>NC_000017.11:15036565-15339595 GCF_000001405.40 Homo sapiens
TGGGAATTTACCGAGCCATGCCAGAAATGGCGCCATCTTCTACAGCTACATTAACAAGAAAAGAAGACTCGCCTCATTTCCTTTTCCCTAGTCTTTCTTTCTCCGTTTTTTTTTCTCTTGGAGTTGTATCTCCCTCCCTATGGAAGTCTGCAGCCTTTTTCGGTGAATCCTTCCCCATTTTCAACAAGAGTAGCTGTTGAACTCAGGTATATATACTTCCTGATATTAGATCCCCCAAGGCACACGATCCTGGTTGGCCACTGCTCTTTTTGTCTCTTTTTACCTGGCTAGGTGATAAGATTTTTATCTCCTCTACTTCCTTCTCTATATATGCCTCCCCGAGCTGTTACACAAACTTCTGTGATCTCTGAACCTTCTCACCAAAGTGGTTAGTGCACCAGTTTTTGTTTCCTAACACTAATGAGAAAAAAGTTTTTCTAGATAAGTACACGTGGGGTAGACATAGGGTATATTCTTTTCTGAATTTGTGTTTCCACCAGTAATCTAAGAATAGCGTTGAGGTTATGACTTCTATTTCATTTCAAATACTCAAGAGGAGTTTATGAAGCTCCTTCCTTTCTAGGTCATCCATGACGACCCAGTACATTTATTCTGCAGGAATTCACATCTACAGAAGGCTGGCAGTCATCTTCCATCTGTAAGTTTTAGAAAAGAAAACAATTCTTTTTTTCTTAGTCTCAATGCCTATAAAATGATTCTTCGTTAGTTATCACATTTGGCTGCCACTTCTTACTCAGGGACTCCGAGCTGCTTCACTGGGGAAAAAGAAACTACTCTGTATATTCGAATAGTAGGAATTCAATCAAGGGATTTGTCATAGAGGTAGTGGAAGACCTGAGATACAACTGCAGGAAGCCACTACAATCTCTGTCTGGAGGGACAAAGAAGGTGGTATTACTAAAGCTCAGGTCCTGCAGAAACTGGAACAAAGCTGGAGCGTGAAGGAAAACACAGACACACTGCCTGTGGAGCTGCAAAGATGGAAAAAGACTCTGGTTTCTACCTGCTTGCCACCCTCCAATCTCTCTTCAACATCTGTCATTAAATATAGCTGCAATACAGAGCAGAGCAAGGGAAGTGTCAAAAAAATGATTTGAAAGCAAATATGAAGATAAATGACCAGCATAAGAAGTATAGCAAATGTCGTAGGAAATTTGAATTTACTTAAGCTGAAAGATCTTAACATGAATCTAAAGTCAAACTGTAGGCCAGACGTGGTGACTTATACCCATACTCCCAGCACTCTAAGAGTCCAAGGCAGTAAGATCACATGAGGCCAGGAGTTTAAGACCAGCCTGGGCAACATAGCAAGACCTTATCTTTAAAGATAAAAAAAAAAAACAAATAAAAATAAATAAAATCAAACTGTAGTGTCTTTAGTTGGGGTGGTTATGGAGGGACAATCTACGGCTAATTTTGGACTGTTTTAGTCTCTCCTTGCTCCTAACAGAAAACCAGGATGTGGTTCCTCCAGCATTCTCTTGGTTGAGATAATCACTTCCATACTTTTTCAAAAACCTCTCAAGTCATCTTCACCTACAGGTGCTATGAAAGAAGAGCCCTCCCTTTCTCTCTTGCTCAGACACCCAGAAAACTGAGCTGTAGGATGTTTGCATTCCCCCTACTCTGGCTCAGAATGATTGCATTTGGTTCAGTCACAGAATCAGAATTCCGGTTTCTAGGCATTGAAAGCACAGGAGGAGTGCACATCCCATTTCTGCATGTCTGTCCTTCCCTGTGGCCCCCGTGTAAATCTGTAGACTTACAAATCCTTAGGGCTGGCAGGGAGTTGAGGTCCTGCTGGAGTGATGGAAAGGGTTGGACTGCACCCCATTCAGTAAGGATATTTGGGAACTTGAAGCTCCTTTAGACTTCTCTCTGAATCAGGAGATGTACTTCTACTCAGATTACCCTGCCTGCCTCAGCTGGGGGAACCCAGGAAACCACTAATCCCATCATACACAGGGTTACTTGGTACACATGGGCTACAAGGAAATACCCAGCCAGGATCTTCTTGCAAAGACCAGGCGATATTCAGAACAAGGATTTCAGCATTGGCAAAGGGCAGTCTTTAGTGAAATTGGGAAACCCTGATCTTCTGGGAGGACAGAGAGTCACACCTGGGAGTACCCTGCAGGCAGTCGGGCACACAACACCACACAGGCAGCCTGAGTCTCCTGTGTCCCGTGTGCCCCTGCCATGTGTGTCAAATGGCTGAACATTTCCGCCTGTCCCGCCTCATGGGATTGGAATAGGTTTACAACAGAAGTGAATGTGGAAGCAATTTGTGAATTCAAAAGAACTGTATGAATGCCAGCACTATTAGTTCCTCGTTTACTCTTCATTAAGGAGCATGAGTCATTATTGAGACATTTCTTTTTCAGCAACTCTAAGTCACTGGTGCTCTTTTTTTGTGTGCTCTTATCTCATTGGAAAATAAGAATAAGTCCACTTATTTACTGGTGTGAACATACTCTCCATGAACAGTCCCCTAAATATTTTGAAAACTGATGTCAAGTCAACCTTTAAGGACTTCTTTATTAACCTTTGGAAGACTAGCATAATCTTGTGGTCATTGTGCCATTTGATCTGAAAGAAGGAAGAAAAGAAGGAAGGAGAGAAAGAGATGGGGGGAAGGGAGGGAAGAAAGGAAGACAGGGAGGGTGGAAGGAATAGACGGAGGAAAGAAGGAAAACAGAAAAAAATTTCAATATACCCTTTATATGTTATCTTTGATTTCCAAGTTGATAATGAAATAGATTTAAAATTTGGATTCTATCTATAGAAAAATAGGATTCTTCCTTCTTCAAAAAGCTGTATTGTCCTTCTCCACAAAATAACTGAGATCACCTTCTGAGGACTGCATTCTTCTGGTGAGCTCAAGGATAGTAATAGGGTCCCTGCCAGGATAGGGCTAGTACCAGGCCCTGTGGATATGTGATGACATGAGTCAATTTGACTTACACATTCCTGAGTTTGTCATCTCAGCAGCTCCCAGGGAAAGCACCTGGAGTTAAATTTCCATGAATCCACCAGAATAGCAGAGATATCAGGAAGTAGGCTGACTGCTTTGTCAGCGCCTATGTATGAAGATGGTATCCCCTCTGTTCCCATATCTACCCTGCCACAAGTCCACAGACTTCTCTAGGCATCACACCCCTTCCTGATATCTCATTATCTGAGGGGTTTAGACCCTACAATCAGGCTACTAGCCATGAACCCACTTAACAGAGACTAAACTCATGTAGTCAATAGAAAAATAAACTAATTAATGTTATTCTATATTTAACAATTTAGTTTAAAATTACAATGATTTAATTATTAGAACAAAGAATAAATCAAATTTTGATTTGTAGGTTTAGGGAGGTAAAATTTCCCCTTAAAAAGCTGAAAGGTAGCGTGCCAAGACTTCCTCACCCAATGCTTAACTTTTGCACATGATTTTTAAAAGAGTTGCTCATTTTTTTTTTGCAAACATATTCAAGGGCTTCATCAATGTTCTCAATGACCTGCCTTTTCAAATGGATTCATATTTAAATCATTCTCTTATGAAGTCCTTCCATGATATTATCCTTGCTTGTTTTCATTTCTTCGGTTGTTAACTGGTTTAAATATTTTAGATCCTCACGTATCAGTGGCTTTGCTTGATTCTGGGAGTTCTCCATTCACTTGATAAAGTCCTGGATATTTTGCAAATTTTGCAACTTTGCTTCAAAACACATTTGTAGTGTATATGACTACATTAACCATTTCATGCATGTATTAACCATGCAAGAAATCAATATCCAATAAGTAGGGCAACAGATCCATTCCTAAAGTTAAACTGGGAGGGGTGTTGAAATAGGGACTGATTTCATGCATGGTTAATACATTGGTGGATATTCTTGTAATACACTTTGTTTCCCTATGCACCTTCAACATGTAGGAACTTGAATAAGATAGCCACAGACAATGAGCACCTTTGGACATTAGATGCTGCCTTTATGTGGATAAAGTGGCTGTTGAACCGGGACGCCCATTCTAGACTAGAAAGGGAATCTTCTAGGGTTAGTTCTCTGCAGCTGCCTTATGGTTTGGGCTAGGAGGAGATATGGATAGGAGCTAAAAGAGAGGAGTTTTTAAAAGCAAATGAAGCAAAACGCTTTATCAGGTAAAGAAAAGGCATCCACATTTCCTACTTGCACCACAAGTAGTACTAGTGAGTCCTACTTGTTAAGATAAACGATAGCCTTGCTTCCAGCAGCCAGTTGTCCCTTGTTTCTAATGAATGTGTCACACAAAGAAAAGACACGATCACAGCCAACACTTGCTTCTGCAAACTGGCAATGTCTGCAGCTAAATTCGAATTTAAAAAAAATATTAGAAGAGTATTGAGAAAAGTAAAGAAAAAAGAAATTGCATTTAGATTTCAACCTCTCGCCAAGTCCATACTTCCGTCTGATGTTGCAATGAATTAGCTCTCTGGGGAATCCCGGGAAAGCCCACCGCCTCCAACTGCAGACACAAAGGAGAAGGTAGTTGCTGACTTCAATTCAAACAGGAAAGTCAACAATTCCTTTTTTTTTTTTTTTTTTTGAGATGGGGTCTTGCTCTGTCGCCCAGGCTGGAGTGCAGTGGTGTGATCTTGGCTCACTGCAAGCTCCACCTCCTGGGTTCACGCAATTCTCCCGCCTCAGCCTCCCGAGTAGCTGGGACTACAGGTGCCCGCCGCCACACCCGGCTAATTTTGTTTTTGCATTTTTAGTAGAGATGGGGTTTCACCGTGTTAGCCAGGATGGTCTCAATCTCCTGACCTCGTGATCCACCCGTCTCGGTCTCCCAAAGTGCTGGGATTACAGGCATGAGCCACCGCATCCAGCAACAATTCATTTTTAAGTGAGCAAACTAAAAAGCAAGTTTACAGGAGACAGGGTGAACGCCTCTCCTTACCTTACCCCTGCCTACCATGCCAACCTATGACTTGTCCCAGTTGAATGAAGTCATTTTCCATTTTTGTGTTAATAAGCAAAGTCTGGGAGCTTCCCCATGCCTGGATTGCCATGCCATGTGAGTCCACTGCATAAGTGTTGGGGTTTGAATTAAATTCTTGGCTCTTCCATTACTGCCTGTTTGATCTTAGGTAAGCTGCCAGCCTCTCTGGGCCTCAGTTTGCTCACGTTGAAAATGCAAACACTATCAGTACTTTCCTTACAGAGTAGTTGTAGGGAGCAAATGAACTAATACACGCAAAGTGTATAACGCTCTTTCTGGCACAAGGCAAGTGCTCAATGAGTGATAGTTACTATGACTAGATAATATGTGGAAAAATACAATATGGAATATATAAGATATGAGAGAGTTAAAAAAAAAAACACTGAGAGCATATCATTTGGGACCTCAGTTTTCTTAAGTGTGAAATAGGGGTGAAAATACCTATTCCAAAGGTGATTTTGATGTTGAAATATTAAATGGGGACAGTCTTTCACTAAATGCTTCGAAGTTATGGCCCTTATTTTTATTGCATTAACTGGCTCTGGAGCATACAATTTTGAACTTGGTTGTTTTCTCTGCTGTTTCTTCACCATCCCCAGTCCCACCGGCTAGGGAGCTGGAATTCCTGGTGTTCTCACACCACTGTGTACAGCTGTGCAGTGCACAACCTCCATGGCAGTTCTACATTTCATCTCAAACCTGGATCTGGGTCTTATTCAGCCCTTCTCCCTGCTCCATGTCCTGTGCCCTCAGGAGAGTAACCATGATCCTCCAGGAACCCCTGGAACTCCCCAGCACACGGTGTGGGCTCCTCACCTATGGGTTCCCCACCTTCCACGCAGGGAGCTCAGAAAAGCCTCAGCCCTGGACTGTGGGTGTGGGAGGGGGCAAGCTGGGGTCCAGGGAGCTTTGGCCCCTGCTGAGTCTGAGTCATTCTCCCTTTCCCTCAATGAAGGAAATGTAAACATGTAAGAAAGAAAGGAACTCAACACCACCCGTGCTATTTGTCAAAACGGACAATGCTACTGTCTATGCAGTAGAAGGTTATTGAATCGGGGGTCCAGGAGGCCTGAATCTTTGCTTTGGCTTAGCTTGGGCCAACACCATAACCTGGAGAAGGCACACAGAAGTACACCTCGCCTTCCTGTCCTCATCTGTGAGATTAACTTACCTCTGCATCCTGTGGAGTATTAGTGTGCCAGGGTACCATTCAGGCCTTCCACAGAGTGTTACTGTGGTATTCCATGGAAAAGAATGTTGTGAGATGGGAGATGTAATTATTCCACATCAAACAGAATAAAACATCTTTCTTCACAGACAGATTTTTCAGAGGGAGGAAGGTTTATCATTGCCCAAACTTACTTTGCCACATTACCCTTTAAATTTTTTTAATGGAACATCTGTTAACATCTTGAAGATGTCCACTGAGGATAGCTTGGGCAATGATGAATTACACCTCTTTATAGTCCCTCTTGGTTTAAAATTACAGTGTCTCCTCAATATCAGAGAAATAACTTCGAAAAGAAAAACTAAAATATGAGTTGGCCTGAGTAATCATTGTATCAATAAGAGTAACTGGTGAAACCTTCTTCTAACCTGTTGAATTAGCATGTGTTTATCATTCGTTGGGTCAAATTAACCTTTTCATGTATAATTTTGTTAAGATATAGTAATTTTTACATTTATACAGCATTTTAGACATGTAACATCATTAAACTGATGACAGGCAAATTAGAAGAAAATCAGACAAGACATTAAATTTGTTAAATAATTAAAGAAGTACCCTATGGTTATATTTTATTCAAAAGTTAATTTCTGATTTGTTATATTTTTTGAAGGTTCTAAGCTAGTGAAAGAGAGTTTGTTACTTGACAGTAGTGAATTACAAATAAAAAATTTCTAGATTACAGATGAAGACTCAAGCCATGCTAGATTACTACAATTCTAAGACAAGCTTTAGTTAAAACAGGGTTCCATCATCATGAATACCTACCTGGGGCCGGGCGCAGTGGCTCACGCCTGTAATCCCAGAACTTTGGGAGGCCGAGGCCGGTGGATCATGAGGTCAGGAGATGGAGACCATCCTGGCTAACGTGGTGAAACCCCATCTCTACTAAATATACAAAAAATTAGCCGGGCTTGGTGGCGGGTGCCTGTAGTCCCAGCTACTCCGGAGGCTGAGGCAGGAGAATGCCGTGAACCCGGGAGGCAGAGCTTGCAGTGAGCCGAGATGGTGCCACTGCACTCCAGCCTGGGTGACAGAGCCAGACTCCGTCTCAAAAAAAAAAAAAAAAAAAAAAAGAATACCTACCCGGGTCGGGCGCAATGGCTCATGCCTGTAATCCCAGCACTTTGGGAGGCCGAGGCAGGCAGATCACCTGAGGTCAGGAGTTCGAGACCAGCCTGGCCAACATAGTGAAACCCCGTCTCTACTCAAAATACAAAAATTAGCCATGTGTGGTGCTACGCGCCTGGTAATCCCAGCTACTTGGGAGGCTGAAGCAGGAGAATCGCTTGAACTTGGGAGGCAGAGGTTGCAGTGAGCCAAGATCACGCCACTGCACTCCAGCCTGGCCAACAGAGTGAGACCTGTCTCAAAAGAAAGAAAGAAAGAAAAAAAAGAATACCTACCTAATAACCCTACACTTGGATGCAGTAGGACACTTCTAACAAAGTATATTCAAATTTCAATTCCAGTTTTCACTCAGTCAACTCTTCCTGCTCCTCTAGCCTCTCTCAGGGAATGGTAGGTACCCAGCGTCCTGAGGCCCAGACCCAGGGAGGAGCCCAGACTCTTCCCCACCTCTCCACACCCACCAAGAAAACACAAAGCCTGGAAATTCTTTTTACCCCCTCTCCAGTCAACCCACCTGTCTCCATCATCGCTGCTGTTTTCCCTGTTCCAGGCACCATAATCTTTACCCTGAAATACAGCTACTTCAGTGATGGCTGCACCTCCAGCATCTAATCCATTTGCCATACTGCATCTAATCCATTTGCCATACTGCAGCCAGGAAGATCTTTCCTACGAGATGATGCAGTCATTTACCTTCCTGTCTAAAAGCCCTTCGTGGCTCCCCGCTGCCCTGAGGATGAAGTCCAAACTCCTCAGCATAACATAAAAGGTCTTTTTTGTCTCCTACTTACAATTGCTGGCTTAAAAAACGAATGCATCGGCCAGGCGTGGTGGCTCATGCAACATAATCCCAGCACTTTGGCAGGCCGAGGCAGGAGGATTACATGAGGTCAGGAGTTCAAGACTGGCTTGACCAGCATAGTGAAACCCCATCTCTACTAAAAATACAAAATTAGCCAGGTGTGGTGGGGGGCACCTGTAATCCCAGCTACTCGGGAGGCTGAGACAGGAGAATCGCTTGAAACCAAGAGGCAGAGGTTACAGTGAGCTGAGATCGCGCCCTTGCACTCCAGCCTGGGCAACAAGCACGAAACTCCGTCTCAAAAAAAAAAAAAAAAAAGAATGCATTACACATACATATTTATTATATAGTATATTCATTCTACAAATAAATATATAATGTATAGGCACACACATTTCCACATACAATTAAGTACAAAGAAAATATTACAGACCCCAATGTATAATGATTTGGATTTCACAAACATTACCATTCTGCCATATTTATTTATATAATTTTAGATACTGTTTTAAAGAAATGAAATATTATAGATACAGCTAAACGTTCTACACCCCAGCCACAAATCCCACCTTCCAGGCCAGACATTGCCAGAGGGAATCTACCTTTACTCTTTTCCATCAGCAAAGTTAATTACCCCAGCATCCTTTGGTGAACAGTTCATCCCTTCCTCACAAATCTGGAGTGCCTTCTCTGTCCTGTATCAGCTGTTTCTCAATGCTTAATTCTATAATTCTGTTCCATTGGTCTCTCTCTTTCAAGACAAGCTTTTCTTTATTATTCTTAAAAGATGACTTGCCTATTTTTGGCTCTTTATTTCAGTTAGATGTTTGTTATTTTTAACAGAACCTGGATACTAATTTAATGGCTTTGCACGTTATGGGTATATTCAGGCTTTCTCTTATTTTCTTGAGGAAATAACTATAGTTATTTTTATTCAAATATGTTCATTTGTCTATGGGTTCATATTTATTAACACCATTTACATTGTTTTATTAACCTCTGTAAGTTTTTCTAGTTGATTCATTTATGCTTTTATCTTTATTATTGCTTTTTATTTACTTTTAGAGAGCTTGTGCTTTTATTGTTTTTCCAACTTCTTTTTGTTTTTTGTTTATGAATACTATTTTTATTGATACATAACAGTCGTGCATATTTTAGGGGTACATATGATATTTTGATACATGTGTACAATGTTTAATGATCAAATCAGGTAATTGAGACATCAATAACCTCAAACATTTATATTTATTGTTTCTTTGTGTTGCGAACTTTCCAATTCTGCTCTTCTAGCTATTTTGAAATATATTATTAAGTATTATCTCCCTACTGTACCATCAAATACTAGAACTTATTCCTTATATCTAACTGTATTTTAGTATGCATTAACCAACTTCTTTTCATCCCCTTCTTAGCCTCTATTAATCACTATTGCTTTTTCAACTTCTTGGGACAAATGCTTAATTGGTTAATTTTTAGTCTTTTTTTTTTTTTTTTTTTTTTTTTGAGATGGAGTCTTGCTCTGTCGCCCAGGCTGGAGTGCAGTAGCACCATCTTGGCTCACTGCAAGCCCCGCCTCCTGGGTTCACGCCATTCTCCTGCCTCAGCCTCCCGAGTAGCTGGGACTGCAGGTGCCCGCCACCACGCCCAGCTAATTTTTTGTATTTTAAGTAGAGATGGGGTTTCACTGTGTTAACCAGGATGGTCTCGATCTCCTGACCTCGTGATCCACCTGCCTCGGCCTCCCAAAGTGCTGAGATTACAAGCGTGAGCCACTGCACCTGGCCTGTTTTTCTTAATATAAGCATTGACAGTATTTAGGGTAATAAATGTCCCTATAAATATCAGTTTAACTGTACAAGTTGTGGTATGAACTGTCTGCAATTTCTATTGTTCTTAATATTTTGTAACTATCAATTTGAATTATTTTTAACCCATCAATTATTTAGAAGTATTTTTAACTTAATAGTGAATAGAATTTCTTAAAATTATCTTTTAGTCATTAATTTATAATCTTACTTCATCTTTGTTAGAAGACATAGTTTGGGTTATATTGTTTTCTTGATACTTATTTAGACTTTGTAATCAAGTATATGGACAATGTTTATAAGTGTTCTTTACTTAAAATATGAAGATGCTTTTTTATTGGAAATGGATTCTTTTATATTGGGTGGACATTCTAAATATGTTCATCATATTAAGCTTTATGAATGCGTTATGTAAAACATTTATATCCTTAGAAAATATTTATCTCCATTTTTCAGTAACTCATAGAGATGTGTTCAAAATTCCACTATAATGTTGGATTCACTTCGTATTCAGGAAATTTTTGCGTTACACATTTTTCGGCTGTCTGATTCAAGACTGTTAGAACTTCCAAGTGACTTGTGTTTATCTGTAAGAAAAGATTCCCCTTATCTCTAATACAGTTGATTTTGTCTGATATTAAGGTCACTATATCAGCTTTCTTTTCTTTTTTGCCCACTGTATCTTTTTTCATGCCACTACTTTCAACTTTTCTGTATCATATTTTAGATGGATCTCTTAAAAATAACATATAATTTAGTATTTTTTTATTTGATTGTTTTATTCCAGTGTGAGAATCTTTGTCATTTGACAAAACAGTGTAATACGTTTACACTTAGAACTACTGGCATATCTGAACACTTTTCTACCTTCTAATTTTTTAATTATCATTCTCCATTTATTTTCCTCCTTTCTTGCTTTTTATTGAATTATGTGGGAATTTTCTTCTCTTCCTTCGATTTGTTCAAAAGTTGTACATTCTTTCCCTATTTCTCAGTTCATTATCCTTATATTTTTAGCAAACATATTCAACATAGTTTTATCAACCTCTCTGCCTTCTTCAAACAATGAAAGGATCTTAGATCTTCCTTTTAATCTTCTTCAGGTGGTTTTTTTGCTATGTTTCTAATTGTCTGGGTGTTAGTTCTCCTATCTGCTGCCTTAATAATTCTCATTCATGGTTTTTTGCTTCTTTGCCTGTATCGTAATTTTCTTATGAGTTCTTCCTTGATGAACCCGCTTTATTGAGGGTTTCTTGAATAGTCTGAGTGATCCTAAGAATAGTGTTCTATTGGTTTCTCCCAGGAGCACAGTGAATTCTGGACCACTTTATGTCAATTTCTCAGTTTGGGATTATCACACCATGCATATAAATTCAGAATTTATACCCATGTTTAGTGCAGACTTGACATTTTGATTTTTCAGAGGACATTGTCTAATTTTTAAAGATTTACTTGGAGCCTGAGACAGACCCTGTGCTTTCTTACAATGTCTCCAAGCCCGGAGACAAATTTTTCTTTTTGTTATTATTATTCTAAACTTGGAGGCCATTTGAGGATCCTGGCTATGTAGAAGGGAGCTCAATTACAGCCACCCACTTCATGCAATGCCAAAGATACACCTCCTTTCCTCCAGTTCCATTAGGGCAACAAAACCTTAGTCCCAGCTCACAGCTGCATTCCCAGGTCTGATGGCCCCAGCCTTCAGCAAGGCTGCCAGAGGCTACTGAGGGTGAGAGGGGTACTATGACTAGGTATCTATTATTATTGGCATCAAGGGACTTCCATCTACTTCTGCTATTAAACTGTATGTGTAGATTCTACTAAGAATTTCTATGTTGTTTAAAAAGGGAGGAAAATCCATATTAGTATACCATAACATAAAAATCAGATTCTGAGTGCATTATTCTGCTTTTCTTGTTTCCTTCTAATCTTTCCTCCCTTTCCACTCCTGACCCAAACTATTTTATGTTCATTCTCTCAACTCCCAGGTCTCCCCTTAGAAGCCAGGTAGAGTAACAGCTCTATGAAGTTTGAGAAAACCTGCCCACTTACTGACTCCTTGTGGTTGTGGTTGAGCCATGTAGCTCTGAGTAGAAAGAAGGAGGAAAAAAAAGATTCAGGCAAAAACGGGGATAGGAAAGAACAAGTCATCAAAGAAACTTACAGATATCATCAAATGTATTTTTCGTGAGTCCTCAGTTACTCAGTAGAGTAAATCTCTCAATAATGTTTCAGAATCAAATAAGGCAACATCTTTGGAATGATCCTGTCAAATTGATGAAAAACCAAACCAACTTATATATGAAAATCAGCTTTGCTTTCTTTCTATTTGAAGGGGGAAAAAAAATCCTTGGACTAAGAATATCCCTCACCAAGAGAAAAGAAGCAGAAAGCACTGATAATTAGGTGCAAAGAACATTCCCCCAAATGTTCTTAAATTTCATAGCCAGATACTTTTCTAAATTTTTTATCACATTTTCTAGGGAAGCATTTTCTGACATTTCCTCCTGTTGAGACAGTTTCCTTTCAGTGATTCTTTCTGCATAACTTTAAGAGGCAGTCTCCAACAGGTTCCCGCTGCATGTGGCTTTCCTTCTTGGGATAATTTGCCAATGGCAATTGCATTCCTTATGCACTCAGTGACCTACCAGTCTGCCCTGGGTCCCACGGACTAAATTCTCAAACTCTCCCCTGAGGATCAGTTTTCTTTCATTTTTAATTTTTAAATCTCTTCATCCAGCTGTATTACTTTTGACCATCAGGTCTAGGTGAGATTGACAGATGCTGACAGTGGTTACAGCTGCTGCTAGCCACTGGTTACCTTAGAAATGGAGGTAAAACAAACACAGGAATTCCAAGGAACCATACCTCACCTCTAGGTTTCTGAAAACATTGTAGAGTAAATAAATCACAACCCTTTATCTATCAGACTGATTCTGTGGCTGAATTTACAAGAAGAAGCAGAGGAAAGAGAGACGGTAGCAGGGGAGGAACAAAAGTCAATTGTTACCAATAGTTCGGAGACAGAAAGCTCTGAGCTTCCATTAAGCAGTTTGATTTATAGCTTCGGATATTATGTGCAAGAGCGCCCACAACCCAAAGTGTTTTGTGTCTTGACCTGCAAAAAATAAGTCTATTAACCCTAATCAATCTCCTATTATGCAGAGGTGCCTGAAATTTAGCAAGCAAAAGGGTGACTCAGGTCTTGCAGCCCAGGAACTAACCATTGTCTTTGGTAATCTGCAGTAGCTGGGGTCTTTGCAGAAGCAAAATTATCATTCAGAGTAAGGTGCTTGGGGGGGTGTGGTTTCATCTTTTAATGAGAAAATGGAGGATTGTTTTCATTTTTAATTGCTGGGGCTAATTAAGGCCTAGGGCTCTTGTGTGAACCTGGACCCTTGCGGATGCGTGTTCACAGACACCTCTGCCTGTGCTTCACCCCAGCTGTGGGTAACCCGCCTGCCCTGACTTCCTGCTGTAATTAGTAAGGGCTTCTATTCCGATTAAGTACTTCATTACAGAAGCTAATTATGAAGTCTAGCTGGTTCGCTGTGCCTTAGGAGGGATTTCCTTGTGCTTTGTGAGGGGAATTCTAAGGGTGGGTGTTATTTTAACCTTTGAAGGGCAAAATAGAAATTGGCACATCACACGGATGGTCAAATGTTAATATGGGCATGGAAAATGGAAATATTTAAATCCACACCAGGAAAACCAAGCAAACAAAGCTTCTTTTTAACTAAGATTTGGAGAGGGGGTTAGAGAGGAAATAAATGCTATAATTCTATCAACACCTACAAACTGTTATAATAGATCCGTATTGGATCCCCAAACAAACCCAGTCCTGGGTTGCAGAATCTGTACTTTGCCTTACATATTGGACCAGAGTGTAACTGTGTAATAGAAGGTTTACGGTAGTGACCACATATTTTTCCTTGCAATATTCTGTTCATTCGTGTGTATGTTGTAAGGATCACTGAGTCTTTCTAACTCAAATTTAAAGCATTATGTGTGAGTGTAGTTGGGATGTAGGGTAAAGTGAGCTAATGATTGAAATAACCCAGCCTGTTCCTTTTACCAAATTTGGGGCAAGAGTAAAGTGGAGACTCCTAGACCTTGCCTTCTGTGGCAAGGAGGACTCTTTCCACCTCCACTCCTGTGAGCCACCTTGGTCACCTCTTGTGCTTTGGGGTGGTAACACTTATAAAACAGCATATCTTTGTGAGGGACGTCCAAGAGAGAGACTCTAGCAGGCCCTAGAAGCAGGCTTGAGGCTGTCTTGACAGAAAATTTCCCAATGTCAGGTACCTGGAGCTGAGTGGGGTGGGGATGAGGGGAGGCTGCTGTAGGTGGACATGAACCTTTGGCCTTGGGGGTTCCTCAGTCCATGAGGATTGTGGCAGGAGGAGAAAGAGTGAGCCTGTTAAATCTCCAGTTACAGGGCAAGACCCTGGGTGCCCAAATCTAAGGGTGATGCTATAAATAACATTACAAATGAGGTTATATATGTTCATTCATTTATTCTTCAAATATATTTTGACTTTCTACAATGTCTTATGAAGTATGCTGGGTACCAAGAATATGCAGGTGGCTAATTATGCAAGATGATGTGAATGCTTTTTAAATAAAATTTCCAGAACTTATACAACCAAATGAATGCAGTTTCTACTGCTTCAATTATTGTGGAACTATTACTCTCTTTAGAAATTTTGCTTCAAAATCTCAAATACATACAAGAAGACTATGTATAGGTATATAATGTATGTGTGTATACATGTGTGTGCATGTGTGTGTATAATATTCAGAGATTTTAAGGGTCCCCCCTTTCTCTTTACAGATGAAGAAATCAAAGTTCAGGAATGGTAAATGTTCTGATCAAGGTTGTTCTGCTGGAGTGGTGGTTGATCTCAAGCTTCCCGCAAGCCTGTTGACTACAGCATTGATCAGTTCGCCTAAGTTTCCTGACTGTAAATATCATGGCTGATTCTAATATCATGCACAAAGCCTGTCATTCAGAGAGATGGTGCTACAAATTGTTTTACAGTTTTAGTTGTGTTCAAATCAACCAAGTATAAATCAGAATGTCATCAAGGCTATGAGCTCCACCTTTCTAAATCTGGGTATTCCACTTCCGAGAAGGGTTTTGTGCCTGAGAGGTTGATATCTGCAACTGTCTCAAGGCTCTAACTTTTCATAAACACTATTGCAAACTAGTTTAGGTTGTACAAGAGAAGACTTTCTTTTAAAAATCAAAAGTATAGGTTTTGATTCATCTTTGCAAGATGGGAGAAAAAAGCAGAAATAAAGTCTAGCCTCCCAGATGACCTCAATATTGGAAATGACCCATGCAAGCACTTTCACTGAGAAGTGAATAAAACTAGGATAAATTGCTGCCAGATTTAGTGTACAACAGGTCTGATTTTGTTGCTTCACAACTTTTTTTCTCATCAAACAGTAGAGTGGACTTCGACATGGAGAAGATCCTGTCAAAACTTCACTCACACTCCCTAATTCAGAGGGGTGAGGGCAGGTAGTGGGGCAAAGAGCCATGATACACAAAGTGCAGGCCACTGCCCCCCACTTCAACCTGACCTAATCCATCATGGGAGTTCACATTGCCTCAGCCAAAATAAATAGAGAGACGCCCTTCTGCACAACGGAGACTTGTCTAGCTGTGACTGCCTACTCGTCACCTCTCAACATCCACTCAAACCCCCAAGCTACTGAATGCCTAATATAAATGCATAGCAAAATGTAAATTTTCTGTTTTTCTCTCATCTGGGACTACAGAATTTGGGCAGGAACACCCCTTCCCACACACCAATTTTTGACAGAACATATTATCATCCTTATTGCTTAAGAAAGGAAAGAACTCCCTCTACAAGAATGGGACCAAAGAAGAAAAATTTAAAGACTTAGAAAAGATATCACATCGGATGAAACTGGAAACCATCATTCTCAGCAAACTATCGCAAGGACAAAAAACCAAACATCACATGTTCTCACTCGTAGGTGGGAACTGAACAATGAGAACACTTGGACACAGGAAGGGGGGCATCACACACTGGGGCCTGTTGTGGGGTGGGGGGAGGGGGGAGGGATAGCATTAGGAGATATACCTAATGTAAATGATGAGTTAATGGGTGCAGCACACCAACATGGCACATGTATACATATGTAACAAACCTGCACGTTGTGCACATGTACCCTAGAACTTAAAGTATAATAAAATATATATATTTTTTAAAAATATAAAAAATAAAATAAAATAAAAAATTTAAGAAAAATAAAAAAACTGTGAGGCTCCTGCACAGTCAAAAAAAAAAAAAAAGATACCGCATTCAAAAAACGGTACCTCACTGAAAATTTGACGCAAATCCTTCTCTGTTAAATAAATTTGCTACAAGAAAGAGCAGAAGGTTTTAGAAAACTGCTAATCTGTGGGCTTAATTTTCAAGTGCCTATTAAATTTATCAATCCTCATTAAGCATTCCTGAGGAGAAAATCATCTCCAAGCAAGAGAGATGGGCATTAAAAAGATTACTGGATTAAAAATCACTATGTTCACTACAAACAGAAGATTAGATTCTGTAGAAAATTGAATTAAATAGATGACAAATCCCAGACATTTATCCAATACTCATAGGAAAAAAATGGAATAGGTAAAAGTGATGAGGGAAAAGGTGAGAAAGGTGGAGGAGTCAGATCTACAAGATCCTACTAGGAATATTAGGACAGACTGAGAAAATTGATAGAAAATAAAATGAGTACTAATGTAGCCACTTAGACATAGCCTCCAAGTTATACTGATTCTATCACTTCCTCCCATTTCTGATGCCACATCTTCTTCATACTTCTAATTTTTTATTTGTTTCATTTGTCTATTGGCTGCAGTACTTTTTCTAGTAAATGCCTAGAATGTGTCCAATAGTATCCCCATCTCACCAGAAACTTCTGTAATGTGCATTTATCTCATCTCCTGGGCTACTGCTGTGTGTCAGGAGCCATACCAAGAGTTGGAACTATAGCCTCAGCCTGGGCCTCCATTTCAAGATGTGACATTGAGTCCCCAGTTTTAATTCCCTCCTCTCCTCCATCCTAAACTCCCACTGATATCTCCAAAAAAACATGAAAACAGGAAAATGTGAATGACAGTGTATTGGAAAAAAAAGATATATGTCATCAAGGGATCCCAGAACTTTGGGGAACTGAGGTGGGAGGATCACTTGAGCCATAGGAGTTTAAGACCAGCCTGGGCAACATAGTGAGACCCTATCTCTGCAAAAGATAAAAAATTAAAATTAGTCAGGTGTGGTGGCACGCACCTGTAATCCCAGCTACTCAAGAGACTGAGGTGGAAGGATTACTTGTGCCTATGAGTCTAAGGCTGCAGTGAGCCATGATCATGCCACTATACTCTAACCTGGGTGACAAAGCAGGATATATATGTGGAGACCATCTGTAAGTTACAAGTAAACATAGGATCAAACTCAGACAGGTACACAAATGTCAGTACATCACAGGAAATACCCATCTGGAGAACAAGCAGACAGCAGTAGCACTCCATCACATGGATAACCAAAACAAAGGAGGGACTGCAACAGCTAAGAGTGAATAACTCACACTAAATGAATCGTTCCAAAGAATAAGGGCCAATGTTCCTTCTATACTTTACTCACTCAAAGAAACAGAAGTGTACTACATACAGAAAAAGGAAACCACCTAAGATCAGAAAAGACTGCCGATTAACAAATTTAAAAACAATGCCAATGGTCATCAGCACATCAGATACAACACAAAACACTGATTAATGGATTACATTGTGGCGAACCCACCATGTTTGACACTAACAGTAAGTCATGTTTTAAGCAGTCCCATAATATAACAAATTATTTTTATTAGTACTCATGAGACAAAACAATGAGCCAGGCACGGTGGCTCACACCTGTAATCCCAGCACTTTGGGAGATTGAAACAGGCAGATCATTTGAGGTCGGGAGTTTGAAACCAGCATGGCCAACATGGTGAAACCCCGTCTCTACTAAAAATACAAAAATTAGCTGGTTGTGGTGGTGGGCGCCTGTAATCCCAGCTACTCGGGAGGCTTAGGCAGGAGAATCACTGGAACCCAGGAGGCAGAAGTCGAAGTGAGCCAAGATTGCACCATTGCACTCCAGCCTGGGTGACAGAGCAAGACTCCGTCTTCAAAAAAAAAAAGAAATAAAACAATGATAATAACTAGAAAATAAATCATAAATCACAATGAAATTATTCTTTTATTTTATATCATATAATCCCAGTAAAAATACATTAAAAATAAATATTATAGTACAAGAAAGGGAAAATGAATTACACATTTTTTAATTACATTAATGCATTTTTAAAGGGGGATAAAACACATGTTTAACAATTCTTATATTGCTATTATGTAAACCGGAATTGAACAATTAAATAAATGGATAGTGGGGCAGTGGGAATCGGGTTTCTTGCTGTTGGAGTGGGGGTTACTAATAAACAAGGGGAGGAGGCTTGAATTATTCAGTAGAGTGGGAGACGTCAGTGTGAACTCATGTTTAGATTTATTTAGATACAGATCATTGCAGACAGAAACAGAAACACTTATATATGTGTGTATATATATATAGGTTATGCATATTCATATTTCCTCATTCTGTAAGGTAAGAGAGCCTAGAAGCAGTGACATCCCTGCAGCAATGAACACACCTAGTGCCCAGATCTTGGTTTCTAATACCATTTTCTAATAAACAAAACCAGTGCTTTTGGGAGAAATTGCTGATTCTAGAACTCAGGCATAAAATATACAAAATGAGCCCAGAGTATATGGTAGTGCGAGAAAGTGAGGACATTCTCCAAAGAAAAATAAATGATGGATGTCAAAGGGATATAGGAGTCCACTGGAAAACAGCTTCCAATGGTCAAAGCTGGAATAATTTGAGCAACAAAATAAATAAAGTAGTATAATATTATAACTCAAAGTATAAAATAAATGTTCATGAGTCAACGCCAATACAAATAAACAAATAAATAAATTACTTGGAAAGAATAGACAAATCTCCCATACATAAGAATTCCAAGTAATTCAGGGAGATAGGGTGGAGCATAACTCCCCACTCCTTAAATAGGGACTGTGTATAGCGTCTTCCTTCCAAAGAGTGCAGTATGGAAGAGGAGAAAAAGAGTAAATTTACCATAGATGAACTTGGCAGAAACGACCTCAGCCACATGATCAAAGTCAACATCAATAGTGATAAGTAAGGTTGAGGGTATCAACAATGATGAGTGAGGCTGGATACGATGTGATGAAAATGGCACTTTACCTCCGTAATTTTTCTCCTCAAAACACATAAACCCAGTTAATCATGAGAAAAGCATCAGAAATATCCCAATTGGAAAACATTCTACAAAATACCTGATCAGTAACCCTTAAAACAATCAGGACTGTCAAAAACAAGAGAAGGCTGAGAAACTGGAACAGCTAAGAGCCTAAGGAAACATGATAACTAAATTTGTTTTGTTGTTTTGTTTTGTTTTGTTTTTTGAGATGGAGTTTCACTCTTGTTGCCCAGGCTGGAGTGCAATGGCACGATCTCAGCTCACCACAACCTCCGCCTCCCAGGTTCAAGCGATTATCCTGCCTCAGCCTCCTGAGTAGCTGGGATTACAGGCATGCACCACCTTGCCTAGCTAATTTTGTATTTTTAGTAGAAACGGGGTTTCTCCATGTTGGTCAGGCTGGCCTCGAACTCCCGACCTCCCTCGGGTGATCCGCCCACCTCAGCCTCCCAAAGTGCTGGGATTACAGGTGTGAGCCACCGCACCTGGCCACGATAACTAAATATTATGTGGCCTCCTGGACGGGATCCTGGAACAGGAAAAGGACATTAGGGAAAAACAGGAAATCTGAATAAAGTATGTGCTTTATTTAATAACAATGTACCAATATTGGTTCATTAATTGTAACAAATAGAACATATGAATAAAAAATGTTAATAATAAAGCATATCGGGTGTGGAGTATGTGGCAACTCTTTGTAGTGTCTTCATAGGTTTAAGTAAAACTAAACTATTTTAAAATTAAAACTGTGTTAAAACACATGAAGAGATAATTTTTAAAAAGACCGCATTTTGCAAGCCTTAAAAAATGACTTGCACATAAAATGACAGAATATAAATAACTCAAGTTCAGTTTCTTCCTCTTCACAATCATTATGCTGCTATTGTTTATTTCTAATATAATGTTTAAATTCAGGAAGAGCCAGTACTATTAAAAGCTGGAGAGACAAAGAAAACACAAATAATTCTGAAAGTCACTACCTAGCTCTCCAAACAAATGTGTATACGGTTTTGCGTATATGTGAAGCTTATACAGTTATGCACTTAATGATGGGGATATGTTTTGAGAAATGTTGTCATGAGGCAGTTTCATCATTGTGTGAACATTATACGGTGTACTTAAACAAACCTAGACGGTAGAGCCTCTTACACACCTAGACTATACAGTGTAGCCTATTGCTCCTAAATTACAAACCTGAACAGCATGTGACCTGAATACTGTAGGCACTTATAACACAACAATAAGCATTTGTGCAACTAAATACAGCTAAACATAGAAAAGACACAGTAAAAAATGTGATATACCAAAGAAATATAAATCATTCTACTATAAAGACTCATGCACACATATGTTTATTGCAGCACTATTTCCAATAGCAAAGACATGGAACCAACAAAAATGCCCATCAATGATAGACTGGATAAAGAAAATGTGGTACATATACACCATGGAATACTATGCACCCACAAAAAGGAATCAGATCATGTCTTTTTTATTTATTTATTTATTTATTTTTTGAGACAGAGTCTCACTCTGTCACCCAGGCTGGAGTGCAGTGGCGCGATCTCGGCTCACTGCAAGCTCCACCTCCCAGGTTCACGCCATTCTCCTGCCTCAGCCTCCCCAGCAGCTGGGACTACAGGCGCACACCACCACGCCTAGCTAATTTTTGTATTTTTTAGTAGAGACGGGGTTTCACCGTGTTAGCCAGGATGGTCTCGATCTCCTGACCTTGTGATCCACCCAAGTCGGCCTCCCAAAGTGCTGGGATTACAGGCGTGAGCCACCGTGCCCAGCCGAGATCATGTCTTTTTCAGGAACATGAATGAAGCTGGAAGCCATCATCCTCAGCAAACTAACATAGGAACAGAATACCAAACACCACGTGTTCTCACTCATTGGGAGTTGAACAGTGAGAACACATGGACACAGGGAGGGGAACAACACATACCGGGGCTGGTCAGGGGGTGACAGACGAGAGGAGGGAGAGCATTAGGACAAATAACTAATGCATGCAGGGCTTAAAACCTAGAATACGGGTTGATAGGTGCAGCAAACCACCATGGCACATGTATACCTATGTAGCAAACCTATACGTTCTGCACTTGTATCCCAGAACTTCAAGTAAAATTTAAAAATATACTGAAAAATTATGGCTTCTGTTCTTATCATAATTTCTTACCAGACAGCAGACTATTTCAAGAAAAAAATAATAACATCGTAAAGTTTGTAACATATGTAGTTGTAAAAATGTGGCAAAAGGTGGTGAGTAGGTAAGTAGAATTATACTGTGCTAGAGTACTGTATTTGTGAAGTAGAAAATAAGAAGTAGAAAGTGTTAAGTTTGAATGAGAGGTGGGAAGTGGGAAAGGAAACTGCAAAGTTTCAGATGTGAAGTGAAAATTAGAAGTATGAAGGGTCACTATGAAATGTGAAATAGTGCCATATTGACTGTAAAAAGACTGATACTTTAATTATACCAATTTTTAGATCTAAAAAAAAACTACATTTTTTGAAGGCATATTTAAGAAGACAATGCAAAAACTAAAATAGAAGAGTAAAAAAAATTTTAAATAACCCCAAAGAAGACAAGAAAAAAGCAACAGAATACCAAAATCAGGAAGGATAAGTGGGGAGAAAAGCAAAATAGCATACTTAACAGCTAATAGCAATGTTACTGTAATAAGTTAAAGATATATATTGCAAACCTTATTGTAAACACCAAAAAAAGAAGTATAGCTAATAAACCAACAGTAAAAAAAATACTCAATCCAAAAGAAAGCAGAAAAAAATAATTAAAAAAAGAAAATACCAATAAGCAAAATAATAGAAAACAAAGAGTGAGGAGATAATTTTTTTTATTCACCTGAGTAGTCCAGGTGAACTTTCATTTATTTAGATTTTAATTTTTTCAAATTCCAACCAGAAGCTAAATACAATTGGGAATTGGTTAGCACTATTTTTGCTCCAAAGGAGTAGGATCATTTAGATTTACTCCAATAAAAGCAAAGCTTTTCTTCATTTAAAAGAAAAAAAAACCTCTATATGGTAGTCTTTCCTGATGTTAATTGCATAAAATAGGAAGGTAAATGTAAATCCAAACCAATAATTTAACATTTCAATTAACATTTAACATTCTCTATAAGGGTAGGGGGAAAAAGACAATACCCAACTATATATAAAATAGTATATGTCATATAACTATATTAAAATATTATGTAATATTAGTTACATATGACACATGAGTAGAAAATGGAGTAACTACAACACTAGAGAAAATAGACATCAGAACAAAGATTATCACCATGGGTAAAAGAGACATTTCATAATGATAAATCAATCAATTCATCAAAGAGATACAACAACCCTAAATTAGCATACATTCAATGACAGCTTTAAAATGCATTTGAAAACTTTAATAACTGAAAAGAAAATAAATTCATAATTTCTGTTGGAGATTTAACATTCTTCATTTAATAGCCAGGTAAGAACAAATAGATCAAAAATCAGTAAGGATATAGGATACTTGAATAAAAAGATTAACCGGTGAATCAGATAGAATTGGCATTTGTAGAACACTCCACCCAATAACTGCAGAATACATATTTGTTTCAAGTACACATGAAATATTCACTAAGATAAGCCATTTTTTGGCCATAAAATGAATCTCAACAGAATTAAAAGTATTTAAATAATATAGTATATTCTCTGATCACGACAAAATTAACTTAGATATTAATAACTGAAAACGTATCTAGAAAATCCACAAATAGGCCGGGCGCGGTGGCTCACGCCTGTAATCCCAGCACTTTGGGAGGCCGAGGCGGGTGGATCATGAGGTCAGGAGATCGAGACCATCCTGGCTAACAAGATGAAACCCCGTCTCTACTAAAAATACAAAAAATTAGCCGGGCGCGGTGGCGGGCGCCTGTAGTCCCAGCTACTCGGGAGGCTGAGGCAGGAGAATGGCGTGAACCCGGGAGGCGGAGCTTGCAGTGAGCCGAGATTGCGCCACTGCAGTCCGCAGTCCGGCCTGGGCGACAGAGCGAGACTCCGTCTCAAAAAAAAAAAAAATAAAAAGAAAATCCACAAATATTCAGAAATTATACAACACACATATAAATAATCCACCTATTTTAAAAGATATTAAAAATAAAATTAGAAAAATTATTGAACTGAATGAAAATAAAAACATAGCATATCAAAATTTGTAGGAAACAGGTAAAGAAGAGATGAGAGGGAAACTTATGTCTTTAATTGTGTATGTTAGTAAAATAGAAACCTCTAAAATCAATATCCTAAACCTCTCCTTTAAAAGCCACAAAAGATAAATTTAAATTTAGTAGGAAGAAGAAAATAATAAAGATGAGGGTAGATATCAGTATAATACAAAATTTTATGAAGAGGAAATCAAAATTGGTTTTTTGAAGAAATCAATGGAATTGATAAATTTCTATCAGGATTAATAAAGAAACAAAGAGATACAACATGAATTTTCAATACCAGGAATTAAAGAAAGAACATGACTACAAACTTTACAAACATTAAAAGAATAATAAGAAAGTATTTTTTAAAACTTCACAACAATATAGTCAACAACCTAGATGAAATGGTCAAATTTATTGAAAGACAAAAATTATCAAAACTAACTCAAGGAGAAACAAAATGTCTGAATATTCTGATATTTACTAAAGGAATTAAATTCATAATTAAAATCTTTCTATACACACAAAAAAAGTCCAAGCCTGGTTGTCTTCACTGGTGAATTCTACCGAACACTTGAGGAAAAAACAAGATCAGTCTTAACACCAACTCTTTCAGAAAATAGAGGAGGAGGGAATACATCATAACTCATTTCACAAGGCCAGTTTTATCCTGATACCAAAACCAGATGAAGATAATACAAGGCAGGACGGGTGCAGTGGCCCATGCCTGTAATCCCAACACTTTGGAAGGTCAAGGCAGGCAGATCACTTGAGCCCAGGAGTTTAAAACCAGCATGGGCAACATAGCAAAACCCTGTCTCCAGAAAATATACAAAAATTAGCCAGGTGTGCAGGGCGCGGTGGCTCATGCCTGTAATCCCAGCAGTTTGGGAGGCCGAGGCGGTTGGATCACGAAGTCAGGAGATCGAGACCATCCTGGCTAGCATGGTGAAACCCCGACTCTACTAAAAATACAAAAAAATTAGCCGGGCATGGTGGCGGGCACCTGTAGTCCCAGCTGCTGGGGAGGCTGAGGCAGGAGAATGGCGTGAACCCGGGAGGCAGAGCTTGCAGTGAGCCGAGATAGCGCCACTGCAGTCCGGCCTGGGTGAAAGAGCGAGACTCCATCTCAAAAAAAAAAAAAAAAAATTAGCCAGGTGTGGTGGCACACACCTGTGGTCCCAGCTATTCAGGAGGCAGAGGTGGGAGTATCACCTGAGCCTGGGAAGGTTGAGGCTGTAGTGAGCAATGATGGGGCTACTGCACTCCAGTCTGGACAACAGAGTGAGAACCTCTCTCAAAAAAAAAAAGATATTACAAGGTAAAATTAGATACCAATATACTTCATTAACATAGATTTTTTAAATCCTCAACAAAATATCAACAAAATTAATACAACAATATATAAACAAGATAATAGACCATGCCCAAGTGGGATTTTTATCCAAGAATTGTATGTTGGTTTAACATTTAAACATCAGTCAGATTTGAAACAACCCAAATTATTTTCAATGGGTGAATGGATAAATAAATTTAATGCATCCATACAATGGAATATTACTCAGCTATGAAAAGAACAAACTATTGATGCAGGCAACAATGTATATGGGTCTTAAGAAAATTATGCTGAGTGAAAAAAATCTCAAAAAGTCACATACTGTATGATTTCATTTATACAATATTATTGAAGCAACAAAATCACAGTGATGGAGAATAGACTAGTGGTTTCCAAGGGTTAGAGTTCAGAGAAGGTATAACTATTAGGCAGTAACACAAGAGAGTTTCTTTGTGGTGATAAAACAGTTATGTATCCTGATGGTAGTGATGGTTACAACAAGTCTATATATGCGATAAATTTCGTAGACCTACACACACACACACACACACACACAAACACACACACACAGAAAAAGAGAGAGAGAGATGGTCGAATTCAAATTCTATAGTTGAATTAGTGTTATTGTACCAAAGTCAATTTTTTTATTTTAACACTGCACTCTGGATATTATCATGAAGGAAATCTGGGTGAAGTGCACACAGGAACTCTTTTCTATTATTTTCTTGTGTCTTAAAGTATTCCAAAATAAAAAGCATTAAAAAGAGCAAATACAACGCTATTAAAAGTAGCTTTACAAAAGAAACCAGTTATAATAAAATGCAGCCATCAAAATATTAAAAATCAAATTTGTGATATAGTAAGAAAACATGATCATTGTATTTCAACATATTAACAGAATAAAGGAATAAAAATTGATTATCTCAGTAGATGCAGATAAAGTAAATGACAGAATTCAATTATAAACAGAAATTCCAGCAAACTAGAAATAGAAATTTCCTCAAAATGGTAAAGAACGTCTATGCAAAATCTGTAGCTAACATTGTATTTTATGACAAAAGAAACTGAACGGTATCTCTAGAGATTAGCAACAAGGCAATTTGAACACTCTCTTCACTATATTAAGGCAAGGTATTCGCCTCTGTTAAACAATCTACTGGAGGCCTATGCTGGTGCAAAAAGGCTTTAAAAATATACAGATCAGAAATGAAGAAGTAATATTATTTTTTTCTCAAAAGACATGATTGTCTGCATATGAAGTCTATTGAAATCTACAAAAAACACGCTACTATAACTGTTAAGTTCCAAGGACACAAGTTCAATGCACAACAAAATCTATTATATTTCTATATATTAGCTCAGACTACGAGAAGCTGAAATATACAAAATTACTACTTACAAAAGTATCAATAAACATACAAATACTTAGGGATAAATTTCATGAAATTCTACAACACCTACATTTTTGAAAACTTTAAAATATTGCTGAGAGAAATCTAAAATCATTTAAATAAATGTAGAGATACAGTATACCATGTTCATGGATGAGAAGATTCAATTGTTAAGATGTCCATTTTTCTCAAATTTTTCTATATATTCAACATAATCCCAGTCAATATGCCAGCAGTATTTTCTAAAGAAATGGGTAAGATGATTGTAAAATTTATACAGAATTTCAAAAGACCAAGAATAGTCAAAATAATTTTAAATATTGAGAACAAAGTTGAAGTATAGAAAATCAATAAGGGTATAAAAGACTTGAATATGACTATCAACCAACTTGATGTAATTGATTTTTATAGAATAATCCAGTCAATAACAACAGAATATACTTTCTTTTCAAGTAAACAGAACATTTAGGAAGGCAGACCATATCCTAGGCTAGCCAACAAGTCTCAATCAATCTGCAGTGATTTGACTCATGAAGTATTCTCTGACTACAATAGAATTAAATTAAAAATAAATAATAGGAAGATAACCGGAAAATCTCAAAATATATGAAAACAAAATAGCACACTTCTATATAATTCATGTGTCAAATAAGATACCAAAAAGAAAAGTATAATGTTTTTGAAACTTTTGCGAAACTGAGATACTTATTCCTATTTTACAGGTGAAAAAACCAGTTCTGAGACCTTAAGTGTTCTGTTCAAAGCCACATGACTAGAGTTTGCCAGAGCTGGAATTCATATTCAAGCTGTGGTGGTTCCCAAGCCCAACATGCTATCCTATATAACTAGTCACTAATATATAATTGCTCCTAGAACCCAGGATATATCAGAACTTAATTGGTAGTAGTAACAGCTAACAATTATTAGGCAATTAATACAATAAGGCATTTCTTGCATAGTACCTTATCATATAGCACTTTGCCTGTATTGATTCATTTATTACTCAGTACAACTCTATGAGGATGGTACTATATCTATTGTCATCTTATAAATGAGGGGACTGAGGTGCAGAGAAGATAAGTAACTTGCCTAGACAGTTAGTTAAGGTAGAACCGTGACTTAAACCCAAGCAGTCTGGTTCCAGAGTTTGCATCCTTAACCAGGATACTGTATTGCCTTCAGATTGTATGTGTATGTGGTGAGAAGGAGGAAGAGTGAGAGACAAATTGTGTTTTTAATGAAACTAGTGTCACATTACATTTGTCAAAATAAATTTATAATTTATGTGTCAAAATAAAGATTATATGTAAATTTAAAATATTAGAGACATGAATAAAAATATCAATTTAAAGTGTCAAATATATGTGACTATCTGACAGAAGAAAAGAGGTCTATTCATAAATATTATTAAAAAATCAATATCCAGTCCTTCAGTATTCATGAGGGATGCATTACAGTACACCCACAGATAACAAAATCCACAGATTCTCAAGTCTCTGATATAAAACAATGTCATATTTGCAAATAACCTACGTACAACCCCTTATATACTTTAAATCATCTCTAGATTACTTATAATACCTAATTATAGTATTAATGAATGCTGTGTAAATAGCTGCCATGATGAATTGTTTAGGCGATAATGACAAGAAAAAAGCCTGTACATGTTCAGTATGGATGTGACCATCCTTTTTTTCCCACCTGAATATTTTCAGTTTGTGATTGGTTGAACCAACAGATGAGGAACCCATGAATTCGGAGGTCCAACTGTACAAATAACACTAAAATTTAAACTTTTGAAACACAGAAAATGAAAAGATGTTTTTTGGTTAGAAGATTAATAGCTATAATATATAAATAGGCCTTATAGAACAATCAAAAAGAACACTCATTTATTCTAATATAAAAACAGGCCATGAATATAAACAGACAAAATAACAGAAGAGTTAGAAGAGGCCACTACACATAATGCAAACAAAAAGAAGAAATTCCAGTAAAGACAGAAATGCAAATTTAAAACAAATATCCTTTTGTCCACGTTTGTATGGCAAAGATAATTCTGTATTTGTTTTCAATAAGTCCTTTTGCTTTTGTTGTTGTGTTCAAATAATTCTTTTATGCAATGGAAGAAAAAGTATGGCCTTACTCATATACTGCTTACAGGCTTGTCAATAATATAATTTTTCTAGTGTTTACATTGTCAATATGCATTTTGAAAGCCTAAAGGCCAGGCGTGGTGGCTCATGCCTGTAATCCCAGCACTTTGGGAGGCCAAGGCAGGCGGATCACGAAGTCCAGAGATCGAGACCACCCTGGCCAACATGGTGAAATGCTGTCTTTACTAAAAAATACAAAAATTAGCTGGGCGTGGTGGTACATCCCTGTAGTCCCAGCTACTTGGGAGGCTGAGGCAGGAGAATCACTAGAACTTGGGAGGAGGAGGTTGCAGTGAGCTGAGATCAAGCCGCTTCACTCCAGCCTGGCAACAGAGCGAGACCCCATCGCAAAAAAAAAAAAAAAGCCTAAAACATATTATATCTTCATATCAGTAAAAACTTTATGAATTTGTAATGAATAAATAATCAGTGTTGCACACCAAGATTTACATGGAGAGATGTTCTTGGCATAATATATGATAGAAAAATAGGAAATAATCTATATGTACATTAGAATATTGGTCAACATGATCAAATACGTACAGAAATTTAAAACCAAATTTTACAATAAGTTTTGGAAATTTTTAAAGAATGAAAAAATGTGCAGGCTATCGTATGCAAAAACTTAGCTTAGGTAGAACATGAACACAATTGTTTATATATAAAGCCAAAAGGAGACACATTTTTAAATGGAAAGAAAGGCAAAACTCTAACATTTATCTCTGGGTTGTGATATTTTGCAGTATTATTATTATCATTTTTCAGATTTTCTATCATACTCCTTTGTTATTATAATCAGAAAAATTATAAATTCTTTCTTAAAATCTCCACTTATACCCTCCACCTGGGAATGGTGTGCGATTCTTTCCCTCTTAATATTAGCCTAAAAAATAAAACAGCTGCAATGCATTTATGTTGTCATTCCTGACTCCAGCCAGATTGAACCTGGCCTTAAATTGACAATGATCTTGTAGGAGTAAAATTTCACCTGTATTCCTTGCCAGAGGACCAGAGCTTTTTAGAAGAATTCCTTAGAAAATGAAAAAAAAAAAAGATTCAATAACTTCTTGAGACATGTGCATTCCTTCCAGAGCATTTGTGAGGAGTGTTCAGCTGCTGCAAACATCCCATGAATCCTCAGCTACTTGGAACAGGTGTACAACTCTGAGCCACGGTGGGGAGGCAGACTAGCAATAAAAGAGGGCTACAGCAGCCTCAGCCCCCATGTCCATCCAGCCAGGAATCTCCAGTTGAGGTTTGTATACACCAGGGAAAGAAACTTACCATCAGTCATGGATTTTGTTTTTAGTGGATAACCATTTTATCCATTTTTGAAAATGCAAGAGTCTTCAGACAGTTGGTTTCTGGATGAAATGATAACAAAAGGGACAGATGGATGCAACTGGATCTCAGAGGGCGAAGTGTTGCTACAAGATCTTCATCGATTTGCTAAGTGTGTTTAGTGACAGGCCCTCCTGCAACCAAACAGAATGAGAAATGGAATCTATTAGTGGAGTTGTTAAAGCATCCTTGATCTCTGTGGATGACAGCCAAGTGTGTGCCTTTTTCTATAAACATTAAATCATTCTCACATGAGAGAGAAGGGTTAGGGGAGGATGCGAGAGAATACACACACTACTGGAAAAAGTCTGAACAGTGATTGCTTTATTTTGGAGATGACATTGAGAACACCCGAAGTTCCAGTTAGAAACACTTGGAGATTTATTTTTATGAGTTTTCATCCTCAGGAATTATTTATAGGGCAACTCCTGAGACAAAGTAATAATTCACCATGGACCATGGGACTGTGTCTATGTTCTGAAGCCTTGATAATAAAGTATTCATTTTTTACTATGTCTATGGCTGTGAAAATGAATGCTCAAAGTTAGTGATCAGTAGGAACTCTGTCATATTAATTCATAGGCTTGCCAGTTCCAAAATTAATATGGCTTCGCCTGTGTGCGTAGAGCTTCCTGGGTTCACCTATATTAACATTGCCACACCTTGTACCATGCATCACATCAAGTGGAGAACATAATTTTATATTGGATGGATGAAAAAGAAGAATGTGGTCCTTCCAGTAATTATCTTAGTGCCACTGATCCTTGTAACAAACCCGAGTAGTGAAGCATGCCCCATCAGTAAATTAGGCTTATGGGTAATCAGTAAATTAGAGTTAGTCATGCTGAGATGGTATTTGACAATGATGGAAAAACTTCACTGCCAGACAAAGACAAATGCATTTATCATTTGTCAGGGCTTTGATCTCCAGACCCTTGCTATCTTCAGACACACATGCCAATCATAAACTTCTAGACTTGGTGTCAAGTCAAGGCAGTTTAATTTATCCAGCAGTCCTCAGATCATTCAGATGTTCCAGTTAAAAGTAAATAAATTATACTATTTCATCACAGACCCATATTGGGTCACAAATATAATTATCAGATTATGATTTCTTCCAAATCCTTTTATGTTTCCAATAATTATTATTTTTGTAAAGGCTGCACAATGACCACATCGCACAGGTGAGCTCCTCCTAGCTAACATTCCAGGAGCTATAGCATTTCACTTGCATATTATTATTGATTTTTGTTCCATGTGCATCTCTGGCTCTTATTGTTGGATTGCATTCTATTGTCAATTCACAAAAATAGATCAACCACTCAAAAGTCAACGATTGATCATAAAAGCATTTTGAGTTTTCTTTAGCCACATGAAAGAATTCTTTCTACTACCAAGTCTGGATTCCAAGTTTCTTTTCAGATAGAGTCTTGCTTTTCTTACCCTCAATATGAATGGCTACATTTACAGTTTGAGATATGCCTGTCCAGAGCTCAGAAAGTAATCTCTCAGACCTGATCATAGTGGATTTCTGGTTTCTGTTACTTGCATTTCAGGGTTTTACACTAAGAGGTCTCACCCAGTGCAAAAGTCATGCTCTCCCCAGTGGGGAGAAAAAAGGTGTGCATGTGTAGTGTGGAGGAGGTTTTGCAAATGCAGAGTGAAAACATTTGCGGGGGCAGTATCCTAATCTGCTTTGTGCTGCTACAACAGAATACCTAAGACTGGGTAATTATAAAGAACAGAATTTTATTTCTCAGTTCTGAAGGCTGGGAAGTCCAATATCAAGGCACCAGTTGGTTCAGGGTCTGGTGAGGGCTGCTCTCTGTATCCAAGATGGCATCTTGTTGCTGCATCCCCCAGAGGGGAGAAATGCAATGACCTCACATAGCAGAAGGTGAACGGCAAGCTGACCCAAGGCTGCGTGAAGCCTCTTTTACCAGGGCTCTAATCCTAGTCAGCGAAGAAGCCCTCCGACCTAATCACCTCCTTTTTGGGGGGAGGGGGGCAGGGTTTGGGGGGAATGGAGTCTCACTGTGTCGCCAGGGTGGAGTGCAGTGGCGCGATCTCGGCTCACTGCAACCTCCACCTCCCAGGATCAAGCAATTCTCCTGCCTCAGCCTCCTGCGTAGCTGGGACTACAGGGGCACACCACCACACCCAGGTAATTTTTGTATTTTTAGTAGAGGCAGGGTTTCACCATGTTGGCCAGGATGGTCTTGATCTCTTGACCTTGTGATCCGCCTGCCTCGGCCTCCCAAAGTGCTGGAATTACAGGCATGAGCCCGGCCTACTTCTTAAAGGACCCACCTCTTAATATCTTTGCATTGGATATTAAGTTTCAACATATGAATTTTAAGGGTGGCACATTCAGACCATAGCAGGTAAGATATAAATCAAACTATTAACAACAGTTAACTTTGAGGAGTGGAACTGAGAGTGATGTGAGAAGAGAAGAAATTTGACTTTTCATACAATTTTTGTACCATTGTCACAATTTATTCATTCAGATGCTGTTTACTGAGCCCTTGCTGTGAGCAGGTGTGAACATCCACAAGAAAGACAAAGGCCTCTGCTCTCAGTGACCTACCTTCTAGTGGGAAATAAAAGGAGTAGACACATAAACAAGCACATTTGATAAATACACATTGGAAATAGCACCATGAGAAAAATAAATGTTCCACAGGGACCTGCTTTGGAAAGAATTGATCAAAAACATCTCTGCTATCTCACAGGAGATAACATTTAAGCTCATTTTGTTCAATAAGGAGACATCATCATTCCAGGGAGAGGAATAATCAACAGAGAAGGAAGAGCAAATGCGGTGCCTAGAAGTGAAAATTGGTGGAGTGTGTGAGGAGCTGCAGGAGGCCAATGTCCCAGAGAGTAGAAGGAAAGGGGAGAGAGATTGACACAAGGTGGGGAGGTGGGTCGGTGGGTTGGGAGCAGCTCTAACACAACCTTCTGGGACATATGAACAGTTTGAATTTTATTCAGATAACACATATATCCTTTAAAAGATGCCTTTGAAGAAAAAGAGAAAGACACCCAGCCCCAGGTGTGACCTTGGACCTGAAGCATTTGTATTGGCAACCCCATTCCTTGGGAGGGATCTCAGTGTGGGGGTGGTACAGACCACAAAGCTGGAGACAGCAGGGCCTCCATTCATATTCTGGAACCCAAGGAGAGGCCAAATTCAGTGGGTGATGCAGATGTGGACTCCTCCAGGGCAGGGGATTGGTTTGGCCATCCGGGCATGCCCCGTAACCACTGCTGTTCTTGATCACACTACATGCTCCATAAATGTTGCCCAAACTAAATGAGAATGACTATGGTATTTTCTAACCTGTTTAGTGGCATGAAGAGGCCCATGATGATGCAAGCCTCAGTTGGAAGGTGAGTTCTTTCACCTACTTTTGTGAAGACTTCCTGAACATCAGGGGTTCAAACTGACGACAACCCTCCTTCTGCATGAAAGTCCTTGGAGCCATTAAGTGTCAGGATCATTTTCCTATTCATCCATTCACTGACTGACTACAGATCTTAGCAGGGAAGCCAAATGCCAGTTCCATTTGAAGAGATTGGAGGACTATAGGGACTGGCCACAGGGGAAAGGCTCTGGCTTGACCTGACCCTATTCCCCACTATACCCAAAGGCTGGAGCAAGCATAAAATTGAAAGTTTCTGCTTCATGGCGCCTCTCCCAAGTGGAGGCAGAAGTGAATTCAGACCCTACGGCAGCTCCACAAATGAACCCTGGATGGTGCAAGACAAGCAGGATGGGAAGGTTTTCCTCTCACATGAGGGAAACCTCTAACCCATTTGAGGGCAGTGGAACCAGCTAGAAGCTGCAACCATCCATGTTGAGGATAAGTGCAACTTGAAGATAAAGCAAATGTCCCATTCTCTCACTGAAGTTGACGGTAAAATGCAAAAGGCAAAGTCAGCTCTTCTAAATAAGCCAGAAAGAGTCATAGACTTTGCTCCATCATGCTACAGGCTTGCAGGCTTGATAAGGCTTTCTGTCACTAACACCTTGTGTGAATGTATGCAGGTCACTAAAATACTTGGAGTGTTGAATTCATTGGCTATAAGACAAAAGAAAAATCACCCACTGCTCCCTGTCTCCTAGGGTGAGTCCTAATCTTCAGGTGATAAAACGTCAGGCAGGTTCCTGGGACCCACAGAGGGCGGTGGCTCAACCTAGGAGTATCTCTCAAGTGAGAATCTCCCATACTCTAGATAACACAGAGCATCATGGCATCCCTTGTTCCTTAGGAAATGGGGTCAGGGAAGAGGCAGCTATAGCTAATGCCCTCTTTTGAACACAAGGGGACAACTGCATGAGCATTCACAAATATTTGTTATGCACGCTTGGATCCATAAGGGCTATGCTGTGTTCTCAAGGCAAAGAGATAAGTCCTCTACCTTCTCAAAGGTCACTTGTGTAATAGGGACACAGGAAATGAACACAAAAGGATGAATAACATAAGGTGGCCAAGAGTCGCAGGATCAGACAAGGAACAACCATCAGTGTTGGCTTCATGGAGGAGGGGAGCGTGTACAGGGGCCTGGAGACAGGCTGGGATGGAGACAAGAAGAAGGCTGGTGATGAAGATGAGGCTCAGCAAGACCAGGGAGATACATCTTAGGGAAGAGTGGTGTAGTAGAAATCAAAGCATCAGAGTGAAAAGGTGTGAGAGCTGGGATTGGAGATGTGGTGCGGGCCAGGCTGTAGAGGGCTTTGAATGACAGAGTGACATGCTTCCATTTTATTCTGTGCACAAATGGAAACCACTCAAAGGCTTTTTGATCGGAGATGGTGATGTGCGTCAAGTCGAGTTTTCTGTTTGAGAGGGACAAGTCTGAAGACATGGAGTTCTGGCACAAGACAATCTAGACTGGAAGTGGACAAGGGTCTTAATTAGAGAGGGGTGGGCTGGATTGGGAAGGGAACCATCCAAAACATATGACTTAGGAGTGATCTTATTTGCTAGTAGTTTAAGATGTATTAAGTTTCCTACCTGAAAATGTAGGAAAGAAGCCAGGGATCAAAGAGAACATTGAAATATCAAACCTGGATGACTGAAGTGGTGACACCTAGGCAGGAAGTGGGAAAATGCAGAGTGGGAGAGAGACTGCTGAGGAGCATCTAAAATAAGGGACACACCAGCTACAAGCCCAAATACAGGTACGGAGGGGGACAAGGATACCCTGCAGGGTGAAGAAGACATGCTGTGAGGTCAGAGACCATCAGGGCTGAGTATTTACTGCATTTTTTTGTTTGTTTGTGTTTTGTTTTTTGAGACGGAGTCTTGCTCTGTCTCCCAGGCTGGAGTGCAGTGGTGCGATCTCAGCTCACTGCAACCTCCGCCTCCCAGATTCAAGCAATTCTGCTGCCTCAGCCTCCCGAGTAGCTGGGATTACAGGTGCATGCCAGCACGCCGGGCTAATTTTTGTATTTTTGGTAGAGATGGGACTTTGCCATGTTGGCCAGACTGGTTTCAAACTCCTGACCTCAGGTGATCTGCCCGCCTCAGTCTCTCAAAGTGCTGGGATTACAGACATGAGCCACTGTGCCCGGCCTTTACGATGTGTTAAATGACAGACACCACATGCACGCAGACAGTCTTGGCCATCACAGAGGACCCTGTCTAGTAAACAAAAACACAGACCGGGAAAGGTGAGGAATCACAGAGCATCATGAAAGCAAATGCCCCCAAGTTCATGCTCTCCACTAGAAGGTAAACTCCATGAGGGCAGGGACCTGGGTCTATCAGTATGCATCACCAACATGGAGAACGGTGCACAGCACAGGACAGTGCCCCATAAACCTGAATTGGACACATGCAATGCAAGGATAATTGAGCAAAGGGAGTGAAGAGAGAGATGGCTTTCTGAAAGGAAGGAATTGAGAGTCGACTCATGAAGGGGACTCTGTACTGGGATAAGATGGGGTACAGAAAATGCTACCTTAAAATATACCTTGGCATACTGAATATTTTAAGCTGAAGGAAATTGCAGAAGCAGAAAGATCTCTCTTACCTTCTCCCACCTCCTCTTTTCTGAAGCAGGCCATATAAACCGGCATTTCCCATGCCCCTTCTTCCCTGAAGCAGGCCAAAAACCTAGGAAGGTCTCTCTCTCTGATCTTCTCCCTCTCTCCTTCCCTGAAGACCCTGATGTGGCAGGTATCCTGCTCCATATCCAGAAGGAGGGAAGGTCACACAGAGAGGGCAAGAAGAATCTGAATAAACAGGCCTTGCTAAGTTGCCCTCAGTTTATTACCATTCAATCATACCTTTTGTCCCCCAGTTATACTTCTGCAGGGCTGCCCATAAAAATACATGATTTTCCCTGGATCTCTAGGTCTTCGTTTCTTTTTCTATTTTTCTTTTTTTTTTTTTTTTCATTTTTCAACTTTCATGTGAAACTCTTGGGGTATATGTGTAGTTTGGTTACATAACTATGTTGTATGATGCTGGGGTTTGAAGTACAATTGAACCTGTCCCCCGGGTCGTGAGTATGGTACCAAATAGGCAGTTTTTCAACTCTTGTCTCCCTCTCTCCCCTGTCTTGTGTTCCGCCATGTCTGTTGTTCCCATCTTTATGTCCATGTGTTGGGTCTTCATTTCTGAAGTTTCCCGTGTCATGTACAGCTTATGTTAAATAAATGTGTTATGCCTTTCTCTTATTAATCTATATTTTGTGACAGGGGTCTCAGCCGTGAGACTCCTGGTGATGGGTAAGAAGAAGATATTACTTTGTATCCCCTACAGATAGGTAGCATGAAAGGAAGAATGCATTCCATGTAAGGGTAGTGACTTCAGAGATGACACAAACATAGACTGCAGTAAGCATCAAGAGAAGGAAGGGAAGAGGGGAGGAATATGATCTGCCCAGAAAAAGGGACTTATAAGACCCCCAAAGTCAAGGTTTCCTTCAGAGTGACTCAGAGAACTTACTGTCATTTTGAGGAGGTGCATATTTTAGTTTAAAGTCTCCCTAAACACAAAGATTCCGGTACAAAGAAGAAAACTGGGCTAGCTGAGCGTGAAACTGTTCACTATCTCATCAATTGCACAGTGATCGTCCTATTAGTGTACAACCTGATTTCTCATCTTAATAAACCTTGGCCAAGAGAAAAGACTTCTGAAATTCTGAGGTGTGAGACCTCAGGAAAGCTTCTTGATCTCCATTTTCCTCAGAAGACCTGCACACAAAGAGAACATGAGAACAGATGGCAACCAAGCCTCCCCACATCTCTGTCCTGTCCTAGAATCTCCTTTGTCCAATCCTGGCTGAGCTTCCTGAGCTCAAAGCAGAGAATGAAACCCAGCATCTGGGAGGTCCTGGAGAGGAAGGGCTTTTTAACTGCCGTTCCTCTTACAGTGTTATGTTTGGAAAAGAGACTCTGTGAAAATGATACCATTGATTTCACCTATTTATTTTCTCTGAAAGGCTTTCATATCAAATTTGCTCCCTCTTCAGATCAAACATGTCTGTGGGAAGCAAGGCTTAGAAAAAGAAGTTACAAAAGTCTGCCTCTCTAAAGAGTGGTTCTCTGATACAAAGAGAGGCCCACGGAAAAGGAGGGAGAATGGTCACTTTGCCGGTGGGCTGGCTTCCCTTAGAACACGAAGAGAACCAAGACGCCACCCCAGCCCAAGTGAAGTTCTTCTGCAGCCTCATCTTCAGAGAATCTCAGGGAAGCATAAAATGGCTTTTGATGGCAATTGATCTACTTCATTCATTTGGTAAAGTTTCTGACCCCCTCACGACTCAGAACGTCAGCTTTCCCATAACCACACTAATGGGTTGATAGCTGACTATCTCTCCCCAGCATTGCAGATTGCCCATTTCTCATAATATCCTGAGGTTCAGAAGGAAGAAATATGTTAATGTTCACACTGTCCAAAACATAGTAGCAAATGAAGCCTTGCTCTTTCCAAAATCTGTACTGTTAATGGTGACACCTAAGTCACCGTTCTATTTATTCTATGAAAAGTTGCTTAGTTAAGATTTGTTTTGTATTATCAAAATAAAAACTAGAGACAATGAAATACCTTACACAGTATTTCTTCCGGCCCACCTCTGGCCAACCTCATCCACCTCTACCATGATAGCCCCCTCATCGCATCTTGCAAAGAATGACTGAAGGTCTTTGGAGCTCCCAAACTTGCAGGATTCAAGTCCCTATATTCAGCTCATCTTCTGTTCCACTCAAGTACTTCTGAGCTGCAGAGGTTATTGATTGACCAACTTTCGCCGACCTGTATTTTGCAAAAGTATATGGACCACTTTATGGATTAAAGGATTAGAGAGGCCAGGCTCAGTGACTTACACCTATAAGCCCGGCACTTTCAGAGGCCAGGGCGGGAGGATCACTTTAGCCCAGGAGTTCGAGACCAACCTGAGCAACATAGTGAGATCCTGTCTCTACAAAAAAAAAAAAAAAAAAAATTAATTAGCTAGGTGTGGTGGTGCGTACCTATAATTCCAGCTACCAGGGAGGTTGAGGTGGGAGGAAGACATGAGACTAGGAGGTCCAGGCTACAATGAGCCATGATACTGCCTCTGCACCCCAACCAGAGTGACAGAGCAAAACCGTATTTCAAAAATAATAAAAAGAATAATAAAGAAGTCCAGGCCAGGCATGGTGGCTCACGCCTGTAATCCCAGCACTTTCGGAGGCCAAGGTGGGCAGATCACGAGGTCAGGAAATCGAGACCATCCTGGCTAACACGGTGAAACCCTGTCTCTACTAAAAATACAAAAAATTAGCCTGGCGTGGTGGCAGGCACCTGTAGTCCCAGCTACTCGGGAGGCTGAGGCAGGAGAATGGCGTGAACTCAGGAGGCGGAGCTTGCAATGAGCTGAGATGGCGCCACCACACTCCAGCCTGGGCGACAGGGTGAGACTCCGTCTCAAAAAAATAAAAAAAATAAAAATAAAAATAAAGAAGTCTGGGAGCAGTAGTTCATGCCTATAATCCCAGAACTTTGGGAGGCCAAAGCAGGTGGATCGCCTGAGGTCAGGAGCTCGAGACCAGCCTAGGCAACATGGTGAAATCCCATGTCTACTAAAAGAAAATACAAAAATTAGCCAGGTGTGATGGTGGGCACCTGTAATCCCAGTTACTTGGGAGGCTGAGACAGGAGAATCACTTGAACCCGGGAGGTGGAGGTTGCAGTGAGCTGCGACAGAGCCATTGCACTCCAGCCTGGGCAACAAAAGCGAAACTCCATCTCAAAATAATAATAATAATAATAATAATAAATAATAATAATAAAGAATTAGAGTATGACTTTCAGTCTTGGCCAAACAGCCAAGACAGAAGTGCTTACAAAATGTGTCTCCTGCAATGGCCAGGACACAGTACCCAGCTGGTTACTTATTGAAGAGAACACAGCACAGAGGTTTGACTGGAGGCTTTTTGAGGAAAGCAGGATGCTGGGAAACTAGAACTAGAGGCGCAACACTGTAATTCTACAGCTGTCTGACTATTGGCTGAGAAACAGGCAAGGAACCCGCCTTTACAGAAGCACGAGTCCTTTCTCATTCTTTATATGGGTCTGGAGGTGTAGTAGGTGTGGACCAGACCTGTACCGTGGGAAGACTGAAAGGCAGAAGCACCAGACAACCCTCCCCATAAATTTCAGCATTTAAACACCAGCATACATGTGCTGTTAGAGGAATAAATCTGACAAGCATCATGTAGAAACACTGGAATGTGACCTTAATGAATCCTGTAACTTGTTTCAAATTTGAGAGATAAGTTACAGTTTCTGATTTTGCAGGACTGTTTCCAAATTAGGACCAACGATGTCCTAAGAATGGTTAATAAGGACACATTCTGGAAAATGTTTAAGGCAGTTCTGTCCAACAGAAGCAAAATGTGAGCCACCAATGTATGCTACTGATGTCATTTTTAATTTTCTAGTAGCTATGTTAAAAATAGTAAAGACAAACAGGTGAAATTAATTTTAAAAGTATATTTTATTTAACACAATATATCCAAGATATTGTCATTTCAACATGTCAACAATATAAAAATAATTATTATGGGCTGGGCACAGTGGCTCACACTTGTAATCCCAGCACTCTGGGAGGCCAAGGTGGGCAGATCACCTAAGGTCAGGAGTTCAAGACCAGCCTGGCCAACATGGTGAAACCCTATCTGTACTAAAAATACAAAAAAAATCAGCCAGGCATGGTGGCAGGTGCCTGTAATCCCAGCTACTTGTGAGGCCGAGGCAGAAGAATCTCTTGAACCTGGGAGGCAGAGGTTGCAGTGAGCCAAAATCACACCATTGGACTCCGGCCTGGGCAATAGAGTGAGACTTCATCTCAAAAAAATAATTATTATATTATTATGAAATTTAGCTTTCCTTCTACTAAGTTCAAATCCAGTGTATATTTTACATTCCCAGCATATCACAGTTCAGACCAGTCACATCTCCATGGCTCAGTAGCGAGAGGTGGCCAAGGGCTATCACATTGAAGATTGTATTTCTAATCTGTTATCAGTATCATTGGACTTAATAGCTGAAACAAACAAACACAAATAGCTGTCAATATAATAAAGCGTAACACTGGTACAGAATAATTGTTTGAAGATTAGATTCTCCAGAAGGTCCAATTCATGTTCTGAGGTTTACAGCCTTCATTAACAGAGCTGATGAAAAACTAAAAGGACTTTTCCTCACCCAAAAAAAAAAAAAAAAAGACACACTTTTTTTTTCAGTGTACAGAACAAAAGGAATCAGCTACCATTTGTTAGGATAACTCAATGCAGGTTATCCATGGACCTCTCAACTTGAAAAATCAGATGTAATTGCAGGTCTGTTATGTGTAAGAACTGTCAGTGACAAGCACTCATATCAGAAGTATGGGCCTATTTTAGCGAAGCACTTCATGAATGCGTACGGCATGTCTACAATGAGTTTCTTAGCCATTACCAGTAAAGGTCACTATTTCCTAATTCAGAACCAGAAGATGACTCCCCAAGTACCTCTTTGGGAAGAGAAGGAAGACAAAAACAAAGAAAATCCCCGGAGCCCAGTAATCACAGCCAGAGTCAGGAAGGCCTGAAACACATTGTTTGGTTCTCATCTTACCCATTGTGGCTGTGCAGACAGGGACAGCCCAGTATTCCAATGGAAGGGACACAGATGCACCAGACCAGATTGTATGAGGCTGTGTAAACCCAGTACCAAGTGTGACCAGACAATGCCAACACAAGGGTCAAAACACTGGTAAGTCAACACAGGGCCGTCGTAACAACCCATTTGTGCTAATGTAATCAATGAATGGCTAACCTGGTGCCAAAAGAAATGTCATTTAACTGCATGGAAAAACATAATTCAATTTAAAAAGTGATGGATTGAGGAGCCAAAGAAATACAGTTTAGCCATGTATTCAATAGTTTCAGGTAAATGAAATAGAGTAATTGGCAACTGACTTTACCAGGGCACTGTTATTCCTAGACCCCTGCAGTGAATGGCTTTGTACTTGTGGCCTACTTGTCGATGCTCCCTGGTCGCATGGAAAACTTTCCTTTCTAGTTGACCCTCATTTGATTTTCCTTAATCCTAATACAGATCCCTAGCAAGTCCCGTAGTACCTTTACACCTGCAGAGGATAAAAAATGTTATTATTATTATTTTGTCTTTTTATCAGTGGCTCCTGATAAGTATACTGAATTTTAAAAGAAAAAAAATGCAATTCAAAAGAGACAAGGAAGTAGAAAAACTTGAAGTATCATGGGAATCTCAATCAGTTTAAATTGGATATGGTTTTGAGCAAAAACATTAAGTTGATCAGGAGGTAAAGAGGTTGAAGTATGCTTCATATGACACTACTCTGAGGAATTTAAAGAGAGAAATTTAGAAAAAGTGGTGCTGAGAAGGTATCCGAGAGAAGTTTGGGGATTAAATTCTCTTAACTGGCTGTGATGTAAATAGGGATATTCTGAAAGAAGCAGTATAGAGGGGAATATGACTTACAATGATATACAATGTAAGTGGCATTTAAAGTAGAAGAAGCTGTAGTGTAATAAGATCCATTTACACCTGAATAAAGTTTAAACAGATAAACCAAGACTATGAAAACTGGGTCTCAAATAAGATCAACATTGAAAGCAGATGTGAACCGGGCACGGTGCTATGCACCTATAGTCCTACTTAGGTACTTAGGAGACTTAGGCTGGAGAATCCTTTAAGCCCAGGAGTTCAAGTCCAACCCGGGCAATGCAGGGAGATCCTGTCTCAAATTAAAAAGAAAAAAAAAAAAGCAGATGTGCTTTATAGCCATATGTTAAAAATGCTGAAAAGCTAACGTTTTAGTTGCTGTTTGTCTAAGTAGTCACAGTCTGTAAATGCACCGGTAGAAGCAGATGGTATCCCTGGATGCAAAGCTCACATGGAAAACACTCCTCTCTACGGTCATCCCTCTGTTCCTGGAGAGTGGGATTTGCAGAGCAGATTATTCACTGTAGTCACTGGCTTCCTAGATCCCACATCTGTTCTTGGAAGCCCTTAGAAGAGAGGTCTTGAAATTTGCGGGTGTTCCAGCTCCTCTGACTACAATTGGCACAGAAGCTTTCTTCTTCCTGCGAACTTAACACTTGTGTTATTTATATTTCTATGCATTCATTAAATAACTATTTATCAACTCTGTCCTGTGTACTCTACAAGGCACCAGGGGCTAAAACAAAGAACTCCTCCTTTCCTCTTGATCTCCTTGATAGAGAAGGCAGACATTAATTAATTAAAATATAAAATGTAACTGTGACAAAAGTTTGCAAGTAAAGAGTTGGTGCTATAAGAGAGCCTAAAAGAAGGGCCTGCCTTGCTCAGGGGTATGAGGAAAGACTTCTCCAAGTTGCAGTGCAGTGGAGTGGTCTGGAAGGTGAACAAGCTTAACTAGGTGAAGAGCAGAGAAATGAAGATTTCAGGTAGAGGAAACAGGATGTGCAAGGACTCAGATAGGAAGACGCATGCTAAAAGGCAAGAACTAAAAGAATGAAGTGTGACTAGGAGGGAAGGCGGGAATTCTGGAAATCTGGGCAAAACAATAGTGACCTAGACCCATGTAGTAGCAGACTTGGAGGAAACACGAGGGGGATTGGAGAAAGAATGGAGGAGATTTGATGATAGATTAGCAGGAATATATATATTAGTGAGGGTTCTCCAGAGAAACTGTACCAATAGGATATAGACAGAGATAAATAAGACAAAATTTATTACAGGAATTGGCATATCAGATTATAGAGAGCAAGAAGCCCAATGCTATGCCATCTGTAAAGCTATAATTCAGTCCAAGTCCAAAGGCCTGAGAACCAGGAGCTCCACTGTCCAAGGACAGGAGAAGATGGATAGCCCAGCTAAAGAATAGATAGCAAATTTGCCTTTCCTCCACCTCTCTGTTCTGTTCAGGCCCTCAACAGATTGGATGATGCCACCACATTGGTGAGGGTGGATAGTTGTTCCATCTACTGATGCAAATGCTGACCTCTTCCGGAAACTCTCTCATAGACACATCCAAAATTAACGTTTTACTGGCTATCTGGGCATCCCTAATCCAAGTCAAGTTGAGATATTACATCAACCATCACAGTACCTCAGGTGACAGGGAAAGGAAAAATCAATAATCACTCCTATACTATATTTTCAAGTTGAAAAACTGAGAGGTAACATATTCTGATTCGGGAAGCCTTGTGGCTGTGTGTTGGGAGGTTTTGTGTTGTGTTGAGAATGGGAGGGGTTTTAGAGGAGAGATAAAATGAATAATTTCACTTTTATCATGTTACCTTCCAGTTTTTTCTGTGATGTTCTAATGGATAGGTCAAGAAAGATAAGTACATTTAGACTCAGAGGAAAGGTCTTGGTCTTTAGGTAGACATTTGGGAACTAACAATATCAAGATGGTATTTAAATAAGGAGAAACTGAAAAGCTCATCCAGGACAGATTTCAGAGACAAAAAAAGTTCATTCTAAGCCCCAGGGAACCCCAACATTTAGAAATTTGGTGAAGAGAGAAAAACAAGCGTAAGGGACCAAGAAACAGGAGTCAGCTCATAAAAGAGAAAAATCAACGATCTTTCAATCACAGCAGGCAAGAAGCAAAATATTTCAAGAACTACGTGGCCGTCAATGCCAAATGCCTGTAATAATAATACATGTTTGATAAAGACAAAGAGGCGCCCACTGGATCAGGAAACATGGAGGTCCCTGGGGCCCTTGACAAGGCCGTTTCAATCACATGTGAGAGGCAGAGCTGTGATTTAGAGGGTAGAAGAACAAATATGGGGCATGGGGGCACGTGCCTGTAGTCCCAGCTACTCGGGAGGCTGAGGCCGGAGAATCGCTTGAACCCGGGAGGTGGGGGTTGCAGTAAGCTGAAATCGTGCCACTGCACTCCAGCCTGGGTGACAGAGCAAGACTCTGTCTCAAAAATAAATAAATAAATAAATAAAATTTTAAAAAAAGAACAAATATGGCAGGGAGTGACTGAGCAGAGGCAGCATGTATGAGAAAACCTTTTGGGTGACATTTGGCTACTAAAGGTAAAAAGGAGGGGTTAGGCTCAAGGAAAGTCTCTCTCTTTTTTAATGAGATATACCTACTGTTTGTCTTCATCAGTGGTGCGTTGGTAAATGCTTAACAATGGGCGCTCAGAGGGAAAGCTCTGTTGTGTAGCATTAGCCAGTCTCTGCAGTGTAAATACTCTCACGGGGTATGTAATTTCAAGCTATACATGTGAAATCACTGGATGTGGACTTGGGAAGAGATGCTCAGAATCGGCTCCTGCAAGCCAGTACCACCTGGCTCCAGCACAGCTCTGCTGTTGATGTTTGCATTTTAGGGGCATCATCTGGTGGAGAGCAAGGGATCTGCAATACAGGGCATAGAGCCCTTGCAAAGGATAGAGTGGAAGGGATTCAGAGGACAAGAGAGAGTAGGAACATTCCTCCATTGTAATAGGAGATAAAAGGAAACAGGTGCAAATGTAAATGTTGACAGAATTCCCATCCGTCCTTTTTCTTCATAAAGAAAGAGTCAAGATCATCAGCTAAGAGAGGCAGGGGCTCAGAAATTTAAGCTTAATAGAAAACATTTGCAATCTTTATTACACATGGTGGGACATTGAATTGGATTTTTATTTTACAAGTATGGTACAATTTTCATAATGAAACTCTAAGCTATTTGAGGGCAGAGACTGTCTGATATTCTCATTTGTATTCTTTGCATCGCCTCACACTGTATTATACACATGATTAGGATCAAGAAATTCTTATTCATTGACTGACCTTGAAATCTGGGGTTAAGATCTTTTTCTGGGATGAAACCGACATATTTTATAAACTCACCACTCCCTGAGCACTCATTATTAGACTTCAATAATATAATCTCCATGGTGAAAATAAACATAAAAATTGAACTTAACGGCAGGGCGCAGTGGCTCACACCTGTAATCCCAGCACTTTGAGACGCCAAGGCGAGCGGATCACGAGGTCAGGAGATCGAGACCATCCTGGCTAACACGGTGAAACCCCGTCTCTACTAAAAATACAAAAAAATTAGCCAGGCGTGGTGGCAGTCGCCTGTAGTCCCAGCTATTCGGGAGGCTGAGGCAGGAGAATGGCGTGAACCTGGGAGGCGGAGCTTGCAGTGAGCTGAGATCATGCCACTGCACTCCAGCCTGGATGACAGAGTGAAACTCCGTCTCAAAAAAAGAAAAAAAAAATCGAACTTAACTACCAATTTGGGATTTCTTAAAAGAGCTTCCTCAGCATTCCAAATTCACTCTTGGGTGGTAACCTGTACCCTACTACTTTGCATTCTAGCTTAGTGGTACAGAAACCCTTTAAACAATTTTTTTTCCCTACTCCATGGCTGAATTCTTATGCCACAGCTTCCCTCATTTTGCAGGGGAAGAAGGATCTCACTGACCTAAGCCCCAACTTCACCTTTGCTACTTCTGCTTGTCATCACCCAGATACCATAGCCCCCTCATAACACACAGAAGCCTTTCCACTTTACTGTCTGTCCTCACTCTGCCCACTTCTTTAATATGCATGAAGGGCGGGACTTTATGTGCTGGGCGAGTCTGAGGGGCTCTGCCCTAGGATTCCAGAGAACACCCATCACCCCACTGCCACCACCCTGAGAATATACCATTGCTCCCTCCTTTATAGTTGCTGTCTTTTTGTATTTCATATCCAATAGACTATATTCTTTTCATATTTCTGTAGACTTTTTATCATCCTCAATCATTCATCCAACAAATATTGTCTTTTTGTGCTAGGCTTTGTGGGGAATACAAAAATAAGAGAGACTTACCTTTTCTTGTCTCCCACACAAAGACCATAGCCCAAACTCTTCATGCCTCTTTGAAGCATATGTAGCAGATGTCTGTGAAGCACCTACTGTGTGTGCCAAGGCCTGTAACACTCATTTTATGTGTATTATCTGATTGGTCCCTAAAAGCTGGTCCATGAGCCAGTACATTTTATATGGTCTTTTTTTCTGGTCTGCAACGTATTAGAAATAAATGTTGCAAAAAGCCAAATATACCCATTTTAAAAAACTGTTTCATGTTCCAAAATTATGTCATTTCTACTTTTATTAATAACATAATGCCTGTTTATTATATAAGAGTGGCAGATTTGATCTGGCATGTTTGATTTTCTTTTTTACATTCTTAGTTGGTAAAATGAAGGCAATCTTAATGTGGGTTTCCAGTGTTAGTAAGAACCCTTTGATTGCAAGTAATACAGAACCCGACAAACTGGCACACAGAACTGAATTCAGGTAGAGGACCTTCAAGCAGAATTAGATCTTGAAGTTCATGATGCTCCTGGAGCTCTGGCTCCTTTTTGAGGATATTTTCTCCACTTATTTGCCCATCTCTTTTGTGACAACTTTAACCCCAGGCTGGGTTCTCACTGTAGTAAAAGAGCTGCAGCCAATCCAAGCCTCAAATAAGTCCACTACGCTGCTCAGAGAAGGTGAAAGGGCTTTTGTTGCTGCGCACCAAGCAAAAGTCACGAGGTTTACTTCAGTGACACCAGCTGGGTCCCCTGTCCACGCACAAACAAATCACTGTGGCCATGGGAACTCTGCAGGATGGAATGTCCTCCCCTGGGAAGAACATGGGAGAGAGGCAGACATTCTTTCCAGTTGAAGCAGGGAGGTAACTGACAACACCCACAATAGCTAACAGAAAGTTGGAGGTGCCAGAAGCCTTCGAGTGCTTTACATAGATGATCTAATTTAATTCCCACAGACACAAGAAGAGGGAGATTTTATTAGGAACCCATTTCCCAGGGGAGGACACTGAGGCTTGCGGATGAAAGGTAACTTGTGTAAAATCGTAGGGTTGAGAAGACTAGAATTGTCAGGGCTCAGAAACCAATGCTTTAAATTATGGTGCTTTGACATGCTGAGGTGAGGAAGGTCTCTCTGACCTCCCCCATTCCTGTCTCTCAATCCTCCGTCTCTCCCAAAGCACTGAATGAAGTTCTCTGAAGTTCCCCTATCTGCCTAAAGCCCAGACCTGGCAAAGAATAAAACAATTACCTCTCGTCCCTTCCCTGAGTTTTCAACTGACCTCATATGCAGGAAGAAAGACTGAAGTCTGTCAACACACCTGGATGGACTTTTGTTACAAACCATTGTCTGGGCTGGAGGCCCAAAGACTCTGTTCCAGGCCACTGTATGTTCTTCAAGTTCATTTAATTCCCCTAAAAATCACTTACTACCCCCTTAAAATCATCCGTATTTCCCCATTACTCTTTCCCTAGGAAGTAATGTATATAATGTGAACCCAAAATACCTGAGACAGGTTCCAGTCAATTTAGAAAGTTTGTTTTGCCAAGGTTAAGGACAAGCCCATGACACAGCCTCGGGAGGTCCTGATGACACATGCCTAAGGTGGTTGGGGTACAGCTTTGCTTTTATACATTTTAGGGAGATGAGACATCAATCAATATGTGTAAAATGTACATTGGTTTGCTCCAGTAAGGCAGGACAACTCAAAGTGGGGACTTCCAGGTTAGAAGTAGATAAAAGACAAAAGGCTGCCTTCTTTTTTTGTTTGTTTGTTTTGTTTTGTTTTGAGACAGAGTCTCACTCTGTCACCAGGCTGGAGTGCAGTGGTGCGATCTCAGCTCACTCCAATCTCCGTCTCCCAGGTTCAAGCGATTCCCCTGCCTCAGCATCCCAAGTAGCTGGGACTACAGGTGCCCGTCACCACACCCAGCTGATTTTTTTTGTTTTGTTTTGTTTTTGTATTTTAGTAGAGACGGGGTTTTACCATGTTGGCCAGGCTGGTCTCAATCTCCTGACCTCGTGATCTGCCTGCCTCGGCCTCCCAAAGTGCTGGGATTACAGGAGTGAGCCGCAGCGCCTGGCCAAAAGGTTGCATTCTTTTGAGTTCTTGATCAGCCTTCCACTAAATACACAATTTAGCCTGGCTTGGTGAATCTGCCTTTTTACATAAACAATATAGCAGAGGAAGCAATCAGATATGCATTCATCTCAGGCGAGACTCAGAGGGATGATTTTGAGTTCTGTCTGTCCGTTGTCCACAAGGAATTTCCCTTTAGGCAAATTGTGAGGGTTATCTGTAGCTTCTTATCTCTGTAGCTATCCGATTTAGGAATAAAATAGGAGACAGATTTGCCTGGCATAGTTTCCAGGTTGATTTTTCCCTTGGATTAATGATTTTGGTCCCAAGATTTATTTTTCTTTCACAATAAGCATCTGTACCACTTTGGAATATTGGATAATCACTCTATGATTTCCTTCTTATGCATGTTAATAAGTGCATATGCCTTTGCTCCTATTAACCTGCCCCTTGCAGGCTGATTTTCTGTGATCTTTCAGAAGGTGAAGGAGAGTTTTCCACTGACCCCTATAGAATCCAACTGCATCTACCCCAGAGCTCTTGCTCTTGCCTACCATCCTGCTTTCTATACTGCTTCTAGGCTGGTGCATCTGCAGCTGTTTTGTCACTAGAAGAAGACAGCTTGCCTAAGAACAAAATCAATCAAGCCAAAGCCAAAAAGCAAGAGAGAAGAGAAATCAAGTCCTGACCATTTCATCTGAACTCATAGATTGAACCATGCATGAAGCTAAAACTACCTCTACATGAAGCTAAAACCATTCATGAAACTAAACCGTGCACACATGAAACTATGTATAAGGCTTATTACACATGAAGCTAAAACCATCTCTGGACTAAAACATATAAGGCAATAAATTTTTTGTTTCTGCAAGTTTAAGCTTTCTATTATTTGCAAGAGAAAAAACATACAGTTAAGAAATACAAATATTTCAGAATAGCACTTTAGAAATTCTACACCAAATATATTGCAGGAACCAATATTACATGGATCAGGATGGCTAACCTATATAATGTGATCTTTTTTAACATTATCTAACATATGCTGCAAATAAAATATTTTTTAAAAAGAACAAAAATATTATAAACAGCATAATCAACCAGCATGTACAAGTTATCATTGAAGCTTCATTCCCCGTATCTTAGGGATGCTTTTATATTTTGGTAAAGGATGCTCAGCAGCCAGATATGTAAGGCAATATGATTCCGTCATGCTAGTAAATCAGAGCAAAGATCAGCATTCCTTGTTAGAATGTGATGTTTCTAAAGAGAGATCATCTCCTTGAAAGAACCATGCAATGCTAATGTTCATACAGAAATGCAAGAGCCTGGACGTGATTGCTATGACAAAAAGACTCTCACTTCAAGATGATGTGGGATCTCTCAGTGGGGCACCAGGGGTGTGTACACACGAGAAAATGAAAACAAAATGATTCATACTAAAACCAGTCAATGGGATGCAGATCTATTCATTTTAAGCTAGGGTCCAGAATTTCTAACAGTCCTGGTCTTGCTCTGAATTGTGGACTAACTATGATGTCACAGTCTCTCCCCTAAACTCCTCTTCCTTTCTAACCTGCCATCTATACCCCCAGGGTTTCCCCTTACTGCAGCTCCCCTAAGACTGATATGGACACTACAGGAGAGACCAAGATAGGCCACTGGTAAAGAAACCTCAGTCCTGGTCGCATTTGGTCCTGAGTTTATTGTCCTGTGGAGCCGGGATGCTGAATTGATATTCTGATGTATGGGGGCAGGGAAATTATGCATGCGGGAACTATAGTAATTATGTTAATTGAGGAGACCTCTTTGTTGTGGGATTTCCAGAGCAAGAAGCAGCTTGTGTCAGAGATTTACAGTAGAAGTCCTAAAAATAAGACCCCCAGGTGTGCCCCAGGGGGTGAAGAAAGAGGTAGCTGAGAGGTTAATGTGGGAACAAAGAAAATGTACTGGAATCAAGCATTAACAAGCTACAACATAAGGTCCAAGACTGTGAATCTCATGAATAAGGAGGAGGGGGTTGAGGGAGGGGAGGCAAGAATGCAAAAAGCTCTGCAAAAAAGCATCATCTCTGGAAATTCATGCGTGAACAAAAACGGTCCAGCCAGAAACTGATTTTAGACGGCTAAGAAAATAAAGGCAGAGCAGTTGCTGATCAGAAAGCAAGTCAACACAAGTCAAGGCAGACGGCACTGAGGGGGTGTTGGTGAGGCCTCTGGTGCTGTGTGTCCAGGCAGGGGATAGACCTCCAGATTCGAACAGATGCTGTGCCCAGAAGAAGCTGGGGCGCCTAGAGAATGAAGAGTGCGCTCTCTCCCTCTCTCAGTGGTACCCCTCGAATGGCCCACACGAGAAACCTAAGAAGGCTCTGTTAAACCTAGGAACACAGCCAGCTGAGGCATTTCTCCAGACTCCTTCAGGCCAAGGGAAGAAACTGTTCTATTTTATTTTTTCTCTGCCGTGTGTTCTTTTGCTACGTAAAATGGAGGCAAAACAGAGAGGAAATGGGACTACTGGTTTACCCAAATTAACCTATAGCTGAAAAGACATCTTCTCCTGACCCAGAAATGAGGAATCACTTTTTTTTTATTTCCAAAATCAACCCTTCTTTCTGTATAGGAACTTCTCCTTGTGTCTCACAACCGTCAAGGTATAATCTGTTTCTGAAGGTAAAATAAACAAATGAACGAAAACACTCTGTATGAATGGAATTGCCACCTCCAACTTCATTCATCTCTGGTTTTCTGCCTCCTTTTATGGCCATGTGTCTGCAGTGAGCAGGTCATATCCACTCCCACCTTTTTCTCGCCATCTCTTTCTCCTTTATCCTGAGGATCATGACTCCCACCCTCACCTCTTTATTGAAACTGCTTCAAGATGCCTCTGATCCCCTTATTAAATGCAGTCAGTGTCTTTCCGTGGGTCCATATTCTTCTTCACTATCCTGTAGCAATCAAAAGTGTTATCTGTGATCCCCAGTCCTCAGAACCAAGTTTCTTTGGCGTCAGCGATCCATTGGGGCTGTAGTTCTCTAACTACTTAGCAACTCTCTAAGTTATTGGTAATGGCTTTCACCTGGCATCCACATCAGAATACCCTGGGGGCTTGTTATAAGGCAGATTGCTAGGCCCCAGCCCTACAGTTTTGAGTCAACAGATCTGGGTGGACCAGCTCAGAAATTGCAAATCAAACAAATTTTCAAGTGATGCTGTTGTATCTGGTCCAGGGACCACTCTTCAAGCACCACTGCTCAAATAGCTGTCAGCATAGGGAGTGCATTAAAGTTGTCTGGGGCTGAGCCATATTTTAAAATATGCCTGGCCCCAGTACAGACCAATTAAGTGAGAATCTCTGGGATGGGGCCTGGGCTGTCCCTGTGGTTCTGACATGAAGTCAGTGTTGACAGTCTGCATTTGGCTCCTTCCTTAGTTCCACTTGGTCATGCAAACTTCTATGGTGGCCAGCGTCAGACTCAGTCCCTCTTATCTTCGCCCTTCAAGCTTGGTATTCTCTCCCTCCCAGCAGGATATTATAAGGCCTGACCTAACACAGTGGCTATGGAAAAAGAGACAAGGTCAGCTTTAAAAGGTATTTGGAACCCGGAAGTAACTCTACTTAGTGGCCAATCAAATAAGAGCACTGAAAGAGAAAAATAATTCACTTATTTAGTAGTAGCTACAGAAATAATATTTGCACTTTTCTCAAATACTGGAAAGACCGCAATCAACATCCACCCAATAATCTTCACAAATATCATGCCAAGACCTGTGTCCACCAGCTAGAAAATAGTTTATTCATCTATTCAGGGATCAGAAGGCATAACCTCCCTGTTACCTTGTCAAAAAAAAAAAAATCTTGTCTCTATTTGGAGACAAGATTTTTTTTTTTTCTTTTCAGACAGAGCCTCTGTCGCCCAGGCTGGAGTGCAGTGGCGCAATCTCAAAGATCACTGCAACCTCCACTTCCCAGGTTCAAGTGATTCTCCTGCTTCAGTCTCTCTAGTAGCTGAGATTACAGGCATGTGCCACCACGCCCGACTAATTTTTGTATTTTTAGTAGGGATGGGGTTTCACCATGTTGGCCAGGCTGGTCTCGAACTCCTGACCTCAGGTGATTCACCAGCCTCGGCTTCCCAAACTGCTAGGATTATAGGCGTGAGCCACCACGTCTGGCCTGGAAACAAGATTTTGTTTAGTTTTGTTTGTTTCACATTTTTGGAGGTTTCATATCTTCTTTCTTTTTTCTCCTGATAAACCAAACTTCAGTAAGAATCCCACATTTGCCGTTTGCATTGTGGTATCAATTTGTTCTCTCTCCGTGTATATTCATGCACAAACTGCTTTTTCTTTTCCTTTTAGTTCTTTTACTATTTTTTTCCCTCTTTGCATCCAAAGTAGTCATTTGTTCCAGGCATGTTAGATGGATCAATATTAAAACATTTATCCATTACGTTGATTACAACAGCAAATTAAATAAACAGGCAGTGAAAAGGCATTTGATAGATTTCAGCAAACATAACTATTGCTGAAATAAACAGAAATACATAGAATGCCCTAAGTATGATGAAGACTATTACCAAAGCCCGAAATTCAAACATCCTATTAAAATGTGAAATAGTAATCAATTTCATTAAAACCAGAAAGAAAGAAAACAGAGATACCTTCAAGCATCATTTATATTCAACATGGTTTTAGAGAGTCTAGCTAATGTAATAGTAAAAGGAAATGAAATGAGTGGAATTAATTTGGGAATGAAGACAGCAAATTACCTTTATTTATAGATTGTATCATAACCATATGCCTAGAACAGCCAAGAGAATATAGTAATAATTTTTTAAAACTATTGGAATTAAAGAGTAAATTTCGTTTGAAAAATTTATTAATAAATACACAGAAGTCATCTTTGTATTACCTGAAGTCATTTAGAACAAAGAGGCAATTTTAAAAATTCCATTAATGATCAATCACATTAGATAGATATTAAATTGCCGAGGAATCAACAAAAATGTTGTATGGGAAAAATCAATGAAAAATATAAAATAAAATCTAAATAAATGGATGAGGAAACAATATTGCAAAAATGTCAGTTCTTCTCAATATAAATTAACTTTTAATAAAAATCATAAAAGGTTCTTTAATGAAAACGGTTAGTATGATTTTAAATGTCGTATTGAAAGATCAGTGTGTAAGGATCGCTAAGACAATGAAGAAAAAGAGTGAGGGAGAGATTATACATGAAATGGTGCAATCAAAATAGTATGGTATTGGCATAAGAATGGTCAAATAAATCAGTGGACAAGCGTCCAGAAGTAGATCCAAGTATATGTAGAAACTTAATATATGATAAAGGTGGTATTTAAATTCAGTCATGAGAGAATGGTTTATTTTATAAGTGAGACTGGAATAATTGGTCATTCATCTGGAATAAAGCAATATTAGTCTCTTACTTCAGTCCACACACAAAAATAAACTTCAGATGAATTAAAGATCTAATGTAAAAAATAAAGCATTCGAGATTTGGGGGAGAAAAATATAGGAGAATATTTATATAGCCATTGGGTAGAGAAGTCCTTATTAAGCAAGAAAAGATCCCCAAAGCCATAAGAAAAAAAGCAACTAAATGCTATTTCAAAAATTAGAAATGGATAAATGGATAAAGGCACTATAAATAAAATTCATTCAGGGGACTGTGATAGATTGGTAAGAATATTTGCCAATATAATATTTGCCAATATTAGCAATAAGAATATTTGCCAATAAGCTCAAAGAGTTAATATCCCTGTTGTACAATTAATTTTTTCAAGATCAAATAAAAATAGACAAATGGGTATGGCATAATCAACAGGAAATTTGTTCAAGGGAAAACGGAAAGGGCTAACAAACATATGAAGAGATGCTCCGTCTTGCTAGTGGACAGACAAATACAAATGAAAACAAATAATATACTCTCCTCCACCCTTGGATTAGACAAAATGTCAGGTCTAGTGGCGACAATGGCGATGATGATGACGATGATGATGATGATGACAAAGATGACACCTACACTGTGCTTAAAGGTACCAGTCATAAAATTGGCATAAAATTCTAAGAATCGTACGTGTAATCATTCATTTAATCCTATCAATAGCCCATGAAGTAGGCACTATTAGTACCCTCATTTTGTAGGTGAGGAAATTTATATACACATATGAAATAAAATTTTCGGAAAACAATACTTATCCTTACCACATGCAAAGTTCTCTGATATTTACTATTCTTTTCTATGCTGCCTCACTTAAAAATTACTGGTTGGGTAAATTGATTTTATGATACACAAAGGGGTAAACCCGCAAGTTGAAAATGCCTGACCTACAGAAATGTTCACAGATTACTAAAACAATGAGTTTCTGAGTAAAGTGCACACTTTAATCTCATTTATAGAAGAAGAAAAGAAAGAAAGGAGAAAGAAATGAAGAGGGATGCATCATATATGTATGTCCTTTCTAGAGATGTGTATGTGTGCTTACAAGTGCAGAAAAAGGTGTGGAAAGAGCCACATCTATTGATATTGACTACCTGGAGAGATTGGGGGTAATGAGACGTCTTTTGCTTGTATATCTCCGTTTTGTTTGTCATGCTGCAGAAAGAATGCTCTGCTTTTAGAGTTTTTGAGGACAATTCAACAAACTAGAACAAAAGAATTTTGTCATCTGTAAACTTCTGTGCTCTGGGATTAAAACCTAAGCTTTCCTAACTTTGTTGCATCTCATGCTTAAATGGCCCTCATTCAACATTTGGCTCCCATTTATTAAAAAAATAAATCTTTCAATTCTATCTACAAAACCCACTGGGAGAGGGATAAACCTGATTATGAGGTCTTCTTATCGAAGGAGAAGGGTAAATGATTGTTCTCACCTACAGTAATAATGCAATTGAATGAAGGGACAGGAACTCCGTGGAAAATGTCTAAAAAGAATCACAAAAAATGTTTACAGCAGAGAGGTATAATTCCATTGAATGAAGTTTCTTTCATTCATTCATTCAAATGCACCTGATTTTGATTTATTTTACCTGTTTGACATACCAAAACTGCTCTTTACATTTTCCAAGTAATTGATAGAGGTTTCCCCTACCTACAAACCAGAGGTTTTAGTGTCCCCTTTAGGCCTTCCTCCAATTGAGTTGTTCAAGATTCCTGGGGGCTTATTCAGTTCAAACATCAAATAAGGCTGATTTCTTCTTACAAAGGCTAAGAGGAAAAACATAAGTTGAATTTTCAGTCAACCTCTGTGGTTGTTGGTGCTGTTTGCCAGCTCCATCTTCTGGGCACAGGCTAGGATTGCACAACCCTGCCCACAACAGGGTTAGATGCAGGTACAGGACTCACTTTGTCCAATGAAATGAGAGCAGAATTGAGGCGTCATTTAAAATCCATTGCATAAATGTGTTACATCATTTTCTGCCTCAGCAATGGTAGAAGCAGGCGTCAAGAACATCTCTCAGCCTGGACCTTCCATATCTATGATGGCATTCAGAATAATTTTGGAATAACCTTATGTTGTATTAAGCCACTAAAACTTGTGTATTGCTTGTTACTACAGCATAAGCTAAACCTATCCTGACTGATAACACTCCGTGAGCACTTAGGGCTTAGTTGGAAACAGCTGGTTTACATAACTGTTCAGACTGGACCTTACAACTGAAAGAATATTTATACACTGTTGCATTGAGGTCTTTGCTGTCTGGAAACCTGGCAGAATTCAAGTGGCGCACTTAATGGGATTCAGTACTATGTATTTTTAGCTACACTCAAATTCTTAATCATTGTCCTCTGAACCACATTATCTTTGCCTGGGTGGCTGAGTACAGAGTAACTTCTAGGCTCAGCCATAGGCTACATTAGAAATTCTCAGTGACCTTAATACCAATGTTGTACCCAGGTCACCAGACCAACTATGCATCTCATGGTGAGTTTCTCTTTGGGATCCCTGGGTCCTTATCTGACCGAGAGTCTTGCTCAGTGCCACCTTGGGCCACTTCATTATGTTTAACTAATTTCAAATATTTGGATAAGGATTTTAGATGTTGATCTCTTGTCCCCAGAAAACCTCAAGTTCCACATGCAATTGGTGACTCTCTTCCGAGGGTTCCTACTAAAGAATCTCAGGGAGGAGCAGCCTTCATCAATCCACAAAAGGTTTGGTTACATCGTATGTTGGGCTAGAGCCAGCTCACAGAGTGTACAAGCTCCTGAGAACCGATTGTGATTGGTGGTGTGCAGCTTTTCCCAACTCTGCCTTCGGTGACTCAGATTACATTCTTTTGTTTTGTTTTTGAGACAGAGTCTCACTCTATCACCCAGGAGTGCAATAGTACAATCATAGCTCACTGCAGCCTTGAACGTCTTGGCTCAAGCAATTCTCTTACCTCAGCCTCTCGACTAGTTGGGACTACAGGTACACACCACCACGCTTAGCTAATTTTTTTTATTTCTTGTAAAAAATTAAAACTATGTTGCCCATGCTGGTCTCAATTCCTGGGCTCAACAAATCCTCTCTTCTCAGCCTCCCAAAGTGCTGGGATTGCGGGCCTGAGCCACCTCATCCAACCTAGGCGGTTTTGACCACAGTGGGAGTATTTGCACCACAAGAATAGGCAATTGCTACAAATCAGAGTTGTTTTTTGTCCTTGGAGAATCCCTTGTTGAACACTTACCAGCACACCACTGAATACATCCAGCCTCCTCATCTATAGGTGCCTGCTGCCTTACAACTTCTTAATTGAGAGGGCTCACTGACATGACTCTTCCTGCAATAAGGAAAATTATTCCATTTTTTCTTGCTATTGGCCTCTATAACTTAGTAGTCACTGGCTTACTGTTTTCAATTTCACCTCACTTGATACCCTATTATAAAGAAACTGTTTAGACACCATTATGTTCCAGGTACTAAGAAGACAATAATGAGCAAAACAGAGATTCTGCCTACTCCATTAGAGATTCATTTTAGAAGTCTGGAAGAGCAATGGCACCTACTACTAATGTAAGATACTTTTAATATCATATCCCTTATTTGTCATTTTTGTTTAATTTCCTCAGAGTTAATAAATAAATTTGTGTGATTATTTCAAAGATAGCAGTTATAGTAGCCCTCTGTTACATTTGTGTGGTCCATAACACTTTCTTTTAGGAACCACCAGCCCCACACCATGTAATTCTAGTAGAACTATCAGTTGGGGCCAGTTTCCACTGTCCCAGTGGTAGGCATATAGCTGAGGATAACAGCAAATCCTACTCCCCAGGATACAGAGACTGCTCCAAGATGGGCACGTGGCCCAACCATGGCCAAGCAGAATCCTTTTGCAGAGATTTATATGGATTCTGGAAGTCTGAAAGATTTCCAATCTGACAGCATAAAATCTAAGAACCTTATAAGCCTGGAGGAGCCCTATCACATGGAGATCATTTGGAAGAGAATAAAGCCAAAGCAGATGAAAGCAGACCCAAGAAATGGGGAGGGAGGCAGAGAGGGAACATGATGATATGGTTTATTTAAGTCCCAAATCTATCCATGACTGAAACCAAACTAACTCACACAGTTTTCAATTATGTGAGCCAATCAATTCCTTTTGGCTTAGAGCAGGGGTGTCCGATCTTTTGGCTTCCCTGGGCCACATTGGAAGAAGGATGGTCTTGGGCCACACATAAAATACACTAACACTAATGATAACTGATGAGCAAAAAAAAAAAAAAAAAAAAAAATATATATATATATATATATATATATTGCAAAAAATCTCATAAAGTTTTAAGACAGTTCACAAATTTGTGTTGGGCTGCATTCATGTGGCCTGCAGGCTATGGATTGGACAAGCTTGGCTTGGACTAATGTGCATTTCTATCAGGTACAATGTTAGAGTCCTCATTAATACAGCAATGTAAGGGAGAACTTAGGAAACAGCATTCTATCCATGATAAGAGTTAAAGAGAGGTAGCCAGGTAGAAGACCTGAGGGTGGGTGTGAGCAAAATCTAGGAGACCAAATCACAGGGGCCTGTAGGAGCAAAGAAGACTCTAGAGGATCAATGTAGGAGCTCTTGTTCTTGTGCAATCCCTTTCTTTGCCATGTAATGTCAGTGCAGAGGTATCCAAAATCTGGAGACTTGAGAGAGAGAGAGAGAAAGAAAGCGAATATAGCTATAGAGAAAACACTCATTCCAGGATGAAGAAAAACAGGAGAGAGGTGAGATGATGCTCCAAAGGCAAGGCGACTGCTAAAATCTTCACAAGTCTTTTATTGTCTTTCTACTTTCTTCTTGGTGATCCTCAGTGGATGCAGGGAGGGCAACCCAACTACTGTAAGTCAACCGGACCTTTCCCTGCCACATAGCCTCTGCTTCCCTCTCTTTTCCCTCTTCTCAGCCATGACTTTGGATATCTTTTCAAGTTTGGGGAAACTTACAAGTATGTACCTGAGTTGCTTGCCAATGGTTTTTTGGCTTAAGAATTGTTTATTTTCCTCATTAATTTCTAGCATTTCAGTGGGCAACTCTTATTTACTTATTCAACCTGGGGAAGAACATAGATTTTAGTAAAGGGATTTGGTGAACATTGATGGAGTTAAGCAATGGTGGGGTTGGACTGTAACTGCAGGTTTGAGGAGTGACAAGGGGTTGAGAATAATGGGGATATCAGTGATGTTTGGGTAGAAAGGGGAGACAAGAAATCAATAGAAGGGGGACAAATGCTTTAAAATTACATTCTACTCATTTGAATAAAGGCCCAGCTTCCTCTAATTTGAACAATAAGGAGGGCTGAGGACTGAGAGACCGAATCCCTGGACTCTATGACATCACTATCCTCCATTCTGGAGTAGCCAGTCTGAGATTATATGCTCCGTAGGTCCAAAGGCATCCAAAAATCCATGAGGCAGGTGGTAGGGTTGATCAGCCATAGAGAATGTGTACTACCCCATGATATATCTGCTGAAATATGGACAAAATTTGGATGTTATCCTTCTAATTTAGGGTGGCAAAAAAAATAAAACCACAAATTACATCCTATGAAAAATACACGATGGAGATATCCCAGATCCTTTGAGATTCATGAAAATAATCTCACTTCCAAGAGAAATTTACCATCTGTACTAGAAGTGGCTGTATTTCCATGATGTCTGTAAGAAGGGATGTGGGGCAGGCTGCAGTGATAGGAATTGTCCTTTGGAAGGAAGGGCTCTGGAACAGGACCAACTATTTGGATCATGTGTGCACAGAAATATCAAAGTATCAAAGCCTGTATGTCATTCTAGGAAATTATATAAGGAAAAGTCAATATAAATCAGATAGATCATTTGCTTATCCACTCATTCAAGTACTCAATATATTCTTCAGGGACAGTGCAGAGCACTGGAGATATACATATTCAAATACATACATACATACATATACGCACACATATGTATGTGTGCATATATATACATATGTATATATGTATAGTGTGTGTGTGTGTGTGTGTATGTATATATATATATATTTAGAGAGAGAGAGAGAGAGATTTCTGCCTTTCAGGCTCTAATGAGAGAGATAATATCATAATAGCATAAAGTAAATACGTCTTATTAACAAAGTTACACCCAAATGCTAAGGAAGTGTGGTGAGGGAAGGAAAAGTTGAACATCTGGATTCACAGATCTGGTGAGAAACAGGGGTAAATGCCAGTTACCTGAATTTAGTGTGATGGAACAAGGACTCATCTTGGACCCAGGAAAACTTACAGTGTTACAGTCCCATCTGTTACTGACTAATTGCATGATGTTGCAGAAACTGGCCTCAGTTTCCTCACTGGAAAATTGAGGTATGTCTTGTAGATTTCTATGGCTTTCGTATTTGTGTGTGCATGTGAATTTTAACTAGCAATGCGTCTGCTAAGCAGAAAATCTTTGCACCCAGAATAGCACTGAAAGACTGCTGAGAGAATGAAACACATCCAGGCTCTCTTTATCTTATTGTCCGTGTTTCCAAATACATCGCAATTTCCCTGTCTTGTCTAATTAAGCTGATTTTAAACAGATTGTGATTTAGAAAAAGAAAAGAAAGCTAAGTATTTCTAGCAGTGTCAAACCATTTATTTTGATTAAAAGACAGTCTTTATATCCAAACAAGCCTGTCTTATTTGAACCCAAATGAAGAAAAAGATCTTCATCCTAAGTAATGGGTGGTCAGTATTTTTAATAATCCTTTATAAAATCTAAGTGGAAAGGATGTCTTAGAAACACACAAAGAGACTTAGAAATGGGCCTATTTTCTGTGTTAAAACAAAACCAAAACTAGCCACCTGGGAAACAACACTCACTACCCTACACACCTTCTGGCTATTATCTTCTTTCTTTCCCTGGAGACTCAAGCACTGTGATGTCTCCATTTTTCTCACCTCCTTATTGTAGTTCAGCCCACCTGCAGCCAGACTGCACCTCAACTACTCATCCAAACCCGTGTCTTCCCAGGTCAACAGTCACCTTGTGGCCAAAACCAGTAGAGGCTCCTTGTCCTCATTCTATAGAAGTTCCCTGCCTTGACACTGTCCTCTCTTCCTTGGGCTTCTGGGACATTAATCCCTCCAGGCCTTACTGCTTCAAAAACATGACATAACTGTTTATCATGTCAAGAACTCTGCTAAGAATTTTACATATGTCCTTATTTCAACATAACAATATCTGTATAAAGGGTATGTTATATGCAATTTTACGGAAGACAAAACAGGCTTGGAGAACCTTGTCCAAAGTCACAAGGCAGGAATGTGGCTGTGCTGGTTTTCCCAAGGAGACCCTCTTAGCACTATAATCATGATAATAAAAAGCATCAGCCCCGACTTACCTTATTGGCTGATTATTTTCTCTATTCTGAATCTTTCCATTTTACATGAAACGTTTTCATTTAAGCAGGGCATAGAAATCCTGCAAATGCTTCCCTCGTGTCAGGTAACATACCAGCTTTTCATAGACTTTTCCTCAGCAAAACAAGCCTCAGACAGTTGCTATTATCCCTATTTTACATTTAAGGAAACAATGGTTGAAAGAGATTGCCCCAAATCACAGAGCTCGCTCTTTGTCGGCCTTCATAGCCCCCTCCATCCCATCAGCCCCCTCTTCCCCCTCCTTCCTGCACTCTAGCTAGGAAGACCTCAACCATACACATGGTTTTAACCCTACACTGTCGACCTCAACCCTGCATTTCAGCCTCTTCTAGGTGCAAAACCAGTTATCCATCATATTCCAAGGTCATCTCAACCAAAAGAAAAACACATAAAAAGGGCCAGGCACGGTGGCTCACGCCTGTAATCCCAGCAGTTTGGGAGGCCGAGGTGGGCAGATCACAAGGTCAGGAGTTCGAGACCAGCCTGACCAATATGGTGAAACCTTGTCTCTACTAAAAATACAAAAATTAGCCAGGCGTGGTGGTGCGCACCTGTAGTCCCAGCTACTCGGGAGGCTGAGGCAGGAAAAATCTCTTGAACCCGGGAGAGGGAGGCTGCAGTGAGTCAAGATCATGCCACTGCACTCCAGCCTGGGCGACAGAGTGAGACTCCATCTCTCAAAAAAAAAAAAAAAAAGAAAGAAAGAAAGAAAGAAAAATACATAAAAAGAAAAGATCACAGACATAGTCATCTTTCCTCCAAAACTTAAATGTCTTCTCCCTCCACTTCTCCTAATGAACCACACCACCACTTTCACCACGACATCAGAAATGGGCAAAGCATTCTTACCCCATCCCACCTCCCTCATTCTCCGCATCAAGGTAGTCCCCAATTTCTGTTAGCTCCATCACACCACGAAGTGAGCCCACCTGACTCACATTGCCCCCCATTTTCATGCACACTCATCTTTTCTTGCAAGGATCCCTTAAATTACCTCCTGATTGGCCTCTCTGTCTCCAACATCACACACCTTCAACAGTTAAATCCACAATGCTGCAAAGCAATCTTTCTAAATCTGAAGTGCTACCCTGCTGCTTAAACTCTGAAGTGACATGCCTCGTTGCTTTCCCAATCTCCACCTCATCCATTCCCCACTGGAGCAGCTATGGGTTTATGCGGGGTCGACCACTCCTCTTGATCATGATGGACAAGATTCCAGACCTGAGACCATCAACATATGGAATTCCCTATCCATGATTTAGAGTTAGCATGGAACCCAGTTGGTCTAATCAGGATGACAAGGTGATCTCAGGATGTTTGTTGGATCATTAAGAGAAAAACTTAAACCTTCTCTTATCTCCAAACATAAATGAAAAGTAAGTGTTGGTGCCATCTTGTAACAACCAGGCCAGTCAATCTTTTAAACCTGACGTTTCAGAAGATTCTAAAGTTCTGAGCTATTAAAATAAAAGTCATTCAGGAAAACCAGTGTGTATGTCAGGCCTTTTGAGATGTGTCTTTTCATCTTGAGTACTTCCTCTGTGTATACAAATACCATTGTTGAAAACTCTGTGAAGATAATAATTGCATTTTTCTCATATTACATTAGCTTGTTTCATATGAAACTGCAGTTTTTGTGGATCAAAATGGTGGAATCTTGGCATTTCATATGGTTCAACCTGATAAATGTCCATCTCTCTGTTTATCTTCTAAGTTCCTTAAAATCAAGAAACACCTTGGTGGTACTGGAGCCTAGCAGTGTGTTTTTCTATTAGTAGTTTGATAAATGTTTGTCTAATTGAATTGAACAGAGACATTCAATATAATACTCTGCTTCTGAGATAAGGCTCTACACTTTCCACCTAAATTTTGAGGCTTCCTGCTCTGCCTCCTTCCTTGGCTGTTCCTTGTCCACAACCTGTAAGTGTAAGAATTCTCAGGGTCCTTTTATCTTTTCACTTAAGGCAGTTTTCTGATGGTCTCATGGACTCCCATTAATTTGTTCATCCCCCCACCCCCAACAAACAAACACACAGGCACATTCCCCACACATATGTCTTCAGTTCCAACTCCTCTCCCAAACTCGAAGCTGAATTTTCCAATTACTTACAGGACATCCATATGTAGATGTGTAGGTATCATCTCTCTGCAGACGTCACAAAATAAAACTCATGATGTACCTATTTCCTATACACAGACGTTTCCTACCTATCTGATCTCCTTTCACACCCCATCTTAGTTAACAGCACTCCATCTTCCCAGTGGCACAAGCTCAAAATCTTGTCATTATCCCACACTTAATCACTGTTCACTGTCAAATTCTGCCTCCACATCCCTTCTGTTTCTAAGTCCCTCTTCCGTCTCCCCTTCGTTACACACATTGCCAATGTCCCAGTTCACTGACAACACTCACATCCCCCATCAGCATATCCTCTATCCCATGGCAAGAGCAAACTTTCTAATATATCTATATTTTACCATACACCGTCTCTTCTCAAATATACTTACTGTTTTCTCATGGATGCAATGCAAACATGCAAGGTAAACATTGAGGGAAGACTGCTCAACATATAAGAGAGATCAAAATGAGGAGAAGTTACTCAGGGTAGATTGCCTGCAAGAGGTGAGCTTTGAGCCAGATTTCATAGGAGAAAAGAAATGAGAACAATCTTAACTAAACCAAGGGAAAGCAGAGATGCTGAGAATAGAATCCTTGGGGATTCCTTTCAATGCTTCAGAAATTACTTCATTTAAATCAGAAAGTGGCATTTGTCAGACTTTCCATGTAAGATGACTGGCATTATAGCAATTATTTTTCAGAGTCTAAATATCTCCACTGAAAGTTAGAGAAACAAAGCAGAAAAAAATACTGTAAGAGTTTTGTTGTTAGCATTTTTTTATTCTGGGACAATACTCTTGCATTGGTGATTCAAAGGAAAATAGAAACGTGGACAGTTTTACTACTAAAGAAACAGGCCCAATATTTAAGGCTTGAATCGAAAAGTTATTTTTGAATATTGCAAACATAGAACGTATTCGAGTATGTGTTCCGAGTATTGCAAACTTAGAACATATTTGAGTATTCGTTCCAGGAACACATTCTGATATTCTGCCAAGCAGAATCAGAACTCCCCAAGATCAAGGTGCCTAAGAGCTACTTCAAATGTTTCATAAGTAGTTGAGGCGCACATCAATCAACTGACAAAAATCCTTAGACTTATTTATTTTGTTTCAATTTCTATATCTTCATGAGGCAGAAGAGGACAATCTGGTTTTGAAAATCTTCATACCGAAACAATGTAATACCCACATCAGCCCAATCTTACATCAACTTCCAAAGTAATTAGTACATAGAATATCAACTAGGATATTCTTTTTACTAGCACTCTTGGGAATATCAAAATAGAACACGTTTATTGTCAGAGTTATATTAACACATTTAACCCTTAAGACATTTAAGCAAAAGTCTTATGCCTTCCCACAAGCTACCAAATTCCCAGTCTTCTTAAAGAGCTGGTGGCACTTGACCTTTAGACACTACAGCAGACAAGGGATCAGGAATACCCACATTCTGCTCACCCTCCTCATCATGCAGTTCTCACAGGGAAGCTATTCTTAAGAAAGAGTAACTAAATGAAAATATCAATAATGTTAATTATTCATCTAGCCCAGTTCATTATTATTCATCTAGCCTCAATCAAGCCCACCTGGTAAGAGTTGCACTGGTCACATGCTCAGGAAGCCTCAAGAACTAGGGGGATTTCCGGTCTCCTGCTGAATCCCCTCTCCTTGGGGAGAGAAAACAAGAGAGAGAGGTGCTGCATCACCTTCCAGGTTGTGTTTGTTCTGGGAACGCAGGATGGAATTCTGCCTGCCTCCCAAAGCCCCTGAATCCCTGGTTCTCCTCACCCACACAGCTTATAGACCCAGCTGTGGGAGAAGAAACATCACTATTAGGTTGGTGCAAAGGTAATTGCACAAAAACCGCAAACACGTGGATGGGGACAGTGCCAGAAGATAACCCTCACGGCGACAACCTTAATGAGGTTTCACTCTGAGCACTAGCAAGTATGTGTATACAAATACCATTGCTAAAAACTCTGTGAAAATAATAATTGCATTTTTCTCATATTACATTAGGTTGTTTCATATGAAACCAGTTTTTGTGGATCAAAATGGTGGAATCTTGGCATTTCGTATGGTACAACCTGATAAATGTCCATCTCTCCATTTATCTTACAATAAGTTCCTTAAAGTCAAGAAACACTTCGGTGGTACCGGAGACTAGCAGTGTGTTTTTCTATTAGCAGTTTGATAAATATTTGTCTAATTGAATTGAATGGAGACATTCAATATAATACTCTGCTTCGAAGATAAGGCTCTACACTTTCCACCTAAATGTTGAGGCTTCCTGCTCTGCCTCCTTCCTTGGCTATTCCTTGTCCGCAATCTGTAAGTGTAAGAATTCTCAGGGTCCTTTTATCTTAACAAGTATGTCTCCATGAGTGCCTCGGATTCTGACCGATCAGATGATCATTCCCTTTCCTGGGATGGGTTGGGGCAACCAGGGCGCAGCTGAGGGCAGTGTGATAGGAACGAATGTGCCCACGGCATCCTTTTGCCCACCATTCCGTGGGATCGGTCACTATAAGTATCCAACCACCTAGGGGCGCTTGCCTGTTGGCATTTACCCTGTGTCCCTCACTCATCTGACCCTGGGGCTGCCTTCCTGTAGCAATGCTCTATTTCCCATCAGGTGGAGAGAGCTGGTTTCTGCATACTTCCATCTCCATCTTCTGCTGCAGCAGAACCCAGCTCAGTATCTTCAAGGCACAGAGAAGGCCACCTCTTCTAGCCCCTGGTCACCACTTAAAGTGGCACTGCCCATCTTGGGAAGCCTTTGCTGGGGATGCCTCTTTTTATGACGCCTCTCATAAGAGGGGAGGGGCTTCCTATGGCACCTCTGGAAGAGGGGAAAGGCTGAGGATTTGGGATTTTTAAAAATTTTTAATTGTAAAAGTTCATGCTTCTTGAAAGTAGAATCAGACAAGAGGGAAATGTGTAAAATAAAATGTGAAAATCTCCTTACCTAGCCGTCTCCTCTTCACACAAAAACACTGTTAAATGTCTCGTGCGCTTTCTTCCAGACCTTTCTCTAAACAGAGGAAGGGTCGTGAGGGCAGAAGGGGAGGAGGGATTGTTGCTCTTGTTCACAAACCTACTATTCTCTAACTATTGTTTACAGATATATCCCCATGTCAGTGCATAGAGATTTTTCTTGATGAAAGTATATATATATGCATATTTGAATTACAATATACTTGAATTATATATATTTGGATTATATTTATATATGTGTGTGAGCATAAAAATCTATATATAGATAGAGATATAGATAGATAGATAGATAGATATAGATAGATAGATAGATTTTAAATCATTATAGCCCTAAAGCCCTAAAAAACTTTCTGGTATATGAATATCATAATAGCAGACATTTTGAAAAATTCTTTGCAGACATAAACAATGGAAAGGTATAAAAATTAATGGAGAAATCCAAAGAGCCCGGTTTTTTCAATACAACAAATATAACCATAAAAATGATCTGGCCAGGTGTGTTGGCTCATGCCTGTAATCCCAGCACTTTGGGAAGCTGAAGTGGCTCGATCACCTGAGGTCAGGAGTTCAAGACCAGCCTGGCCAACATGGCAAAACGCCATCTCTACTAAAAATACAAAAATTAGCAGGGTGTCATGGCAAGCACCTGTAATCCCAGCTACTCAGGAGGCTGAGGCAGGAGAATCGCTTGAACCTGGCAGGCAGAGGTTGCAGTGAGCCGAGATTGCACCACTGCACTCTAGCCTGGGAAACACAGTGAGATTCTGTCTCAATTGAAAAAAAAAAAAAAAAAAAAAGATCTCCAGGCAGTATGAAATATTTCGCTTACAAAATACATTTTTTAAATCTGTGGCTGTCAGAATGCTTCTCTTCCCCTTCTTCTCTCACCGTAAACCAAGAGTCCAGCACTAACAGTCAGACTTTTGCCACCAAGACAAATGCAGAGAAGGGGTCCCCAGAAGGGAGGTTTGCTAAGGTTGAGGGAAGGGTCACCCAGTGAGATGCCCACAGTAGCCTGAGGTCCTTTTAGACCTCCACAACAGACATGGAGATATTTAGGGAGTTGTTTAGGGTTGAAGGGGGAAGATAGACAATGCTGCCCAGGAATGAATTAAAGACTCCTACCTCCAGAAAGGAGGTATCCTTATTATGACAATTAGCTGTCAATACTTTGCTCCGCACCCACACCCCTCAAGGGAATCCTGCCTTTTAGCAAGACTGACCCAAGTACAGAGCTGGCCATCCAGTAGCCTATTATCAAGTAACCTTCCATCTAAGTAGCCTATTATTAGCAAGGAAACATGGCCAAATGGAATTTTTTTTTTTTTTTTTTTTTTGGAGACAGAGTCTTTCTCCGTCACCCAGGCTGGAGTGCAGTGGCACAATCTCAGCTCACCGCTACCTCCACCTCCCAAGCTTAAGCGATTTTCATGCCCCAGCCTCCAAATAGCTAGGATTACAGGTATGCACCACCATGCCTGGCTAATTTTTTCTATTTTTAGTAGAGACAGGGTTTCACCATGTTAGGCAGGCTGGTCTCGAACTCCTGGCCTCAAGTTGATCCACCTGCCTCAGCCTCCCAATGTGCTGGGATCACAGGTGAGAGCCACCGCACCTGGCCCCAAGTGGAAATTAAAACAGCACTGTATTAGCAGTGAAGCCAGGCTCAATAATCTCCCAGGCTGCTGTCCCACCCATTGCCCCTCTGCAGGCACTCACCTTTCCAAGTCACTTTGATGGCTTCTTTCTGCGAGTTTCTACAACCTTCAGATCCAGCTTTCTCCAGCCACAGGAGTGTCCTCAACCTGTGCACAGGGCGGGCTAGAAGGACCAGGGGGTGACCCCCTACAGAAGCAGCCTGCAACCAATCATGAATGAGCATTAGTGCCAGATGCTTCAGCTTTGCATCCATCAGGCATGAGGTGCATCTACATGCCCTGGCAGAAGTCCCGATGGGAGGGAGCACCAGTGCTCTCTGACATAGCCTGCTGTGGGCACACCTGAATTGGCTTTCTCCCCTTTCCTGCCCATTCTCACTTCCTCCACCCCTCCTGGTGCTTCCCAGATCCCCCTCCAAAATGAACCCCTTGCACTTGAATCCTTATCTCCTCATGGGGGGACAAACTTAAGACACCAGGCCTTGAAGTCTTTCCTCCTATTTGCTTTTCATCCTTTTGCAAATTTATACAGGTCAGAGAAGCAAGTATTCATCCAGGGAAGCTTATCATTTTCGGAAGTGTTTAGAAATGATAAAAAATGAATCAAAATAAATAGGAGTAAATTTTATTTTTTAAAAAGCACCTAATGATAAATATGATCCATTTAATCTTAGGAGACAAATTAATAACAAAACTTTTCTTTATAATTAAGTGATGAGGCCTTCAACGGACACACTATCAAGAAGCTCAGGATGTCCTTTTTGAGGCCTCCTCCTGCTCTCCAAACTCTTCATGATTGTGCAAAAACGCCGAGCAGAGAGAGAAATGGAAATTGTGACCAGTCTCCTAAGACGTCCCAGGTTGGGTTTGCTATTGGTCTCATTAGTGCCACTGAAACTAGGTTTTTAAATCTTGTCTGCCTTGATGGAAGCATCCATGCCCTTGGTGACTCAGTTCCCAGCATCGACTTCAGGCTCAGCTTTGGGACCCATGTACCCAACCATGAGGGGCCACTCAGGTGTTGCGGGAAGAGTCACAAGCATCATCCAAGAAGACTGTCTGCAGTTGCCCAGGCCAAGGTGAAACTGGAAGCATCTTTTGATAAATATACAATGTACCATCTCACTCAGTCCCTGCTAGATAGGCCAACGAATGCTTTGAAAAACTCCTGGAAGGATAAACATCAAAATGTTTATGTTGTTGTGTCTGCATTGTGAAATTGGGGTTAATTTTTATTTTTTCTTTCTGTTTCTATATTTTCTGAATATCTTCTGTGAAAATGTATTACTTTTGCCACCATATTTTTTCAATGCTATCAATTTTTTTTAAAGAAATTGCCACTGGTGTTCACTCAGTCATTTAACAAATATGTGCCAGGCATATCCTAGGCACTAAGAATGCATAAATGAACACATAAAACACCTCCTTTCATGGGTGTTACACACTAGTGAGGGAAACAGATGTTACATAAGTCAGCAAATATGTACAGAATATAAAGTCAGGTCTCGGTGAATGTTGGAGGAACAGCAAAGCAGGACGAGCCATAGGTGACCCAGGTAGATCATGTGCAAATGGAACCTATCTCAGTTCAAGCTGCTATTACAAAGTAAAACAGATGGGTGGATTATAAACAGTAGAAACTTATATCTCACAATTCTGGGGGCTGGAAGTCTAAGGTCAGTCTAAGGTACAGGCATGGTCAGGTTCCATGAGGGTTCTCTCCCTAGTTTCCAGATGGCTGACTTCTTATATCCTCACTTGGTGGAAAGAGGGCGAGAGAGGGATCTCTCCAGGATCTCTTTTATGAGGGCACTAATCCCGTTTATGAGGGCTCCACTGTCATGACCTAATCACCTCCCAAAGGCCCCACATCACAATACCATTATATTGAGGGTTAGGATTTCAACATATGAGTTTGCGTGGGAGCAGGAGGAAGAGTATACATTCAGTCCATAAATGAGAAACCATCCAGAAATTATCCATTACAAAGGAGTTACTGTATCCTTCATTTTTTGCATGAAAATTATACAAACTGTTGGAAAACAATTCATCTTTATCTTGCATTTCAGATTAAAATTGTACTATTTACCTTCTATATAAAATGATCTAAAACAAGATCAATTTATCTGTTAGAAGTAACTTTAAAAGTTTTTTTAAACTAAATTCAGGTTTTATATGTGTCATCTTTCCCAGTTCTGTTGATTTTTCCCTCTTTACTCACTCTCTGGACTTCTACTTTTCAAAACCACCTACAAATGCCCCTCCACTGTATAGCAACAGGCTCCACAATCAGTGCAAAATGCCATGATCACCGTGACTTGCCCAGCCACCCACCTTCATTCTTCACAGCCTAAGAGTCAAGGAAGTGATGAGTCACCCTTCATCATGAATGCCTCGGCTAGGTAGGCCCGCACAGGCTTCAGTGTTTAGGACCCAGAGTTATCCCTTTACAGCATGTTGAGGAAGAGTTGCTGAAGTTCATCTGCCTTTTGCAGCCTGCACACCACTGTTGAATGTTATTTCATGAAAGAAGGATACCCAAAACTCACCAAGCCATAAGAATTCACAACCGCATTTACCCCCATCCTTTGGAAACGGCGGGATCAATTATTTTCTTTCTAAGTCCTCTTGGCCATTTCCAAATGAATGTAGGGTGTCCCAGGGGTTCCCTTGTGGGCCCATTCAGTGTGGCCAAGAGCCCCACAGTCCGCACGTACACAACAGTTCTCAGTGATGCTGCAGAGCAGGACAAAGAAGGACAGAGCTAGGTAAGAAGCCAAAGAGAAAAGGCTGCCAACTGGAGAGGCTCTTAAAGAGACACCATAGGAGATTTTAAAAATTACTGTATATAAAAGAGTTCAGGTGGTGGAACTGGAATAGTTGCTATAAAACAGTTGTTCTAAAACTCTCAAAGAAAACACTGCTAGAATTTAACAGAAAGCTTCTGCGTTCTGCAGTTGAAAACTCTAACTGTGGCACGGGTGAAATCACTCTCATTTGGCCTGGAGAAGTGGGTGTGGAAAATGGCACCCCGAGGCAATCAAAGAGACAGACTTGTGTTTCCTCTGCTGAGTCAAAGAAAAGCTGAGCACTGAGGATGGCCAGGCTTCACATAGCCAAAGCCCAGAGCCAGGAGGATAAAAGACTTTTGAGCAAACACATGCCACCAAGTCCATGCACTGAATCTGGACCCATTTATTCTTGAGTGCCCTACTTATTTTTTTAATTCTTAATAAGATTGATTATCTGGTGTTTTGACCCATATAGTAGATTACAAGAGGCGAATAAGAAAATGGGTCGGGGGTCGGGCACGGGGGCTCACACCTGTAATCCCAGGGCTCTGGGAGGCTGAGGTGGGTGGATCACGAGGTCAGGAGTTCAAGACCAGCCTGACCAACATGGTGAAACCCCATCTCTACTAAAAATACAAAAAATTAGCCAGGCATGGTGGTGCATGCCTGTAATCCCAGGTACTCGGGAGGCTGAGGCAAGAGAATTGCTTGAACCTGGGAGGCAGAGGTTGCAGTGAGCCGAGATTGCACCATTGCACTCCAGCCCAGGCAACAAGAGTGAAACTCCGTCTCAAAAAAAAAAAAAAAAGGAAAGAAAGAAAATGGGTCAGGGATGCTGTTGGGTCAGAAGCAGGAACACTGATTTTTAAAAAGACTACACGTACAATAAAAGTGACAGGTATGTGTAAGAGAAAAGATTAACAATTTTACAACAGCCAACAAGAACCTCCCAAGCAAAACAGAGCAAGTTTTTTGTTTTTTGTTTTTTGGGTTTTTTTTTTTGAGGCGGAGTCTCGCTCTGTCGCCCAGGCTGGAGTGCAATGGCGCTATCTCGGCTCACTGCAAGCTCTGCCTCCCGGGTTCACGCCATTCTCCTGCCTCAGCCTCCCGAGTAGCTGGGACTACAGGCGCCCGCCACCATGCCCAGCTAATTTTGTGTGTGTGTGTGTGTGTGTGTGTGTGTGTGTGTATTTTTAGTAGAGACGGGGTTTCACCGTGTTAGCCAGGATGGTCTTGATCTCCTGACCTCGTAATCCACCCGCCTCAGCCTCCCAAAGTGCTGGGATTACAGGCGTGAGACACCGTGCCCGGCCAAAACAGTGCAAGTTTACTAGAAGCAAAATAGCCTAATTCCTTCACCCACTTCTAAGATACCACAGAAACCGATATTCATAATGAAGGCTTCGGAGAGTCAATAGTAAAGGCACTTGCATTGGGTATTCTCAGGGAATGAAGTGGTGGGGGTGTGTTTTAGACAAATTCCCATCAAAAATGGTCAAGTGGAGAGAGTTAACTCCAAAGGGCCACAAAGGAATTTTGGGGTTGATGGAGATGATTTATATAATGATTGGGAAGTGGTTGCACAGATGTATATATTTGTCAATTCTCCAAACTCTATACTAATGGAGGTGTGTCTTATTGCATGCCAATTACTTCAATGAAATTGATTTAAAAGTAAAAATAAGGTTCAAGTTAAAATTTGGCACTTACAAGGCAGAAGTCAGCTAGCTGAGACTCCACTAATACACACAATGGCCTAGTTCCTTGGTGATAAGGCCGTTAGATTAATTCAGGAGCACACATTATGCCTGCACTGTGCTGAGTCCTGAGAATACGAACATCTTGGAAATAGCATCTCTCTCTTGGAAAGGCCCATAGTTTGATGAATTTAGTGGCTAAAAGATGCACTAATTTTCTTAAAACCTCAACACACATTAGAATGGGGTGTTGAAAAAGTTAGGGTCCAGAGAGCCCCTCTGACATGGGTATATTGTTCCTTGCCTCTTCTCTCAGGTTTTGCTGACCTACACAATTTTCTGCATTTGGAATAAAGCCCACTTTTTCCAGCATCATTTTAAAGAGGAACCATTACCACCCTCGACTGAGAACAATCCCAAGGGAGTTGGCAGAGTGGATTTTCCTCTTGATTTCTGAGCAATAAACGGGACTTGACACAAGCTGTCAGAATCTAGTAGCTCTAAAACTACCTACTGGGTGAGGGAGGAGACACAGCACTGAAACATTAGGCTGCAATCCCCCTGACCCAGGACAAAGGGTCCCAACACTCAGTCATCTGGGACTGTCTGAAAACCTATCAAAGGTTACTAATATAAAAATAGAAACAGATTAGATGGCTGAAGAGTGTCTTAGCCATAACCAGGCTTGCAGCAAGGTTTTATACATATTTGTTGAAAGAATGAGTAAAATACCAAGCTTTTGTTCTTATGACTGCTTTATAATACAGTGGGGCTGTAAGGCTAAGACTGGCAAAAAGGAAGAGGTGAAGCAATTCAATCCCTAAATTTAGCTGAGTGCTGTTACACCTGCACCTTGCGCTTCCTCTCTGCCCAATCCCCACCCCTCAGCCTAATCCCCGCCCCCTCAGCCTAATCTCCCCACCCTCAGCCTAATCCCCACCCTCACCCCATTCCCCTCCCGCTCAGCCTAATCCCCACCCCTCAGCTTAATCCCCACCCCCTCTGCCCAACCTAGTACCCCTCAGCCTAATCCCCACCCCCTCAGCCTAATCCCACCTCCTCAACCTCATCCTGATTCCAAAAGGTTTACAGGCTCAATCAGAGGATGCCTGGAAGTTTTTGTGTGTCTTGGGAGCTGTAGCCCCAAGTGTAACCCCTTCCCAGTGCTTCCCTTGGCCTGTTATGTACTGGCAGCATGTCAGTCATCACCCCAGAAGGAAACAGCATCTAACTCAGATTGTAATTCTCTTAAGGGGAGGGATGACACACAGAACTGTGGGCACATTTAAGGGAAACAGTGAAGGATGGTGAGGCGCCCAGAGACTAGCAACATGGGAGGCCATTGCAATCCCCTGGCCTAGGGTCACCAGATGCAAATAAAAATGCAGAACACCAGTTAAATTTGAATTTCAGATAAACAGCAAATAATTTTTTAGTACAAGTATGTCCCAAATATTGCACTTATATTTACTTATACTAAAAATATTACTAGTTGCTTAACTGAAATTTAAATTTAACTGGATGTCCTATATTTTATCGGGTAGCCATACCCAGGCCTGAGGCAACTTGGTGTTACTGGAGCCCAGTGAGAGTTGGAGCCGAGGAGGATGTCAGGGAGGCCCAGCAGGAACGGTGTTCACTGAGGTGTACAGACCAGAAACAGAGCCCACTGCAGCAAAGAGCAAGGAGAAAGATGGTACCTCTCTCTCCTCTTGCCCTCTAATCTCCTAAGGGCATTTCCCAATGGCAGAAGGCAATTGGAAACCAGTCTACGAGACAGCCTCACGGCTATAACCCTTAGGGGTTGGTCTCCTGGAGCAAAGAGGCCAGCAGAGAAGGCAGAAAATGGATATGGAGGTTGAGGCAAACAGACTAACCAGCTTAGAAATGTTCTATATTCCTTCTAGGAGCATATGGAAATTATTTTTATTTTTGCTTAATACCACCAATAAAGCTGAATTCATAGAAAGCAAATATTTGGGGTGTCTCCAATTGCACAGTAACAATAGAGCTTGAATTTTATATGGATATATTTACTCACACACAGGAAGACACCGCTTTCTAAACATGTACATGTTCGGTTCACAGGAAGCTGGGGAAACTGTGAACCGGAAATAGGCAAAGATGACACTGCAAAGTGCCTCTTGGACAGTTAAAAACTTATTCTGCACCTGGGAACTATCTCAAGACAGAGACAAGTAATTCCATCGGTCATATTTTTGCTGGCAGTTTAAAAGCAAACACTGGGCCAGGTTTGACTTGCTATTGGAGTTGAAAGAATTAAGCATCTTTGGAACCTCCTACTTTTGGCCCGAGCGCGGTGGCTCACACCTGTAATCCCAGCACTTTGGGAGGCCGAGGCAGGCAGATCACGAGGTCAGGAGATCGAGACCATTCTGGCTACCATGGTGAAACCCCGTCTATACTAAAAATACAAAAAAATTAGCCGGGCATGGTGGCGGGCGCCTGTAGTCCCAGCTACATGGGAGGCTGAGGCAGGAGAATGGCGTGAACCCGGGAGGCAGAGCTCGCAATGAGCCGAGATTGCGCCACTGCACTCCAGCCTGGGTGACAGAGCCAGACTCGGTCTCCAAAAAATAAAAAAAAAGTATAATTAAATTTCTTTATCACTTCTAACTTCTTTGCCCCCTCCAAAATCAAGTTAAACATCAAAGACAGTGCAAAGGAGGGGGAGGGGATAACAATGAAGTCCTATACAGACCCTTTAGCTTAAGGAAGGAGGTGGGGCGGGACGTTGGGAAGCATGCAGAAAGGTCTGAGAAGGACCAGGCTCCTAGTTCTAGCTGGTTCTGCCTCCTAATTGCCCCCAGCTCCTTGTGCAAGTCACTTAACCTCTTCAGGCCTGTTTTATTTTTTTGTTTTTGTTTGTTTGTTTTTATCTCTGTACTAAGGGAATTAGTTTTGAGCCATGTAGCTTTTTCCTGATTTAAGAGTCTCTGGGTCCCGTATGTGCTTTGGAAATTCAATTCTCAATAATCCCACAGGACAAGAGTAAATAGAAATCTTAGCCGACTATACTAACAAAGGTGTCTTCACTACCTAGGATTAACCTAGAGACTGGCCAAGCCCACTGGAGTTTAGCTTCCATTCAGCTGATTTTACCGTCCAGCTTCAAGAGGAGCCATCACTGTAGCAGGAGGGGAGTGGGAAGGAAATCCTTCCCGAATGCTTAGGACAGGATAAAGAGGAAAGTTTTCTCACTCCTCACATAAAGTCAAAAGGTTTTTAGTTCACCAAAGGCACAACAGCCTCAATGCCCACAGGATCCAGCCAATGGTTAAAGAAAGACATAGGAGGCCGGGCTTGGTGGCTCATGCCTGTAATCCCTGCACTTTGGGAGGCTGAGGTGGGCGGATCACAAGGTCAGGAGTTCGAGACCAGCCTGGCCAATATGGTGAAACCCCGTCTCTACTAAAAATACAAAAATTAGCCAGGAGTGGTGGCGGCTGCCTGAAATCCCTGCTACTTGGTAGGCTGAGGCAGGAGAATTGCTTGAACCCGGGAGGCGGAGGTTGCAGTGAGCCAAGATCACGCCACTGCACTCCAGCCTGGGTGACAGAGAAAGACTCTGTCTCAAAAAGAAAAAAAAAAAAAAAAAACACAGAGAATGAAATGGGGAAAAAAAATCTGCAATACACAGGCAGTCCTTATGAAACCCTGTATTCTTAACTTTAACTTATTTGTTTATTAATGTATCTTTTCACCTCCTGACTGTGCCCATTAGCTTTTAGTCCTTCATGTTCCATGATCGCAAGTTCAAAGCAAGACATCCATGACCATCTGCCCAATACTTTATCTATACCCGCTCCAGGAGCCGCGGAAAAAAGTTAGATCCCCTTAGAAGTTTGAGAGAGCACCCTTCTACTTCACACAGCTAAAAGGAGCAAAAAGAAAACGCATGCCTCTCTCAGTTGTCCTGCATCTGAGCTGCATCATTTCAATGGAGGTAGAAATCTGATGCTTGTTTTTCCACCCTGGCTGAAGAGGTCTAAGCACCGAGGCTGTTCATCTGGGTCTCAAAGTGCACAGCCTAGGAAAATCCTGGGAAGATACTCAGGAGCTTACCCAGATCATGGGGTGCAGAGAAAGCAGCCTCATGCTAAGTCCTCCTTAGGAAAGAGGGAACAACAGTGGATTCTTATGCATGAATCAGCGTTCCGATGATCTCGCAGGAAGACCACAATCAAAGAGAAAATTCTAAATTATAATGAGCCATGTGTGTCTCAGTGCGACAGTCATGTTCTCCCAGACTTTGAAGTTTGTAAGGAATTTGAGAATCCAACTGGAGGTTCCGCGGGGCCACAGTGAGGGCCCCAGGGGACTGCACGAATGGGGGCCCTGCAGGCATGTGTCCTTGGTTCCCATCTATAAAATCGCCAGATTTAAACAGACAGCTGCTGTTCAAGCTCTTAAAATGCTGTGTTGAGGGAAACGCAGGGCTGCCTCGAGCCTGCTCGCCCAGCAGTCAGTCTGATGAGAAATACAGTTGAAAGAACAAGCTGGAAAGCCAAATACCTGTCAGGCTCTTTCACACTGCAGCATTGCCAGAAGGTCTATAAAAATGTCATTGTCTCTCAGCTGCCGGTGATTATATTACCCTTTACATTGGCTGTTGGTAATAAAAAAAAAAAGGCAAATATCATTTTTGCACTGCTCTGGCCTTCCTCTGGCCTTTTTCAAACAATAATAGACTAAATATAAAGAGACAGAAGTCATTACTGGACTCTTTAACTAGTGCCAAGGAAAATGAATAATTAAGGAAACATTACTTGAAAGAAATTTACACGGTTGCTTTTAAGTTAGAACTAAATAAGAGCTCTTTAAAAATACATCATTTCCCCTTTATCTTAACACAGCATATGTACTCTGGCCTAATATATTATGGTGGCTACTGTTTAGATCTTACCAGGAAAGAAAAATGCTTTTAGATTCCATTATCCTATTATAAGTCCCAAATCAAACAGAGACACAGGGAAGAGATGAGGAGGCTGGGGAGGTAGAGGCTGGTCTGTTTGCACAGCTTCCTTCACGTCTGGCCTACCAACCAATATTTAATTTTGTTCACCTAGGACAGCAATTCTCAGACAGTTCTCTGACCCCCCGAACCCCCCTTTAACATCCATCTCAATTTCAGGAAGCCTAGCAATTTTTAAATAATGTGCTCAATTTTGTTCTCTGAAGTTGTCAAGAAGAGGTAAGCACAGATAACCCCTATCTATGCCTCAGCATCTGACTTGGTGTGTGCAAGGCTGGTTCTTGTGGAGCAATAGCTCCTTTCCTAGCCCTCCTCACTTTCTGGCTCTCCCTCCCTTTCCCCATCTTGCTTCTTTCCCCTCATTTGAGTCTTTAGCCTGCCTTACACAAGGAGAATTAAACAGAGCTGGCACCAGACCCAATAGGACACTCTGTGCACCAGGCGACAACCTTGACCAGTTGGAGCGACCATAGGAAGATTGTTTAGCAGGAAGTCCAGGGCTTGGAGCCACTTTTCTCAGCCTGGTGCCATGAGAGCAGGTTGTCCTGGGGCCTCAAGCATGGCCAGTCCACCTCTGCAGTGCCAGATCCAGAGACAACCTGAAGTCTGGCAGAGTCCAGGTGTGTGGCTACTCGGTAATGTGAGGCTGCAATAGGAGAGGCAACCTGAGTTCCTGATGTTGTCTTAGTGCACATTATGTTTCAGGCCTGAAGCATTGGGCCTTGGGAATTATCTGATCACTTGTTCAGATAGATGTTCTGTGTCCTCTCTTCTCAAATGCCCTGACTCTCCATACCTAGGTGCTTCACGTGCCATAGCCCCACTCCTTTCCTCTCTGTTACAGGCTGACTTGCATCCCCCCAAAATTTATATAATGAAATCCCAACCCACTTCCTTAGAATGTAGTTGTATTTGGAGAGAAGGTCTTAAAAGAGGTGATTAAGTGAGGCTGTTGTAGTGAGGCCCTGATCCAATATGACTGGTGTCCTTAGGGGAACAGACGCTAGGGCTCAACGGTGTGAGGAGAGAGCAAGAGGGTGGCCATTCCCAAGCCAAGGAGAGAGGCTCATAGTCTCAGGAGAAACCAAATATGTCCACATCTTGATCTTGCACTTTGCCAGAACTATGAGAGAATAAATTTCTGTCGTTTCAGCCACTGAGTCTATGGTATTTTGTTATGGCCTAACAAAACGAATCCACTCTACAAAGGTCAATATTTTGCCCCTTCCTGAAAAATTTATTGTATTATTAGGGATGTTATAAGCTACAACCTGGGCAACTTAGAACGACAGAAATTTAATGCCTCACAGTTCTGGAGGCTGAAGGTTCAAGATCAAGGTGTCAGCAAGGTTGGTTCCTTCTGAGGCCATGAGGGGGAAGCTGCCCCACGCCTCTCTCCCAGCTCCCGGTGGTTCACTAGTGATTTGGGTGCCCCTTAGATTGTATGCACAACCCCCAAGCCTCCACCTCTGTCTTCACGTGGTGTTCTTCTTGTGTACTTGTCTGTCTCTGTGTCCAAATTTCACCTTTCATCAGAACACCTGTCATATTGAATTAGGTCCCACCCTAATGACCTCATCTTTCTTTTTATGGAGGTATAATTGACAAACAAAAAATGTATATTTACAGTGCACAACACAATTTTTTCTGGTTTGGTTGTTTTTTGTTGTTGTTGTTTTGTTTTGTTTTCTTTTTGAGACAGAGTTTCCCTCTTATTGCCCAGGCTGGAGTGCATGGTGTGATCTTGGCTCACGGCAACCTCCACCTCCCAGGTTCAAGCAATTCTCCTGCGTCAGCCTCCCAAGTAGCTGGGATTACAGCCATGTACCACCATGCCCAGCTAATTTTGCATTTTTAGTAGAGATGGGGTTTCTCTATGTTGGTCAGGTTGGTCTTGAACTCCAAACCTCAGGTGATCTGCCCACCTCGGTCTCCCAAAGTGCTGGGATTACAGGCATGAGCCACCATGCCTAACCCATAACACAATGTTTTATGTATACAATGTGATGGTTAAATTCTAATGACCTCATCTTAATTTGATCATCTGCAAAGATCCTATTTCCAAAAAAGGTCACATCCACAGATACTTGGGTTAACACTTTGACAGCGGTGCAAAGCAGACAAATGGCTAGGCAGATAGGGGAGTGTCCCTGGTGAAACCCCACCTCCAAGCCAAAGACAGTTTAAAGCCTGAAAGCCAAGCTGCAAGTCAAATCCATGGACTGGATTGAGAACCTGTCTTTCCATTTGTTGCACTTTCCTCTTATTCTCCTTCACCTATTTTATATATACCTACCCTTTCCTAGTCCGTTTTTCTACACTGCTGTGCTCACCTTTGAGTGGTGTTTTTGCTTTAGCCTTTCTTTGCATACTCATGAACCAATCAGCATGCCCTCCCTATTCTGAGCCCATAAAAACCCTGGACTCAGCCACACTGAGAGACAACTCGACCTTCCCATCCCCTCTCTGCTGAGAGCTGTTTCCTCACTCAATAAAATTCTCTGCTCTCATAACCCTTCAATTTTCAGTGTGACCTCATTCTTCTTGGATATGGGACAAGACCCACCAAACGCGGGGGCTGAGCACACAGTTGTGGCAGCCATGGGAGCTGCAGGCCAGAGCACAAGCCAGATGCATCCCAGCAGGCCAAATAGGTGGGGTGGCCCTTGCTGCATGCCCGGCAAAGGGGCCGAGAAAAATCCAACATCTTCCTGGAGAACACAATTCAACTCACAGCCACTAATTATAGAAATATACTTATGTCTAGAATGCCAATGCCAGGCAGTTATTTATGAGTAAACAAAGTGAAGCTGCCATCATTCCTTCCTCTAATACTTCCCAATCTACTCATTAATGCTTTTAGTCCCTTTATTGGAGAATAAAACTTTTCTTGGCTCAGTAAGAAAGATGATTTCACCTGCAGGTGCACCTTGAGAATCTCCACTGAAATGCACATATGCAAGAGTGGCTGTTTCCTGGCAGAAGGTGTCATGGCCAGGTAGGTGCAGGACAACTAAAGGGTTGTGGCATGAAAGGCTTGGTGATGAGGAAAAGCTGGAAGAAGCAGGAAGGAAATTGAAAGAGGTTGGGAGTTGCAGAGATTTTTGTGTGTGCTGATTCAGATCATTGTATTTTTTTCATCCATGTGTTTTCTGTCCTGTGGACTTGGCCTTGGCACTCAGGGGAGAGAACAGTGTTTTGAAGGAGCCTCTTATGAGCGTACATGGTCCCATTAGACCTGGAACAGAGAAAATCAGAGGTGAGCAGCTGATTCTTCTGACAAGAACAAGACAGGAAAAGAAGAAGAAAGACTGGTGGAGTCTTTAAAAGCTACCTTGACTTGTTTGTCTTGCCCAGAGGTAATTAATTATACATCATCACAGGAAAAGGCACATGTTTCGGAAATGCTCTTCAGTGAACTACATCCATTTGTGTTTTCAAGGAGTCAATCCAGGTGATTAAGGCAGAGGGAGGACTTGTATAAAGAGAAAAATCTACAAAGCAGTTTCATTCCACACGTATTTGCTCTTTCAAAGCAAATTCAGCAGGAAATCCAAATCACTGATGCAAACCTTTGCAGTTTAATTTGTTCCCAGGGGCATACTGGGGGCCATTATCCCAGAAGCATTTACATGAAAATCCCATTATTTAAAGTATATTCATTGTATTTCTGTTTAACCCTAGGCTGTTCATTGAGAAGTTAACAGTAAATAGGAAGAAAGTTGAGGATGATAGGAAGTAACTTTGGGGGTATTTAATGCCAACAGGAAGGACACCAGCTTGGCAGCACTTGGAGGTTATTATAAGAGTTTGTTTAAAAATCATCCACAGCAACGAGTCATGGGCTGGGGTGTGTGTGTGTGTGTGTGTGTGTGTGTGTGCAATCTAGGTGATTTTTTTTGAATTGGTGCTTTAGGCAGTGCCAGCCCACAAAGTCATTGCCACTGGCCACTTCAAAATTCTGAAGTTTCCTATTTTGAGAAAATCTATTGTTTGGGACACCACTGAACTTTTGAAATCTGCATAGTAAGGCACATCACTGCACATTAATACTTTGCTGGAGGAAGACATAAACTATCAACAAGGCAAACTATTTAAAGGACACCTTGGCATAATTTCCTTCTAGTCCAGCCCTCCTTAACACCTTAGCACACAAAGTGACATGTGTTAAATTTTTGCTGACATTGGCCCCACCAAGCACAGTCGGCCTCTGTCATACCTCAGGGATGATAGAGCAGCCATGTCTGCACTCTATTGTTGGCCGTTCATCCATCGAGCCCCTCCCTACTTCCTCTGCCTTCTCTTCCCTGGTTCATTAGAGAGGCAGTGTGAGTGCCTCTCTAACCCACACATGGCGTTTACTGTTTTACAGAAAAGGTTTCATCTTGTTCCAGTCATCTTTTGGATGAGCTTGGTAGCTGCTACACAATAGCACAGAGACAGCAGCGAGGACCAGGCTGTGCACCCTGCAGTGGCAGGACCTCCCAGGCCACTCATACCCACTGGTAGCCCTTGCTCTGGCAGAACCAGAATTCCAGGGCTATGTTGCCTCTTCTCTTTTGAATTTGTGAACTCTTTGCCCCTGTTCTCATGAATTATGCTCATGCCTGGTTGTGCCAAAAGGAACTGACCACCTTCTACTCTTCTAAGATGTAACCCAGGGAGATATTCTATAACTCTGTATGTGAGACCACAGGAGAACCCAACAAACTGCAGTCCCTCACCTTGCTTCTCGCTTCCTCTCCAGGTGGAGATGTGTCTTTTTTATCCACTCTTCCTAACGCCAAAGACATAGAGGAGGAGATAGTGCTCAAGGAATCATCATCATCATCATCACGGTCATCATCATTTAACCAGTCTAGTCCTCCAAAGGCCACTCGATGGGTTAACTCATTGTTAACCAGTTACTGTTATTAACCAGCTTCATGGTTTGTTTTAGTAGAACACAGAGCTGGACCAAAACTTTATGGGAAGCAGCCAGCCAACATGTGGCAGTACCATGAACAGAACTACCTCTGTAGGGAGCACAAAAGAAGCCAAAGACAGAATTCATAACAGCTTAAATGCTATTCAGTAGAAAAGGTATTTTTTTAAATAATAACTGAGATACCCATACAATGGAATTTATGTAGTGGTTTAAAAGAAAGAATCCATCTATTACATGGATGTATCTTTATGATGTCTTGCAAAGTAAGGATGCAAATTGAAGAACAATATATATACCATGATCCCACATGTGTTAAAATAAATATCCAAAACTATTGGCAGGGGAATTGAAAGAAAGTTTCCACGGTTTTATCTGTGCAATTTAAAGATAAGAAAGATAAGCTCTCTCCCTTGAAAAACTTCCAGTCAATGAAGGAAGGAAAGGTGAACAAATCTGACATATTTTGAAATTGTTCTCCTGCGTGTTGCAAGACATTTGACTAGAGATCACTGCAGGGAGAGCCAGGACTTGTCCCGGATACCTTCCTGTAAGGGTCAGGACTGGATGGGGTCTTTGAGGAACGGGTAAGGTTTGGAAAGATAGAGAAAAAGGAGGAAGACTGTAAGACAATGTCTTATGTTGCTGTCAGTATTGGAAGAGTGGAGCAAGAACACACTCTACCCTCCTTCTTAATCACAGCCACAAGGGGCTCCTATGCATTTTCTCACATTGGTAAAGTCATTACAGAGGTTTGCACTCCGGAAGTTAATAAAAACTCTGGGCTGGGCATGGTGGCACACACCTGTAATCCCAGCTACTCAGGAGGCTGAGGCAGGAGAATCACTTGAGGCCAGAGTTTGACACCAGTCTGGGCAACCTAGTGAGACCCTGTCTCTAAAAATAACAAATAAGTAATAAAATAAAAACTCTTGGGAACACAGATTTATGGAAGGAATAGAAATATGTATTATGCTTTCAGAACAAAGTAAAATATCCCATTTCCTTTAACATAAATATCAATATAAAGCAAAGAAAAAAAAAGCAGCAGCCCAGGTTTGAGTGTATTTTAATACACTTAATTGACTTCTGATTGTTTTCTGATAATCCATTCTCTCATTCCACTGATTACAACTATTTTAAGCAGAGGCCCATTAATTCTGTATTAATATTGCCTTTCTAATGAAAAATAGATTAAGAATAGCCTTTCTAATTGCCCTAGACTGATTCCTCCTTTTAGTTATAATATGCTGCCTAAAGCCTCCTACTTAGGGGCTCTTCCTGGTTCTAAGAACTTTTAAGTGCCTCTCAGCAGCTTCCTTGCTGTAATAAAGGCGTGTGAAGCCGGCAGTGCCTCAGCTGCACACAATTAATCCCCTACCAGGATGCTGCTGGATGAATGATTCAGCAACCTTTCAAAGGGCCTGGCTAATCTTTATGCACAGCCAACATATGTTACAACAAAGTTAATCCAACATGCAACATCAAGAAATTTAACAGATTTATTCATGGGGGAAGAAAGCACATAAGCAAATAGACGAAGGCAGGGAGGACCAAGGCAGGGTCTGTGAAGAGTAGGAACTCTGCCTGGACCCGGATAAAATGTTCTTAGGCAAACCCAGGCAAGTCCACAATTTCCACAGTCTACTGAAATCTGTTGCTTTGGAAGATAATATTATTTTCAGAAAAAAAAAGTTGTGTAGTCAAATAAGTTTGAGAAACAATGGCCTAATCAAAGTTAAACAAGTTTGTTCTCACTGCAAGACTACCCAAAACCTTTATTACTGCCAACATGCATAGTGGGTCTCCAGAAGCACTGATAGAATTCAGCATTTCTCAAGCCTTTCTCAACCAAAGGTCCTCTGTGGTTATCATTACACATATAGTGTTTAGAAAACAATGACTTAGATCATTGAGCATATTTCCTGGGGACGTATACGTCCTAAGGCAATGTGTAATGCTCCAACGCTGAGTTCCCAGACATTGAGAACAATTGCAGTTAGCTACTTGGAGTTATAGTAACTAGTAGGCAAGTTAAGCCAGTATACTTTGCTATGTCTAAAGTTTGGCCCTTCTTTTCCATTATAAGGCTTTTGATTATTACCATCAGATCCTCTACAGCCTTACTCCTCAAAGTGTGATCCCTGAACCAGAAGGATGGGGATCACTGGGAACTTGCCAGAAATGCAGCCTCTCACCACCCCGCCCAGACCTCCTGAATCAGAATCTGCATTTGGTTGAGATTACAGGTAATGTCCACGGTGCTACAGTTTGGGAAGCTCTGCTCTGCACTGCAGTGCTGGTTCTCTACATCAGCATGCAACTGGATCATCTGGAGAGAAGGAATGACAAGGGCCATGGTTGACATTTTGATACAGCCTCTTGACCACAGCTGTTTTGAAGCCTGAGTTTGATCAGTCCGGAAAACAAATCATCAAAACAGATCCTCAGCTCACCGCTGGTCTCACCTTTCCTATTAGCCTGTCCTTGAAGTTCAAAACACCCCTCAGCTGTCATCCCTAAAGTGATGGAATGGGTATTATTGTACAGTATGACTGGGTAAGACTTTTTAAACCATCCAGTTTTTACATTTTCATGTGACTGTTCTTATGCAGTGTCTGTTACCCTCAGTTTCCCAAATCAACGGAATTAGACATTCCTGCCACACTGAACTTCATGCACATAACTAGCAAAAATTGTTCTTTGAGTTTTGCAAGTAGAAGACATAGATTATGAGGAAATCATGCATTTTTTCTGCCGTAGTGAACTTGAAGCATATGTGCATTGCACAATTAAGGGTGCAGGGCTGAGTTTCTTTCTGGGATTAGGTCACAAAGCTCTTGACCAGGATTAAGAGCTCAGGCAGTGGTCACAAAACAGTTTTCATCCATGTGAGCTAACTGGGGAGTGAGCCAGCAACCTTGATCCCATTAACATTGGGCTGTAAGGAGCCTGTCTAAGGAGCTAGAGGGAAACAGATGACTATGGAAGACAGAGAGTACATATATGGCTAAATAATTAGAAGTTTTCCCCCTTTAAAAAAAAAAAAAGAAAAAAGGAATGCACTACTTGACTGACAGAAATCAAAGTCCACGTTTTGTCTTGGCCATTCGAACTGGTTGATTAGAATATGGTGAAAGGGGAGAGGAGAAAACATGTAAAACATTAATGTTTGAAGCATGACCCTGTAGGCTTTCAAAGCCAGTTTTTCCAGAAACCTAACTGATTGGCACAGTCTCAAACCTCTGTAGGTAATTTAAAGTTCTGGTCTACATCTGTCACTTTGCCAAGGAGCGATACATGCAAATCTTATCATTATTAATAATAGACTTGAAACTTTTCCTGCCTAAAACCCCAGTGACGTGCTTAGAGAAACACCCATTCAATGAGTAGGACTCCTCATTTCTCTGGAGGAAGGACAGCACCGAAGGTAGGGCACATCGGACAGTCATCCCTTCCTTCCTGCTTGAAAGCCCCAGTTTCTCACATCACTATGGTGCTACAGTTTGGGAGATCCGCTCTGCACTGCAGTGCTGGTTCTGTACATCAGCATGCAACTGGATCATCTGGAGAGAAGGGATGACAAGAGCCATGGTTGATATTTTGATTCAGCCTCTTGAGCACAGCTGTTTTGAAGCCTGAGTTTGATCAATCCGGAAAACAAACCATCAAAACAAAACAGATCCTCAGCTCACCGCTGGTCTCACCTTTCCTGTTAGCCTCAGCCCATCCTTGAAATTCATAACACCCCTCTGCTGTCATTCCTAAAGTGATGGAATGAGTATTATTGTAAGGAGTAAGGCTGTAGAGGACCTAATGGTAACCATCACCACGGTTGTTCTAGAAAGAAGAATTTTGCAGTAATATCTCTGTCCCTCAGTGTAGCCACCCTCTAGGAATCCAAGACCAAGCCAACTCAGATGTCAGATATCTGAGATACAAAAGCAGCACTTTTTTCTTGATAAACTGAGCGACAAGTACTTTCAGAGAAGACCTTGCTGGAGAGGCTGCCTGTGTTCTGTTTTGTTTGGTTTTCTATCTAATCCCTATTCACATCCATGGAAGTAAAGAAGACGATCCTCAAGCCTTGTCCTTCATTTCTTTGTAGCATCCCTTCTTTGTAGTGGCTCACTTGAATCATTGCAAACTCAGACATTGCATACTCAGCCAGCAACTCAGATGGCAATGATTTATTTTACTATTGTTTGAGACATCCCAGGATACAAACCCTGTGCATAGTTAGATTGCATGCATAAGGCATAATAATAGACTCTGGTCACTCGTGCAGACCAAGAAGTTCTCAGACTATAAAACAGTGGGATTGGTGCCAAGATCCAGGCTGACGTAGGATGCTGAGGAAGCACAGTGTGCCCCTCATCTGGGCTAACTGGTGACATCTATTTTAGGTTTACAGTTAAAAATAATAACGAGTCACCTAGGAAATCAAGGAGGAAAGGACATTCTAGACCAAGGACAGGACCTATGGGAGGATGAAGAGGAAAAAGCTTAGTACATCTTCGGATGATCAGCTCAGTAGGTCTGGAGAAAAGGGTGTATGAGAAAGATGAGACAGAAAGAGAGGAAGGTAGGCATAAGGGCTGAGCCTAATGCCAAAAGGCCTTGTAAGTCAAGCTAAGGAGTGTAGATCTCATCATAGGATCTCTAAAGAACTTAAAGCATTTGACAGGGCCAGACTTGTCCTTTGGGTCCATCACCCGCCAGCAGTTTGGAGAATGTGTTGGGATGATGTGACATTGGAGATGAAGGGACCAGTAAGAGAACAAATGCATTGGTCCAGAAGGCAGGGCAATGAGAATGGAAAGAGGGGAAGACAAGATAAGGAGTGTAAATCCCGAGAAAATTTTGCACTTAGTTTAAGGGTGGGACAAGCCTCTTCCTGGCCAGCTCATGCATACCGGGATGCAGGCTCAGCAGAGTTGGAAGCCAGCATGCTGACCTCTGGGATGGCAGCTCCAACACAGATTGACCTCATCCCCTAGGAATCCATGGCTATAGGATGCCATATCCCTGTCTCCTTGAGGCATCTGGCCACTGTGTTGGCTGTGGTGTCAAGTTCCCTGCAATCCAGAAACACATCATTCACTCATTTCCTTCTGGCTACACTAACCCCACAATTCCTGCCTCTATGGGTGGAAGAGTCTCAAAGATGAATGTCTGTCCTGAAAACCTCCTGGGTGTTAAAGATTTCCCCTCAAAGGGCTTCGAATGTAATCGCCTGCTCTTGTGCCCACAGAGCCCTTGAGGACTAGTCTTTTGAGCTAGCAATTCTAATCATTCCAAGCAAGCAGCTTTGAGGCAACTGTAGAGCACAGCTGGTCAGAGTCAAGTCCTGCAAGCTCATAGGAACATGTGCTGCCTTGTCAACATCATGTGTTTCCTAGAGAGCCGTATTCAACCCTGTTTCCCCACTGTCCACCACCACCAGCACTACCCATGTGCCAACTAGTGTTCTGGGATCAGTAAGAGATTGTAAAAGAAATTAAAGACACAGTCCCTGTCCCAGAAAACTTATCACCTAGTTTGATGAAGCAGAACATTCACAGATGTACAAAATGACTTAAAAAGACATTGACAGAAACATAATCAAAAACACACGTGGAAGAAACCACTTCCTGAATGGAAACATACCATCCCAGCATGTACGCTGAGTCCACAGGACAAAGAAAACCTCCCTTTCAAACTTGATGGTTTATTTTTTTTAGAGTGTACCTTGCTCTAGAAAAGATTTGAGGAAATTTACAAGAATACATTTATGGAAATAAAATTTAGAAATAAAAGTAGAGAACTAGAACCAAGGTAAATAAGAACACAAAAATGCCAAGCATAAGTCAATCCATGTATTATAGTGATGGCTTCGAATCTAGGTCTTCTTTTTCCTGGGGGAAGTAAAGACACGATTTGTTTTTTAGTTCCTGTGATCAGATATATCAGACAGAGGAGTACTGAACTCTAAAACTTGGTTGCTCAAAATGTGGTCCTTGGACTATCAGCTTTAGCATCCAGGGAAAGCTAGTTAGATATGAAAAATCTGAAGCCAACTCCAGACCTATTGAATATAAATCTGCATTTTAAGAATATGATTCATATGCACATTGAAGTTTGAGAAACACTGTTCTAAAAGTCATCCTTCTCCTGGAATGTCATACAGGAGATCTTGAGTAATAAAACAGGCCATCTATCGGCAGAGCTTTTTACAACAAATGTAGTAAGTGAATATGTCTGATTTTTACAGCAATTTTCTAAATGACAGAAGATATAATAAAACTAAACCTAAGGCAAAGAGTTCTTAGACATGACACCAGAAGCACAATTCATACAAGAAAAATTGGGTGAATTGGACTTCATCAAAATTTAAAACTTTTACTCTATGAAAGATCCTGTTAAGAGGATGAAAGACAGGCTGCAATGTGGGGGAAAATACTTGAAACAGTGTATCCAACATTAAAACAAAAAAAACTAGTATCTAGAATATATAAAGAATCCTTAAAACTCAACGGTAAAAAGAAATCCAGTTAGAAAATAGGCAAAAAATATGAATAGATATTCACCAAAGAGGAGATATAGAAAGCAAATAAGCACATAAAATGATGTTCAACCATAAAAACCAGTAAGGAAATGCAAATTAAAACCGTGATATTGGCCGGGCGCGGTGGCTCAGGCCTGTAATCCCAGCACTTTGGGAGGCCGAGGCGGGCGGATCACGAGGTCAGGAGATCGAGACCATCCTGGCTAACACGATGAAACCCCGTCTCTACTAAAAATACAAAAAATTAGCCGGGCGTGGTGGTGGGCGCCTGTAGTCTCAGCTACTCGCGAGGCTGATGCAGGAGAATGGCGCGAACCCGGGAGGCGGAGCTTGCAGTGAGCCGAGATCGCGCCACTGCACTCCAGCCTGGGAGACAGAGCAAGACTCCGCCTAAAAAAAAAACCGTGATATTGTATGATATAGCTTCAATATATGTTCCTGCCAAATCTCACGTGGAAATGTAATCCCCAGTGTTGGAGTTGGGGCCTGGTGGGAGGCTTTGGGTCATGGGGACATATCTGTCATAGCTTGGTGCTGAGTGAATTCTCAGGAGATCTTGTTGTTTAAGTGTGTGGCACCTCCCAACCCCACTCTCTCTCTTGCTCCTGCCCTGGCAACATGACGCACCTTCTCCCCTTTACCTTCCACCAGGAGTCAAAGCTCCCTGAGGAGTCTCCTGAAGCCAAGCAAATGCCGGCCCCATGCTTCTTGCACAGCCTTCAGAACTATGAGCCAAGTAAACCTCTTTTCTCTATAAATTACTCACTCTCAGGTATTTCTTTATAGGAACACAAGAATGGCCTAACACACCATACCAGCACACATCTATTAGAAGAGCTAAAGTAAAAAAAAAAAAAAAAACAGTGATTACACCCAATGCTGGTGAGGACAGGGAAAAACTATCTCTCACACACTGATGGCGAGAATGCAAAAATGGTACGGCCATTATGGAAAACAGTTTGACAGTTTCTTATCAAAGTAAATATGCACTTAACATACAACCCAGCACTCATACTTCTGGGCATTTATCTCAGAGATATGGAAAGTTATGTTCACACAAGAACTTGTACACAAATATTCACCATAGCTTTATTCATAGTAGACAAAAACTAGAAATAACCTAAATGTCCCTCACTAGGTGAATGACAAAATCAACTCCAGTATATTTGTATAAGAGAATACTACTCAGCCAAGAAAGGAACTATTTATATACACAACTGGGTTGGATCTTAAGGACATCATGCTTAGGGGAAAATGTATCCAAAATTATATTCTATATGATTCCATGTATATAACATTACCAAAAGGATAAAATTGTAGAGAGCAGATGTGTGTGTTCCTTTACCAAGGGACAAAGGCAGGGACAGAGGTAGAGAGGTGGGTGTGGCTATAAACAGATAGCATAAGGTAATCCCTTTGTGGGGATGAAACAGTTCTACACACACTCGAGCCCAGGCAAAAACTAGTGAAAATTGAATAAGATTTTTAATCTAATTGACAATACTGTACCAATGTTAACTTCCTGGTTTTGATATTGTATTAACAGCCATAAGAGATGTCACCATTGAGGAAATCTGGGTGAAGGGATCATCGGACTCTAATATTTTTGTGACTTCCTGTGGATTCATAACTATTTCAAAATAAAAAGCTACCCCAAAAAGCTAAAACTAAAAGCAATTAAGCCCAAAACCAAAATAATATGATTTAGTGCTACTAATATGTTGGTAATACTGCTCTCCAGAAACAAACAAACACACACCCTGAGTCTTAGCCTTTACTAATTTCCATGGTGTAAATACTTCCTCTAACACATGGGTAGCTAATTTAAAGCTACCCATAGGATAACCACTGGCTCACAAAATTCCTGCATGTGTGAGAATTGACTCTCAGAAGCCAGTATGAACAAGTTCCAGCACACCACTGCCTTCTGATAGTTGGATTTGATCCTTGGACCACCTGTATCAGACTCACCTGAAGGAACTTAAAAATTCATATTCCTGGCCGGGCGCAGTGGCTCACGCCTGTAATCCCAGCACTTTGGGAGGCGGAGGCGGGCGGATCACGAGGTCAAGAGATGGAGACCATTCTGGCCAACATGGTGAAACCCCGTCTCTACTAAAAGTACAAAAATTAGCTGGGCATGGTGGCGCTCGCTTCTAGTCCCAGCTGCTAGGGAGGCTGAGGCAGGAGAATTGCATGAACCCGGGAGGCAGAGGTTGCAGTGAGCCGAGGTCGCGCCACTGCACTCCAGCCTGGCGACAGAGCGAGACTCCATCTCAAAAAAAAAAAAAAAAGAAAAATTCATATTCCTGGCCAGGCGCAGTGGCTGACATCTGTAATCCCAGCACTTTGGGAGGCCGAGGTGAGCAGATCACTAGCCTGGTCAACATGGTGAAAACCCGTCTCTACTAAAAATACTAAAATTAGCCGGGCGTGGTGGCACGTGCCTGTAATCCCAGCTACTCAGGAGGCTGAGGCAGGAGATTTGCGTGGACCCGGGAGGCAGAGTTGCGGTGAGCCGAGATCGCGCCACTGCACTCCAGCCTGGGCAACAGAGCAAGACTCTATCTCAAAAAAAAAAAAAAAAAAAAAAAATTATATTCCTGATCTGCAAGCCAGAACTACTGAGTCAGAATCCCGAAGGTTCAACAGGGAATGTGCATTTATAACTGTTTCTTCAGATTATCTTTAGGTTCATTAAAAGTTGAACATTATTAATAAGGGGAATAAATGGTGCACATAGCTCTCCAATGACCTAGCTATGAGAAGCATGAAGTAGCTTGAACTAGCAAGCCAGCTTCCCCCATGTTCAAACCTATGTTCAAAGGAGTAGAAGATGACTTAGAATTTGGCATCAGATTTTGTCATCAACTAGTAAAAGGAGGGAATCAAAGGCTGATGACTTCGTGGGTTGTTGAAGCTAAGCTCCTCTGAACTCCCAAGTATGAGCACTGCTATTTTCCATAAATGGCTTCTGCCTGCAACAAGAGTTTCAATATGTTTTGTACTTAGTATTGCTAAGAAAAACCAGGGTTTGATTAAACTGTTATGGGTAAGAATTTTTTTTTAAGTATCTAACATTTTTTAACATTTGGTCTTATTCAGTGGTTCCCAACTTTGAGGGCACATTGGAATCACGTGAGGGACTGTAAAAAACATCGATGCCTGGTCCTCGCTCTGAAGATTTTGATTTCATTAGTGTGGGATGTAGTGAAGGCACCAGGCATAAGGATTTAAACTCCACAGGTGATTCTAACGTACAGCCAGGGCTGAGAACCACTGCCTACTTCTCACTGAATTTGGTTCACTGCTACATTTAGGTTATTTAAAATGAAAATTTTATTCTTTTTGAGTAGGTAATACTATTAAAAAATCTCATAAGTCAAAATGATTTTTAAAATATATAACAAAAAGTCTTGCTTCCTCCCTGATCATCTACCCCATTTCTGCTTCCACACACACCTACACACTTAAACAGGTATTTTCTTTCTGAAATTCTTTGTGCAAATTCAAAATGTAAATATGTGTGTAGTATATTCCTATTTTCATAAATTCCAATAAGATAATATAAGGCTATAAATACATATATATTTTAAATCTACAAATAGATCTCTAGATAATATACATACGTATATAATATATTCACATTTGCATAAATCACTTCCAAAGAGACAATACAAAGCTGCAGATATACATAGAGATATATAATATTTTGAATATATAATTCTGTGTATTTCTAGCCTTATATTGTCTCATAATTTTTTATAATGAACTCGACAATGAGTTATATTTGTTCACATGCTTACCTGAATTTGGTTCACCCAAGCGTAGTTATTTAATAGATACCGATGTTGACTCAGTTGTAATTATACAAATTGCAATCACAGTGGAGGGAAAAGGATCCTAGAACTACAGCAGCAAATATCATATTGGTGTGTGTGTGGAAGAGTGTGTATACGTGTGTGGGTGGAGTTTGGCTACACTAGCTCTTGAGTAAATTGGTAATATTGAGTTTCTAAACCTGGGAATTAGAGAATCAAATTTTGCACTCACTCATTCATCTGAACTGGCTCTTAGAAAATATGTATCCCACATAAGACAGCTAAGACAGCCCGTTATCCCCCTCTTTACAACATCTCTCAGTAAGCAGTCAGAAAAAAATGTCCTCCTGAGTCAACATCTACTCTTCCGGGACCCTAAGCAAGAGATGTTGGAGGTCACAAGTTGGACCAGTTATTGTCCCCAAACAAGTTTCATAAAGCCCACATGGTGTTCTTTTTTCTCAGATTGAAGCCAGCCAGCTTTTCCAAAATTGAGAACTTTCATACAGAAATAATGGATTTCAGGCTCCCACTTGTACCATCGAGCTCACACTCCGTGGTAACAGCCTGCTGGGTGTGAGTATGGCTGTGCCCCTTAGGCTACGAGATAGTCAGAGCTCCACAATCCACCAGCCTCCCTGGCACTCAGAGGCACACCTGCTCTAATACACCTATTCCTATCACCTGCCTGGCCTGCCACACCTCTGAGCTTCCTCCATTCTTCATGGGAATTTTCACTGCAGAATCCATCATCACATCATATTGAGTCGACTGTCAATAGTGAGTATCCCATAGACAGCAAGTACCAGGCATGAGACAATGTTCTCAGCTCTGCCCCTTTTCCAGTCCTGGCTCACGTCAACATTGACCTCTCCAGCCTGTTCCGGGTTCCCTCATGTTTACAACACCCAAAGCATCAAATCCCATTGCAATGACAAACTTCAATTGCTAGAGCAGTTTTTAAAATTTACTTTGAAGATGCTTACACGTGCCACTCCTGGGCTGATTTAACACCAGGCTTTGGCATCCAATGGCCCTTAGTGATTAATACCACTCATTTGTTCAAAGTTAACAGCCCCTGAGTGACAGCCATAGATAAATTAACAACATTAGAAAAACACTAAAGCCAGCATTTATAGAGTGGGTCATTGAAGAATATGATAGCTGTACAGATTGGCTCTGCCTATAATACACTATTAATGAATTTTATATACTGAAGTCATTTTTACCCAGTACCTTTTTAATTGTTCTGAAGTTGTCCATATTTATCTTGATTAAAAAACAAGCCAACTCCTAGAGACATTAATGGGTTTTATGTGCTTAGAAGCGAATATTATAAGCAGATGGAGGAAGTGAGTAGGGGTAGAGGGAGAGAGGGCAGGGCATTGTATTTCCATCCCAGCACTTTGTTACAATGAACTCAAGGTGTTGAGTAATGGGCTGCTATAAATTAGAAGACTGTTTACCTCATAATGTCTGCCAAAGAAATGTAGCCAAATTTGGGCTTTGCCTTTTCTCTACTCAGACCTGAAGCTTGTTAAAACAACTGGCTGTGGAGAAGTAAACATGGCTCCACACTCTTGCCTTAAATTCTGCTCCCGGTGTTGCAGGGCCATTTATAAGAAGCTAGCATTTAGCTCCTCTTTGGACTTTGTTCTTAACATGAACATTTAAACTTCTCCTGTAAGGAACCACAGAGAGTAGAGGTCTCGTGTCTTAAGAGCGAATGTTGATTTATTCCATTTATTTGGCACAGTGCAATACCACCACTTAGAAAGTTGTAGCAGTGGGAGGAGCCTGACCCACACATTTTATGGATTAGGAAATTGTGACCGGAGGGGTTAAACATAGGGAGTCAGAAAGGCAGGGTGTAAAGGCCAGATTGAAAGGTCACACCCCCAGCAGCTCACAGGGTTCTCCTCCCTCAATGTTCCAACACCACCCACATAGGAAGGAGGAAGAGGCAGTGTTCATTTCATGGCATCCATTTGGGGGTTACCTGGCATAGAAAGATGAGACAATAAAGCATGCGTTTCATGACAAATTTTGGTGCTCAGCACGTTTCTTCCTGCAGTACATCTTCCTAAAGACAGCAGCCAGGTAATGAAAGTGAGTGCCAGCAGTGTACTGAACAAGGTTTTCTGAATGAGTTGTTTTGAGAATTACCCACGTCCAGGTAACCCCTGTTTGCTCCCATTTCCAGTGACCATCAAAGGTCTAAGAATAAAACCAATGCTGGAATTACTAAAAAAAAAAAAAAAAAAAAAAAAAAAAAAAAAGAAGAGAGAGAGATCCTATGTCTTGTTTCTTGGGTTTAAAACAGTGCCTAGTGCATCTTCTGTTACTGACTTGCTCTGTGAGTTTGAGTTGCCTATTCTTGGCATCTGTTTCTCTGTCTACAGCCATAGAATGACGGATTTGGCTTAGCAGATCATTATGGTGACTGAGCCCTCACAGTCGGTGGATCACCCATGAACCGTGATGGCAGCTGTAATGGGAAGGGGGCCATGAAACCAGGGTCACTCAGCTGCGGAAGAGGAGTCTTTTAACAAAGAACTTAACCAAGGCCACACGATGCAGGGACAACCACCAGGCCTCCAGTGCACTGAACACAGGGCTCAACAGAGGTCCCTATGATGCTGGTGGGCCTGATGGGTCTCCGAACGCTGGTGACACTTCACCCCAGCTTCTTGCCCAGGTTCTTGGCACTGGCACAGGAAGAAATTCAAGGATGAATCAAAGCAAAAATAAAGAGGCTTTTATTGCAAAGTGAAAGTACACACTCACCGGTGGGAGTGTCATGTACTCCAAAGAGTGAGTCACACTCAACAGAGTTTGGGGTCTTTGGCTTTATTGGTTTTGAGGTCCAGCAGGACTTGTTTACTGGTCACAACCTTGCTGACCAAAACAGGACCTGTTCTGGACAGGATAAAGTGAGGAAACTAACAAGAACCAGCAGGTGGCTACAAAACTGATCCCTGGCTGCCCTCATTGCTCATTGGTGTAAGACACACACTAGTGCTATAACAGTTTACAAATGTCACGGCAGCCATCTGGCAGTCACCACCCCCTTTCCATGGCAACAACCCAGAAGTTACTGCCCCTTTCCCATAAAGTTCTAAACAACTTGCTCCTCAATTTGAATTGACCCACCCCTTAATTTGCATGTAATTGAAAGTGGGCTTAGGTGAATATAAATGCAGTTGCCACAGTCCGTAGGTGCTAACTCTGGGTGCACTGCCTGTGAGTTAGCCCTGCTCCATATGGAGTAGCTCGGGTTCAATAAAAGATTGCTGTTTAAAATCAACTTGAATTCTTTTCTGGGAAAAGCCAAGAACCCTTATGGATTAAGCCCCAACTTTGAGGCTTGCCTGTCCTGCATCAGTTTCTCTAATTGAGGTGCAAAATAATCATAAGGATTTCTGAGAAGAGATGGGAATTTCTTGGAATTGGGGTGCTACCCAGTTTTAGACCCAGCATGGGTATACCTGGAATGGTCATGGCACTGGTGGGTGTGTGGTTTAGTATAATAAAGAGCGTATAATTGAGTCTGGGGTAAAACTTGGGTCAGACCAATTTCACCCACATCCTGTTTGTCAGGGTGTTATGGTCCCTTTCCCAACCCTTGCTCCTACAGCTGGCTTCTATGTTAGTCAGTGAAACTGCTGCCTGGTATTCTCTATTTCCCCTGTGACCACACAGTATTCCTATCTCACCTATGCCTTGTGTGAGGTATTCCTTATTATCAGTGTCAAGAATCAGTGGGGATTATAGAAAAGAGGTAGAGGGAAAGTAGGAGGACTCAATTCCCATTCTACTTGATTGCTGTCTACCATGGGACTTTAGGGATGTCTCACAGCTCTCAGCAAAGTGAATGGGCTGCACAACACAATTTTACCAGTGGAGGATCCTGACTATGAGTATCCAGGTTCTTGGTGTTTGGAACAAAGAAACGGACAAAATGCACAAACAAAGCAATGAAAGATGAAGCAACGAAAGCACAGATTTAATGAAATGAAAGTACACTCCACAGAGTAGGAGCGAGCTTGGGCAAGTGGCTCAAGAGCACTGGTTACAGAATTTTCTGGGGTTTAAATACCCTCTAGAGTTTCCCATTGGTTACTTGGTTACACTATATGTAAATGAAGACCTGAACCAGTCTGATTGGTTGCAGGGAGGGACCAATCAGAGGCCGAAGCGAAGCTACAAAGTTACACCCTATGCAAATGAAGACTGGTTGTGGGAGGGGATCCATCAGAAGTACTTACCATTTTTCATCTGCAATGCAGTAGAAGTCGGGGAGGGCATTGGAAAGGAAGTAGCCTCTGATGCTTTTGTTACTTGGGTGTAAAAAGGTGGGGTTTTCCTTTTGATTCCGTTCTAGGAAGTCACTGCAAATCGAATCGGCCTTAGGTTCCCTGCCTCCAGACCCTATTCTCCCGCCTCACAGTGGATGAGCAATCAGACACTTGCCTGCTTGCAAACAAGCACACCCCGCCCCACCACACCCCCACACCCCTGGCCCCCCACCCCGCTTCCCCTGCTTCCCCGCCCCCCGCCCCGTACCCTTCCAGCAAACTCAAGACCCACAGGGCCAGGCAGCTGGCTGGTGCTGGACAACAGGCCTCAGGAGGCTGCTTAGAAACCTGCCATGCTGAGCACTTGCTTAGTATTAAATTAAACTAAGTTTGACCTCAGGCGGCATCTATACCCATGTTCCTACTTAACGAACTGCAACCTAACTTAGTACTTAAACAAACTGAAAGCATAACTAGGAGTATATTTTTTTGTAACAACCAGCTGAGTCTCAGCCAATCACAGCAGCTGAGCTTCACCAATCACAGGCAGCGCTGATCAAACCCCACCCAAATAAGGCAAATCCAGCTGTAACCAATCCAGCTGTTTATGCATCTCACTTCCTTTTCTGTCCATAAATGCTGCCTGCTGGATGGAGCGATCTGAACCTCTTCTGGTTCTGAGAGCTGCTTAGTTCACAAATTGTTCTTTGCTCAATTAAACTCTGTTAAGTTTAATTTGTCTAAAGTTTTCCTTTGAACATTATCTGCCCTGCCTTTTCAAACACCAGGAGGTATAATAATATGTCCACACAAAACACTTTCATGGCCCGCAATGGAACACCAGTACGTTCTGTCTCTCATAAGGCACTGTGGTTGTTACAGGAGAAAAGGAAGTTGGTTGGTGAGTCTTTGGACAGAATGGGGGATGTGGTGTCCCTCTGCTCTCAGACATTTTTCTCACTGCAAGCATCCCAGAGAACTTCCAGGAAGGCAAGGGAAGAGAGCAGACATGAGACTATAGCATGCAGCAAGCCTGAAGACCCCTAGGTGGAGCCCACTTTTGAGTAAATTGGACCAACCCGACTAGACAGACTTCAATGGAGAGGCAGATGCTTCAGTACTGATAAAAAGTAACAAAAAGGAGCGAAGCTGGGCACTTCTTATCACCTAGATGTCAGAACTGAGGCTCAACCCTGAATTTTCAAAGACTTAAGTGCAAAACTGACACCCAGAAAGTATAAATAGAGCAGGGCTGGGGTGGGGGAGTTAAAGCAAAAGGAAAAAGTGTGGGGGGGAAGTTTTTAAAAATAATAAATAAATAATACATAACTAAATAAATGGCTTTTCAGAAAATGATCAGAATGAAGAAAACACAAGTGCAATGCTAAAGGAACCACAGATGGGGAACTCCCCAAGCCCCTGGGTGCTAGAGGCTCTATATTTAGACCAAATTAAATGCTCTGAGGCCCCACCCTTGTACCATCAGGAATTTCCCTCTCCAAACAGTATAAATGTCCCCTAGGGGTGATGGCATTAAAAATCCCTCTCTCACCCTGCAATTAGGTATTTTGTACATGTTTCCTTGTCTGTTGTCCAAGTTCTCCCATTAGACTGTAAATTCTATGAACGAATGGATCTCTTACGCTTGTCCACAGATTCTGAGCCTATGAAGATGGTACTAGTCCTCGATAAGTATTTGTGAAATGAGTAGCTGAATGAATGAATGAATAAGTAAAAGAATGAATGATTGAATGATCACTTACAAGCTGCTGCCTGAGGCTTCTACCCTTGTAGCCCCTACGTACACCTCAAGCACTGTTGCTGGTTTTGCATCAAATCTTCTTGTAGTGTAGCCAGAAGTGTATCCAGGACTCTGGGATTTTCACTAACCAGCTGAGAACTACATGGTCCCCATGCTGGGGCCAAACCCTGCCCCCAGAAACACGGTCTGTGTTGCTAAGCCTGACGTCCTATCCTATCTCTATGAATTGTTCACTAGGACTGTTGTTCCTGCACACAGTCTGGCCTAGTACAACACCACCCTAGATCAATCTGGTATATTTTTATAACCTAAGTATGGTAGGGATCATAATCCTGGTTTTAGCTCCGTTTATGGGAAGACGTCCTGCTGCCTACACTTAAACTGATGGAGCTAAATAATGAATGGGCAGGGGCTTCCCCAGGTCTCACTGCCATCTAAGGGCTAAAGAAAAATGAAGAAGATGAGGAAGAGGTGAGGGCTGTCTCCACCCACCAACAGCACCTGAGTCCCAGGCCCTGGCTCAACCAAAACGAATGTTTTGTTACAGTGAGGCCAGGATTTCTGGACAGAGCAAACCACAGCAACAGAAAACAGTCATTTGAGAGAAACAGTGGCCACACTGCCACTCCTTCTATGGTGGAACGACAGAAAGTACGTAGACGACACCGATGGCCTTTAGACACCAGCTGCCCTGGCTGAGGGAAAACAAGAAGCATAGTTTCCATTGCTCTGTATTACATCACTTTTTTCCACATTCTTTAATGACCTAATGATTCTTTAATGACCTTTAATGACCTCTTTGCAGTAAAATGTCCCAATGAGAATACACATTTCCATTAATTAAATTCAACGTGCAATCAAAATGGTGTCACTAAAACAGTGGGCTGTCCTAGTCTTGGTGTCCTCTAAATATGGATCCACTTTTCCCAGCTTAGTACTAAACAAGTTGAGTAGAACGAAGAGTAAACACAAGTACCAAAAATATCACAGTTATTATTAATAAATGCCACATTGAAGCACATTTTTTTGGTTGGAGAGCTCAGTGGGCCTGCTAACTAAATCCCAGAATTCAGCAGTCTTACCCACCTAGCAGTGGACCATGCAGACTTCCTTTCACTCTCCTACTTTGCAGGATGGTAAGGACCATGCTGTATGCCTAAGAGAAGTCTTAGGCCTAAAGAACTCTAGCTCTCTGCAGACAGAATGCTCTAATACCGTTTTCAAGACTGCAAGTTATTTAAAGTCACTTCTTGTCTTCAAAGGCAAAGGAACAAAAAGGTCAACAGAATCCACTTGCCCTGTGAAAAATTCCGTTCCCCGCAAGGAAAAGAGGAAGCAATATTTTCCACCAGACTTGCCCTGTCTGATAAGTCTTGGTAAGCCACCTTATTGATTGTCTTCAACTGAGAAGACAATCAATTTTGAGAAAACTGGACCAACCCTACTAGACAGACTTCGGTGGAGAGGCAGATGCCTCAGCACTGGTAAAAATATCAAAAAGGAGTGAAGCTGGGCACTTATTATCTGGAATCCTTCCTCTTTTCTTGTCTTGTGGACTTGGGCAGCTCACGTGACCTCTCTGGGCACTGGTTTCATCACCTGCAGCCACACAATGATGGATTTGGGCTAGATGGCCACCAAGTATTTTTCAGCTCTAACAGTCTGCAAATGACATGAGATTTTCTCACCTTTGAGCCATATAGGAATTCCCTTAGCAGAGAAAGAATAGCCTGTGTGGGAAACTATGAATTTTACCTTATTGCTTTCCCTAAATAATGCCAGGGGTGCCTTAGCCCACCCAGAGCTTTGCTGTAAGTAGGACAATTGCTCAACCCATTCTGCTAACCAAGTTTTCTCATTACCCTTTTCCTCTGGAAGTTTTGAGCCCATCCTGCTACATCTGCAAGATATGAGACAATGAGAGGTTATGGGATGACACGCTTGTTTCTTCTGGCTTCCTGGCATTGCCTCTTCTGACAATGTGAGTCTATGGTACCCACTGTAGGTCAGGGTATTTTCAGGAGTATATTTTCAGGAGTATTCATCATATGGACTTTCCTTTTGCACTATCCACTGAGTTTCCAAACAGCAAGATTTTACTTTCCTATTCAAACTAAAACTCCTACTTGTCTAGGAGTTTCAGTTTTAAGAATTAAAGTACAAGTAACTGGTCATTTAGTCTTGTCTCATCACTGGTCCTACATAAAATGCAATTAACAATGAATTATACTTAATATGGTGTTAAAATAAGAATGTTCTGGTCTCAGCTTCTATCTTGACTGTGTGTATGCATATGTGTAAATGTGTGTGTGTGTGCACACACGTGTGTGAGTGTACCCTGGAGTCGATTTACTCCTGAGAGTAGGTGTAAATTTATAATCTGAAAATGATTTATAGCTGAAAAATGCATATTGACTTTGTCTTACAAACTCAGCCAAATATTTTCTTTAGTACCACTCTGAAGACTATCATCTGCCTCTAATTGATTTTAAGATGCAAGGATTTCTCAGAACCTGGGAAGTGTGGTTGGAAACTATCACATACTTACCAAATATGGGCATGGGTTTCAAAAGGTTAAGAAATAACTACATCATTTGAAACTGGATAACCAAACATTTTCAGGAAATTGACTTTTCTTATGACATGGACAAGGTTTCACATAATATTTCAGCTGTTTGGGGAATATTTCGCTACTTTCACCACTGTCCATTTCCACCCAAATTCAGGTGCTGTGGTTTTGCTTTGTAAACCTTCATTGTTCAGCTGGGTGCTAAGGACTTCTACTGTCTGTTTTGGGGGATTTAACGAACATCCTGGATGGTTGAAAACGGGCAGTAAGAGGAAAATTGGGCATGTAGGGAAATTTGGATGGGCATGACAAAGCTGAGAAGCCCAGGCTGGCATCTGTGCTGAACAATGCACTGTAGATGTTCAGGCGTCTGTTGAAGGAAGACCCTCACTGCGTGGCAGCAAGACTAACAGGATCTTGACTCCTCAACAGGAACATCGTACTGTGCTATACTCATTGGAAGGGTGAGGAATGGTCTGGGAGAGATGGCTCACCTTCCACAGGGCTCCCAGGCACTGCCCGGAGATACTGGAGAGTATGCCCTTCCAGCCATACTAACCCCAGCTGGGCACTCTGGTCCCAGCCACTCCAATTTCCATGAAGCCCAAGTCTCATACCCCTTGTCCCACCCCCTGTCCACATTGGATCCCTTTCTTCTAGCATGACAGGTAGCCTGGTTCCTTCCAGAGTATTTTTCTGGTCTATTGTTACAACTTAAACTTACACTTTGTTTCTCTTGGGCTTTCCCCTTTGATGCCCAGTTTGAAAGTTAAGAATGAACATTTGGTATTTCTCTTTACATTCCCACTATAACAACTCCAATGCCATTGAAGGTGATGTTGATATATATGATTGGTTAATGGACAAGTCATTTACAAGTAAATGAGGGAAAGAAATGCAAAGAGATTAAAATCCTAAGAGTATCTCAATATATTCAGACTCATTTGATGTTAGTTGCTTCTAATACCTTTTACCAATTTATCATTTAATTTGTATGTTTCCTTATGAGTTTTTGCTCTTTCTTTTTTGATAAAATGTTTCCCTCTTTATATATTTTTTAACTTAAAGACAGCAGAGTGTGTAATATTTTTGGAGTCAGGGCTATGTTTACGTTTCTTATTGTATGCTTAGCAGGATTTTCCCTTTCCATTTAAAAAAAAAAATCACTGTGGTAGGGAATTTTCTAATTATTTCTCTGTCACTCAGTCCCTATAAATTCTCTCTCAATTCAGAAGGTAAAAATGCTAGATTTTCACTTCCCCAGCTTCCTTTGCAGCTGAAGTGGTCATGTGACTCAGCCCTGGCCAATGAGAGAAAGCAGACTATTCTGGGGGGTTTCTGGGAAAGATTTTTCCTTGGTTATAAAAAGAGAGATCTACCAAGGAGTGGCCTCCTACTGTCCTTGTTACCTCCTTCCTTCTTGTTTGGGGGAGTAAGTCCCATTTAAACAGAATGCTTGGAGCTGTGATAGTCATATTGCTTCCATGAGAAGGTGTACCTGAGGACAAAAAGTCAAACAGATGAGGACGGCACAATCAAAGAATATAAGAGCCTTGGTGACATTGTTAGACCTCTGAATCAACCTGCAATCGCCTTCCTCCAGAATGCTTGTGATAGGATATATGCAAAGCCTTCATGTGTTAAGACACTGTGACTCAGGTAGCTGATGACTTACAGATAAAAAAAAATCTCACTGATACTCTCACTCATATTTTCTTTTAGTTTGTGTGTGTCATTTAATCCAAATTCATTTAGGATTTGTTTTGTTATCTGTTGTGAAGTTTGTTTTTTTGTAAATGCTTAATGAATTTTCCCATGAACATTTACTTAAGGATTCATATTTTATTTAATGTTTCAAAATGTCACCTTTATCATATATTAAATTTTTATCTATAATAGAATATCATCAAGCCTCAAATTTCTCATTAATAAAAGTATAATAATAATAGTACTTATAAGGTTGAGAGATAATGCTTATAAATTTCTAAGCCCAGGTCCTGGCACATAGTAAATATAAAATGTATGATAACTATTATTATTACTCATTTTCATTTCTATTATTAAATGATTTCTATCTATAAACACATTAATTGGTTTTATTTTCTTTGTTTTCTGTCTTTGGCTACATATTTTCATTATATTCTGTTTTTAATTCTAATGGCAGTTAGCTTTATACTTGGAAAAATTATGTTTGACCTCTTTTTCCTTAACTGTAAAATCAAGCATAAAAATGGCATTTTTAAGCCTTTCCTATTCCAAATATGCAGTTTAACACTTTTTCAAATTCCACACTTACCTATTGCTCACTTCCTCTTCTTACTTCCTGTATTTAGTTAGTAAAGTCTGGGATTTCAGACCAATGTTATTATAATTAAATTTTGTTTTATCTTAAATATATTGTTCTTCAAGACCAGTCTTTACATTTGTATTTAGTTTGGAAACCATATTAAGCAACTTATTCAAACTTGATTTCATGTTTATTGGCTATATGTTTATCACATCCACTCATTCTTTTTTTATCAGAGTGTATACCATCTTACAGCTTCTTTTTGCTTCTCTCAGATGTTTGGAGTCTATTTTAAATAACCATCTTTAAGAAAGACACATGAGGACATGTCAGTGACAACTTGTCTTTTAGAGAATGTCTTCCTATTGTCTTTATATGAAAAAATTACAGAAGGAAATCTGGGATCACCAAAGGGAAGTGAAAAGTAGAAGATAAGGTCAGAGAGATAATGCTAGAGAAGGGATGATTGCCAATAGGTGGTCAATAGGGTGGATCTCCTTAAGCTTATGAAAGATTTGGGCTTTTTCACTGTAAATATCCAGGAGAGCCATTGAATGGTTTTGAGCTGAGGAATGGTGTTCTAACTTTCACTTTTAAATGATAATTCTGGCTACTGTCATTAATGGGCAAGAGACCATTGTAATCATCAAAACGAGACATGGAGATGATGATGTCAGGGTGGGAGCAGTAGAGTTTCTGAATATGCTTTGAGGGTGGAGACAACAGGATTTTCCTAATGGATTTAATGTCACATCGGAGAGAGGAGATGGCTTGACCCTGAGACTTGGGTTCTGAATGACTGAAAGAATGAACCTTCCATCAACTGACATGTGGAAGGCTATGGGTAGAGTAGCTTTCAGGGAAGGGGGACACCAGGAGTTCAGTTTTAGATGTGATGAGTTTGAGATATCCATTATTAGGTTGACATGAAAGTAACTGCAGTTTTTGTCATTAATTTTAATGGCAAAAAGCACAATTATTTTTGCACCAATTTAATAGTTAAGTGGAGATGCTTAATCAGCATTTGCATATATAAGCCTGGAGTTTTGGAGAAAGGGCTGGATTGGAGATACTCATTTGGGAATCATCAGCATCTAGACGGTATTTCAAATCATGAGCCTAGGTAGACTCTCTCAGTAATTTTTTTTTGCTCCCTACATTGAATTCCTATTTTCTCTTTATGCATATTTGAGTAAGAGTAGAGTTGTATTTTGGTTTGGTTTTGGTTTTTTTAGAGACTAGGTTTATAAAAGACACAAATACATTTTACTGGTCTTGGCCCTATTCATTGCCTACTTCAGAGTCAGCTGAATCCTTTCTCCAATCCATAGCTGGAGTGCAGGCTCATATGCTCAGCTCCTAGTCCAGTACAGCAGGTACCCACCTAATACCATTCTGATGTAGTGAGGTGGTATTTGTCTCTCATCTCTGCTGCTGGATACTCTGATGTCTCAAAGTGTTCAAGTGCTTAGAATCCACAATCCAGCATGCACTACCCCACAGTCTTTCACCCACCATGGCCAAGCCCTCCAGCCGTTCCTTCTTTTCTTTTTGTTTTTTAATTTTCTGAAGTTATTTCTTTAAGAATTACAACAGGCAAAAACTGTATGGTAAATAGATTCCTCCCCAGACTCAGAGCCTGGGGTGAGATACAAAATACCTCCCTACCTGTATTTCAGTGGGAATATTATTCATCATGACATACAGCCTGAATTCACCAGGAAGGAAAACCTGGTTGTTCTCCCACCAGCCCCATCTGCCTTGCTCCATGTTCTGGCTTTGGATTGTTCATAGGAAGAGCTTTAGTCTTGCTCTGTGTTCAAAACTGCTTTAATGGGAAACTAAAAGAGATCCATAAAAAGCTACTAGTCAGATGCCATTTTAAGCCAGTTCAATGGCAAAACACAGTCACAGAACACATAGTTTGTGTTAATGCCATAGATTTCTAAACTCTCATCAGCAAAGCCATCATGCTAAAGTTAACAGAGAAATTTTAAACAGTTGATAGTAAATTTCCTCCCTCAGATCTCTGAACATTTTGTAAACTACCTCATCTTTCTTCCAGCTACAAATAATGTCCAGTTCACTCTCAGGATTTAGCTCGCCATGGAGGCAAGTTTGTATACATTTTCCCAACAAGGTATAAATCCCATAGCTAGGAAAAAGAGTACTTTTCAGTCTCTAAAGACACACCCATAAATATCCAATGTAAGCAAACTAAAATTAGAACATGCGACCAGTTATGGAGATTTGGTCTGGGCCCCCATTATCCTCCTCCTGTCAACACCCCTACTTGGAAAATTAACGTTTATTAGGTTCCTATGTCACCCATATTTAAGATTCCTGTAGCACTCACCCTTCTTTATTCCCCCAGAGCCAGGAGAAAGCAGGATGCTCCTCATCCACCTATCCTTGGACTGTGGAAACTAGGAAAAAATAAAAAGTCATATTTGCACTTTTATGATCCAAGATGCAGCTCACCAAGTGCAATTTTCTATGCAACATGCAAACTAAGTCCAATAAGTAAAGGATTAATGCGTGAAGAATTCATGATCAAGGTCACACTCAATCAAAGACTTGCTAGAGGTGTTTGGGAATTGCGTATATGTTGCTAGTGGGTTGCTTAGAGCAGAAATCACCATCCTCAGCCGGGTGCAGTGGCTCATGCCTGTAATCCCAGCACTTTGGGAGGCCAAGGCGGGCGGATCACGAGGTCAGGAGATCGAGACTATCCTGGCTAACACAGTGAAACCCCGTCTCTACTAAAAATACAAAAAAATTTGCCGGGCGTGGTGGCGGGTGCCTGTGGTCCCAGCTACTCGGGAGGCTGAGGCAGGAGAATGGCGTGAACCTGGGAGGCGGAGCTTGCAGTGAGCCGAGATCGCGCCACTGCACTCCAGCCTGAGCGACAGAGCGAGAGACTCCGTCTCAAAAAAAAAAAAAAAAAAAACAAGAAATCACCATCCTCAAGGATTTATAGTTGAGGTAGATAATAACAAAGCAAAAGGAAAACAAAGTCACAGCAACACAGAAGATAAAGGGCAAAACTCAGAAGGCAGGTGTAAATTTTTCTTCCTTTGAGTTTCCAGAGTTTTACTTCTTTTGAAACCCTTCTTTTACTTTTACTACAATGTTTTGCCCTTACTGGAACTTGAAGTTATCCCTTGGAAGCCCATTTTGGTGCTTTGCATGCGGTAGTCCTCTATAAATGCTTGTTGAATTAAACAGAAGATTTGTAATGTGGTAGATTAGCACACATGTGTGCACACACGTGTGGTTAAATTTTTTTCAGTCATGTCTAAGACCAAAGAACAAGAGCAGGTTTGGAATGGAGATTAGTGATACAGAAATGGAGGAAGATTCAAGCTATTAGGTGTAATGTAAGGGGTTATTGAAATGGCTTACTACAAGCAGAGAAAGGAAGTGGAAAATGAAGGAAGGTGACTTCAAAGGATGAAAGAGGAGGCCAAAGAACCAGAGGGGGAAAGGAAAAGATTTAACAGAGTAAGAACAAGGAAGACGTTGAAGATAAAGAGATTATAGGCAAAGAAAGAGAGTTCAGAGCTAAAGACCTTTGAGATCTTCAGAGTTCCAAGTGCTGATGAAATCTACAGTGGGGAAGGAACCTGGCTGCACCACACACAGGCTAGGACGTAAACAGCGCTCCCACGTGGTCGACACAAGGACCCTGAAGAAAGGCTGTCCAAAGAGGGCTGACCTGGAGACAGAGGTTTATGGGGTAAAGGAGATCAAAACCCTCTGTGGCCAAAATTTTAGAATAATCATGGGTGGAGGGAATCATGGTGGGTGGAGGTGGGATTACGGTAGAAGGTAGAAAAGGAAGTTAACAAAATTCACATCTATTGTTACTTCGTAATTGTAAAGACAACCAAATTCTTCGGTAAGATCTACAACAAACGATTAGAAATCTCCACCTGCATTTTTAAATCTTTTTTTTTTTTTTTTTCTTTTTGAGACAGAGTCTCGCTCTGTCGCCCAGGCTGGAGTGCAGTGGTGCGATCTCGGCCGACTGCCACCTCTGCCTCGTGGGTTCAAGCGATTCTCCCACCTCAGCCTCCCGAATAGCTGGGACTATAGGCGCCCACAACCATGCCCGGCTAATTTTTTGTACTTTTAGTAGAGACAGGGTTCCACCATGTTAGCCAGGATAGTCTCGATCTCCTGACCTCATGATCTGCCTGGCTTGGCCTCCCGAAGTGCTGGGATTACAGACATGAGCCACCACGCCTGGCCTAAATCTTTCTTTACAATAGATAATATAGTACAAAATGGAACCTGTTTCTTGAGCCTTATGGTAGGGAGTGGGCAGTTGGGGAAGGTGCTCTTAAATCTTATCTATCCTGTAAGTAAAGAAAAGTAGACCCTTGATAAATGTGGTAATTAGAATTGAGGTAAAATAACAATTCTAGAAAAGAACCACAAAGAGGGACATTTTGATAGCCCTAGCCTTACAGCAAATTGAACCTGGATGAATGACTATTTTCTACAGTACGGTATATCTTTTTCAGAGAGTAGGATGGTGAGTCCCTGGGCAGAGGTGGGGAGTAGGGAATGGAATCGGTAGAGTTGCACTCACAGAAGATGAATAAGTTCTTGGAGATCTTATGTACAGCATGGTGACGATAGTTAATACTACTGCATTGTATACTTGAAATATGCTGGCCGGGCGCGGTGGCTCACGCCTGCAATCCCAGCACTTTGGGAGGCCGAGGCAGGTGGATCACGAGGTCAGGAGATCGAGACCATCCTGGCTAACACGGTGAAACCCCGTCTCAACTAAAAATACAAAAAATTAGCTGGGCGTTGTGGCGGGCGCCTGTAGTCCCAGCTACTCGGGAGACTGAGGCAGGAGAATGGCGTCAACCTGGGAGGCGGAGCTTGCAGTGAGCCAAAATCATGCCACTGCACTCCAGCCTGGGTGACAGAGCGGACTCCGTCTCAAAAAAAAAAAAAAAAGAAAGAAAGAAAGAAAGAAGTGTGCTAAAAGAGTAGATCTTAAGTGTTCTCACCCCCACGCCCCCTCCCCCACACACACAGAGTAACCATGTGAGGTGATGAGTATGTGAATTAGCTTGACTGTAGTAATCATTTCATTATGCTTAAATCAAGTTTAGCCTAAAACTGCCTCCTTACATATTTTAAGTTTGGCCTAAAGGTTTTTCTGTACATGGTGAACTATAACAAGTGGACGTATAAACAGACTGTAGCCTGCACTTGTGCCAATCACCAAGTTTTGGCCCATCAAATGTAGCCAACTGTTATAACCGTGTTCGAATAAGGCAAACACTGGGCTATAACCAATCCAACTGTTTCTCTACCTCACTTCCATTTTCTGTACGTCACTTTCCTTTTTCTGTCCATAAATCTTCTTCCACCGCATGGCCGTGCTGGAGCATACTCTGACTCTGAAGGCTGCCCTAATGTGTGAATCGTTCATTGCTCAGTTAAACGCCTTTAAATTTAATTCAGCTGATGTTTTTCTTTTATCAGATGAGGATGAGGATGGGATCCAAAGAAGAGCTTCTAACGACCCCCGAGGAATGCTGAGTGACCGAGCAAGGTACCCACTGAACCCAATTGTGTCCGTTGATCTCTTGGAGCAGCCAGGGATCCTGGTGAGTTCTCTCTGTTTCCAAAGCTGCACAGATTTGTGTTTTAAGCTCTCCAAGTTCCTTTGAGCAAATTCCTGATCCAAAGTGGATTTGGAAGTCACGACAGAAACTGGACTGGGTCCAAGATTGGATTTGATCTGGTAATTAACTGGCTTGGATCCAGTTAGAGGCCTCTTACATCTGGGTCAGAAAGAAACCAGTAGTAAATGGCAGTATTGCAGAGGGTATAAAATTTGGCTGTTGGAAATTCACAGGAATTTTTGTGTTCTACCCCGTTGTTTCATTTTTATTTTGCACTCAAATATTTAAAAAAAACATCATTGGCTAAGTTAATTAAGAAAACCTGAAAGGAAAACCAATATTTAGATAAAAATGGGATCCTTAATTTCTGAAGAACTGAGTTCCTTCTGTGTTATATATCCATAAGTATTAGGCCCCGGAAGCAGCAAAATCTTATCGAAATAGCAAAATCTTACTAAAGATAATTTATAGTGGAACATTCCAAATGAACAACATTGCACTGAAGTGTATTTGAAAATGAAGCCTTCCTAATTAGCCTCATCTAGGGATGCCTATTGATATGCAGAGGCTTCTAAAAAGATTTCAGTATTTTTATTTGAAGACTTTACAAAAGGCAAATAAAAAGCTTAAGTGATTAATTGATTAAAAAATTTAAATCTGCCTTGCAGTCTTTGCTGACAGCTATAGGTGACAGGATTAGGCATGTACAGAACCATGGAACATGGGGAACTTTCTTTCCCCAAAGGGGGAAACTTGAGAGCTGATGGGACTGCTGGAAAAGATCCCTTTGTGACTGACAAGTGGCTGCCTGAACTTTTGATTCAGTATTGCTGCAATGGGTGAGTCTTTCTCTGGCCTCCTTGAGCTCTTCACCTTCCCCACCCTGCTGCAGGCAATGCTTTTCTTTCTGTTTCTCTCTGTGAAAACCGGTTGCGGGAATGGTAAAAATCACCACCTCTCGCAAAGTTTTAATTAATGAGAAAAAGGATTCATGAAGCTAGTCTTAAGCTGTAGCAAATCTAGCGTACTTTGTGCTATGAATTTGTCTTTTTGTATCCTTCTGTCATGAAGAGGGGTGCCTTAGGATAGAACACGGGCTTGGGACCCCATAAGTTCACTGTTCAAGACATCCCAGCAAGCTGGTCAGTAAGAAACCTTCCTGCAGGTCCCTGAAACAACAACAACAACTGGATGAGGTTTCCACCTTGTCTTGTTTTATGTCCTTGGGAGCTTGACCTTGTAACCAAGTGGTGGTACTTTCTCTTGCTCTCCACCATCCAGGGCATGGGAATTTTGGGTTCATGTCAAAGGCATTGCAGGTGCCTTTGCAAGCTCAACATTAGCTGCTCTGGACTTCTTCTGGGAAGAGCAATGGAGATTGCCCAGCACTGTAGCTTAGTGGCTAAGGCTTTGCTTTTTCACAGCGGCAACCCAGGTTCACTCCTGGATTAGGGAATCAGTATTTACTGGTTGCTATCTCTGTGACCTTTACCGTTTGTTGATTCTTGGCCCCTCCATGAACAACTTCCAGCTTCTCTTCTTGAATCTTCCTTTCTCTCAGCTACCTTTAAAGATTCTAGATCTTATAAAAACTGCTAACCACCTCTTTGAAAACACCTTGTACACTGTGGTTAAGTCATAACATTAGTTAAGGCTTGTTGGTTTCAACTGTAACGTTACTTTTGGTAAAGGTTAAAAACCAGATATATTGGCTGTTTGGCCTCGCTAAAGTGGAGTGACTCGGCTTTCTCTATTGAACAGATTTTTATGTATGTTAAAGGATAATGAAAGAGTTTTGTTTGCCTTTTGAATAAAATACAGAAAAAAGAAGGGGAAGACAAGAGACAGATCGTTTGGAAAGCTAAGTCTTCTTTCTATCAATGGGTGAATGTTTTTGCCTTTTTAAATTTTTTTGAGTCATCATTTTGGCTAAATAAATGACTTACGGTGACTTGGAATTCTATTTCATAATATCAAGTATTCTAAACCTTTAACATATTTGATAAGCTTCCCCAAATCAAATTTCAGCTTCAAAATTGTCTTTTCTGACCTCTAACTTTGGGATGCTACACAGGGCCCCTGAAACATCCAAAAGAGAGGTCAACAGGATTATTTGACATGTGAAGTTACATGGGAAGCATTGTCAAAATAAAGAATAATGTTTAACCTTCTCTAGGTTATATTTTAGTGAATGATATTAATATATGTTCCAAAATTGTATGGGATTTCTAAAATTCTAATATGTCTGAGTATATGTTATCAATCATAATTATGGTTATTATGCTAAGTTATTGTAGACCACAGAAATAACCAAATTTCCATGTCAATTGTGTCTTTATAACTACTTAAAGTCATTTCCGCAGTTAATTGCTTAATGCTGATGCAGTTTCCGAAAACTTTACAAGCATGCAAAATCCTAGCATATGGTGTCTTTTAGGAGGTTCCTGAAAGGATGGAAAGGACCCTGAAAAGTATTCTTGAACACAGGTTTCTAGTAACTTTAGAATTGTATCATTTGGACCAAGAATTCCTGGAACTTTAATGAAAAGACTGACTGGTTTATAAAACTGTTAACCCAGGTAGAATAAAAATTAATTGAATACCAAGAAAACACTTTGCCAGATTTTCATGCTAAATCAGCCAATACTGAAATTGTTTAGATATACAATTTGAATCAACTCTATGGTCTATGTCAAATTACCTATGAAAACCCATCAGTTATCAGTTCTATGCAACTGAATTGGAGAAACCACTGGTATTCAAGAGGGCATAAGTCCAGTATTAAGCAGGGACTCATGGAGAACCAGGAGGGCAGCCTTGGCCTTCCTGAGTCCTTAAAGCTTTTCTTATTAAAAGTTCTGCATTCCATGACTCATCATGGAAAGGATAAAATGATCCAAATTAAATATATATAGATGTAGTGACTTTAAATTGCAAAAATAGTTTATGACCAATGTTTGGTTTGTCGATCCCATATTCCTGGGAAGACAATCAAAGCTTCAAGCACATTTGGCTACCTGATGAACCGTTTAAATATTTATAGAGGGATTTCACTCAATTGTCATTTTCAATGCATGTTTTCTGGTTGTATAAAAGCTTTCCCATGCAAGAGAGCTGATGTTATAACAGTAGATTATTATATATGGCACAGTGTATTTTCACCAGGTAAAGAAAGCTTTTTATGGTTCACTGACAGGACAATCAACCCCTTCACAATCTAGAACCTGAAGACTGGATCTTCTGAGAATGTCAGAGAAAGACTGGCCTTGCCATACACACTGCAACAAAACTTTAGGACCTTGAACCTTGATTTCATAATCTCACACCTGAGAAGTTTCCCTCCACACTCTTGGAACTGTACACCCATTGGAACCCTAAAGGTAAAGCCAACCAAAGAAGTTTCTCCCTGGAAGGAGATAGCATCCTTGATGTGAACAGCTTTTCCCAAGATCACAGATCAAGACTTCTCTACTATCATGAGACTCTTATCTTTGAATAATTTTCCCTTGCTTATGCCTCTGTGAACAATAGAAGTGAAAGGGAGGGGGAGTCTGTTGTGTGCACTTATGAGGTATACTTATTTCTGAAGGATTTTGCAGACAGACTTATACATGGATAAACTTCTGCCTTGATAGATGAAAGATGAAGGCCCAATGTAGGTGAGAAATTTTAATGGTATATACATTGCCTCACAATCAGTCAGAAACAAAGCATTGGTCACTCCTCTTAATCCACGTCATAGGTTAAAGAGAACATTGCCAGGAGGCCTTCACTCTTCTAAAAGGGCATCATTTGTTAGGTCCTATTTCCATGGCTTGGAGTAAAAGAGACAGTGATTAGAAATGCATTCCTCATGATAGGCTCTATAGCAGATTCTACTGTAAAGGCTGTGGTTACACAAGACTTTAAATTCTCTTGTGAAAGTTATGTTAAATAATAGAATTGCTTTAGATTACTTACTGGCTAAACAGAAGTATCTGTACAGCTGCTGGCACTTGTGGCCTATGAAGAAATACATCACATAGGGTATTATAGAGATTCAGTTGTAGGGGATTAACAAAGAGACTGCTTAGTTGAGTGAGTAAACTCTTTAGCTCCTTTTTTGATCTATTTAATTTTAGGTGGTTTCATTTATAAAGACCCTGGGTAAGGAGCATACTCCAAACTCTTGGTGTTATCCTCCCAACAGTCATAATAGTGTCTCCCTGGTGCACTGTATTCTCTCAAAAGTTTTAAATGTTTGCATGCAGCCATCTCTGTCATGTCAAATGGTCTCTCTTCAACTGGAATGACAAGAACTGAAAGAAATGTGTGGCCATGAAGGCACCATAACCTATGAATGACATGCTGAGACCAGAAACCCAAAATGATGGTAATTGAGAGTGGTGCTAAGGCCCTAAGTTTTGGTCACACTCTCACCTAAGGGGAGACTTTTAAAACAAAATTATGGGAGGCCATTGTTCAGGACTGAGCACATGCATTAGGCCCCAACAGATCAGACCAAACCAAAATGGAGCTGCTGGTGCTAAATGTCACATCAAACTAAGACTTTAAGAAAACATACATCCTAGAACAGACCAGGTTTTTTTTTTCTCCTGTAAACAGGACGTCTCAGCATAAAGAGGTCCCCTCTACACTGACCCTTACAAAAAACGAAATAAAATAAATGAACTGAAGTCCTTGTCCCCACCTTACAAACCCACTGTTCTGCTATTTCCCAGTGGGTTTCAAGACCAAATAAGTATATTTACAATAGTGATAATGACATCAGTGACTAAAGTTTTGGTCAGTCTCTCAAAATTAAGAAGATGACCAAAAGTGGGGAATTGTTTAATCAGGTTTAGCCTAAAGGTGCCTCCTTACATATTTTAAGTTCAGCCTAAAGGTTTCTCTGTACATAGTGAGCTATAATAATTGGAGGTGTAATAAGACTGTAGCCTACACTTGTGCCAATCATCGAGTTTTGGCCAATGAAATGTAGCCAACTGTTCAAACCATGTGCAAATAAGGCAAACACCAAGCTGTAACCAATCCGGCTGTTTCTGTACCTCGCTTCCATTTCCTGTACATTACTTTCCATTTTCTGTCCATAAATCTTCCACCATGTGGCTGCGATGGACTCTCTGAGTATACTTTGGCTCAGAAGGCTGCCCCATTGGTGAATAGTTCAATGCTTAATTAAATTCCTTTAAATTTAATTCAGCTGAAGGTTTTCTTTTATCACTATGTATATCAAAACATCAAATTATGTTGTTATAAAGCTATTATTTTAAAATACAAAGTAAAAATACAGTAAGTACTTTTCACAGGAAATTGTAGAACAAAAAATCCCAGACTTTCTCTACAGAAGTGGCCCATCTGGCCTGTGCACTAACCTGGGGGACCTTGACCAACCAGCAATGCCACTGCCTCCCACTCTGCCTGTGAACCTCTGCAAGATAAGAATGCTACTTCTGCTTGGAGTTGAGACACATGTTTTCCACTCTTGGCCAGAACTGAGGATGAGAGTGTTTCTCTTTAGCAACAGTCCTTAGGCAGAGACAGGAAGGGTTTGACTTTGTGGATTGGCCTCACCAGTGTGTTTTTTTGGCCTCTGGTTTATGCTGAGAATTTTTATCCACAGGTGGATGCTTGTATTGGTTTTCGCTTGGGAGTATTCGTCTGAGAAATCACTGCTGCAAAACTGGGATAGTCTGGCTCAGGAAAATCAAGCTTTCCAGCCAAGCAAGCCTCTTAGGCTGGGATTGCAGAGAGTGAACATCCTTTTTCACCTAGACTTAGGGAACTGAGTCTCAAAGATGCAGAAACAGCAATGAAAGCAGCCATATCGGTTGGTTGGCAAGAATAAGGAACATTATTTCCCCCCGATTCCAAGAAGAATGGATGGAACACAAAGAAACCAGGGGTCCCTGCTGGGGTCTCATGCTTCCTGGGGACATCACCTCCCTCTCTAAAAGGCTGAAGCCATCACACTTAAGTTTTCAACTTCCCTCTTCCCTCTCCATTTCAGAGCCTTTTTGTAGCTTCATCACTCTTCCTTCCTTAAATCATCTTTATCTTTCTGGTCTCTGAGAAGCAAGTGGCCTGTGTCATGGGCAACTTTCTTAAGTAGATTTCCTCTCATCGACATGATCATCTCTCTTCTCTGTACATTTTCAAGACTTGTATATCCCCCAAAAAGTAAAAACCCACCTTCAAGACTGCTACCCTGCGGGTCAAGCCCTCCTACCCTTCTCAGACTCTCTTGTGAATGACAGCTGGTGATAATACAAAATAAATATTTGGTTTCTGTCCCCAGTTCCTGACACTCAGCTCCCCAAACCCACAGACTTTCCAGAGTGATGAATGTATTTTGTTCCTTTGTAAGCAAATTAGATGATTGTTGGCTTGGGGTCCCTACTAGCTCCAAGACAGGGCTGGTGGCCAGGAAGGCCAAGACATTATTAGAATGTTGGAACTTTGAGTCCTACCCCTTAACCATCCGGGAGGGAAGAGGGGCTGGAAACTGAGTTAATCATCAATGGCCAATTATTTAATTATGTCATAAAATTCCTAAATGGTGGGGTTTGGAGAGCTTTCAGGTTGGTGAACACATCAAGGTGCTGGGAGGATGGTGTGCTCAGAGAGGGCAGGGAAACTCTGCACCCCTCCCCTCATACCTTACATCTCCTTGCCTTCCATCTATTTGGTTATTCCTGAGTGGTATCCTTTATAATAAACTGCTAATAGTAAGTAAAGCACTTATTTAAGCTCTGTGAGCTGTTTGTCTCCAAATACTGATCAACCTTTAAGGAGAAACCAATCTTATTCACTCTGCTATGTTGCCATCACATAACAGAGATTTTGGAGGAAATTATAAAGATGATTTTTATTGAAATCATCTCTCAAATTGGTGTGCTCTATTTATTATCAACTCAACTCCCCCATTTAAAAAAAAATCATCATTCACTCACTTATCTTCTCTCCAGCCATCACCCTTTTGTTCTCCTCTTCTTTCTATTCCAACTTCTCATAATGTTGCCTACTTTCTATCTCCAGCTCCTAATTTTTCAAGCCATTCTCAATGGCTTCTGTCCCCACCACTTCCTAAAACAGCCCTTCCTAAGGTCATCAAAAAACTATTTGTCACTATAAGCAATAAACTTTTTTTAATCCTCAATTTTACTTAATTTCTCATTGGTATTTGATAATGTTAATCACTTCTTTCTTCTTTCTTCTTGAAATGCTGTTTTCACTTCCTGGATATCCCTCTGGTTCCCTGGTTCTTCTCTGGCTCCATTGCAGGATCATGCTCCTTTATTCAACCAATATTTGTTGGATTTCTTCAAGACTGGTTCTAGGTCTTCTTTACTCACTGTATCCTCTATTCCAAAGCACCATCAGCCATGCCTCTGGCTTCTATTATCACCTGTTAGTAGATGACTAACACATTTACATCTTTAGCCTAGACCTGTCCTCCGAGTTCCAGTCCATTATTTTCATTTACCTGCTGGATCTACCCTCATGGACATCTCAAAATCTCCTGAGGCTCAATATAAGCAAAAGCGAACTCATTGCTGTGTCAGTCAACATCTTGGCAGGAAGAAATTGCACCTCCTATTGAAAATAAGAATTTGACAAAAAAATGTTAATAAAAGGACTTTTTGCCAAGGTGTGGACATGGTTAAAATAAACCAACAACGAACAGTAAGCTGGTGAAATAAATACTCTGATATCACCCTCTCTGCCCCGTGACCTCCTGACCATTGGCAAAACCAAGCCAGACACTAGAAAATATGGAAGCTTGTTGAGGCATAGAGGTCAGCCTTCTAGGGCTCAGATCAGGGTGGAAAGGGAATGGAACTAAAGGGACAAATGAACAATATTCAGCATGATGATTGTGTTAGTCCCGTTTGCATTGCTATAAAGGAATACCTGATGGATAATTTATAAAGAGAGGTTTATTTTGCTCACAATTCTGCAGAGTGTACAAGAAGCATGGCACCAACATCTGCTTCTGGTGAGGCCTCAGGAAGCTTTTACTCATGGCAGAAGACAAAGGGGAGCCAGTGTGTCACATGGCGAGAGAGGATCACATCGTGAGAGAGGGTGCAAGAGAGAGGCCATCTTCTTTTAAAACAATTAGCTCTTGCATGAACTAATAGAACAAAAATACACTCATTACCATGGGGAAGGCACGAAGCTATTCATGAGGGATCTGATCCCATGACCCAAACACCTCCTGCTACCCACTAGGCCCCATTTCCAACATCAGGGCTTACATTTCAACATGAGATTTGGAGGGGACAAACAACCAAACCATATCAAGGATCTTCCAATCAAAACAAGTTTTCTTGCATCATTCCCTACTTGGGGAATGGTACCACCATCATCCAGCCAATCAAACCAGAAACGTAGAATTTTCTTAATGTTTGTTCTGCCTTTTCCTGCAGACCCATGCCATCGAATGTCCTAGCAGAACTCCTCAGAACAATCTGGCTTAAACTATTTCGACACAACCTGCTTCAGATTTACACATACCTCTCATTCATAGCTCGCGTTACAATTGTAAGTTATGTTGCATATAGGATTACTTTACTAGCATCTTGCCTTCCCTCTAACCTATAAAATTCATGTTGGCAGAGACTATGATTATTTTTGTTCACCATGATTTCTCCAGTCTCTTGCCACAGTCCCTGGCATGGAGTAGGCACCGAATAATATTTGTTATTTGAGAACATGTTAGAGCTTGTGGGGATATATAGATCACACAGTCACATTCTATCATGAGGGGAGAGCAGGAATCATACCGTCAGAAGAGAAGGTTAAGCAACTTGTCCAAGAATTCAAAGTAAATTATTATTTTTTAATGGTAGATTTACTATTAACCAAGTGTTGGATCCTAAGAGTTTTACAAATGTATCGGGAGTAACTCTCAATGCACAAACTCAGACATATGGGAAATACCTATTACTATATTTTCTTTAAGTCCAATAAAATATAACTTTGAACCTGCTAAGTAGGCTGCAAGAAAATTCAGTTATTTCAGGTTCCTTCCCTGGTCTAAGAATTGCAACAGAATCAAGAAGGTTTGTGCAATATCTAGCAATGATAGGAAGGGCTTCTAGTCTCCAGTTAGTTGTAACCCTGCTGAAATCATAATGAGTCTATAGTGATGTGTTGAGATTAGAGGCTCACTGCTGCAATACTATCTGTAGGTTTAGTGCAGGAATCTGCATCTCGGCTGAAAGCCTCAGAACCCAGAGTCCAGCTTACCTGAGCATCCTGAAAAGAACTCCCATTACTTCCCACTGTCGAGACTTTAGAAGAAACTCTGTGGGTATGTGCTCTTACCCCACTCTGGCTTCGGTCCTCTCTTTTTATTGTAAAAACAAACTGATAATCTCTCCCTCCCTCCCACTTTCCCTCTCTCCTGGTATCCCTCAAAAAGGATTCCTTAATGGACTTTCATCAATAAGCTCAGGATTTAGTAAAGCAGAAGCTGGGAAGGGAAGTGGTTTACAGGCAACTCCTGCTATAATTGAAATTCTTTTTCAAAGCAAAGAAACATAGAAGACCTGTTTACTTTGGTAGAATGGATGTGGGGGAGGAGAAAACCAACAGAAAACAAAACATAACTGTATTTCTCAAAAAGTTTATTACCACACTAATATCATTTCATTAAACTTCACAGCAAGCTTGTGAGCAGTTAATTAATACAGCCTCCAACTTTTAGATGAAAAAAAAAACTGAAACAAAGAAGCTTTGAATAACTTTCCCAAGGTAACTCAACCAGTAGGTGACCAAGAAAGATTTAAGTTCAAACTCTGACTTCCCTGGAGCTTCTGTTCTGGCTCTGGGGAAATGAAGAGGAAGACAATAACTGGATAAGGCTCGACATCTATCATGACTTGACGGCATGAGCCAGGAAGCCTGTTATTAGATGGAAAAAAAAAAACAGGCTTAATCGCTTGGAATACAGAATGTAAAATGGGATTTCCCTGGTGTAGAGAAAAGGACAATAGGAAGAAGTTGGTTTGAGAAGTAGAAAGTAAAAATCTGAATTATCAAAAGAAGAAATTTAGAAAGGAAGATGTCCTTGGACTCGAGGCTCTGACTTGGATTTTCCACCTGTGAGTCATTCAACTTGTTCCAAAGGCAAGACGTGTTTTTTTTTTTAGCAATAGTTTTGAGTTGAGATTTTTTGTAATGAATTCCAAATGAAAACCCTTGTCCTCTTCGTGGGACAATCTCTTGGTTTAATGCCAAAGATTTACTGTTTGATGGAGAAAATGTTGTCAAAATACGGTTCCCATTCCATAGTCATCAGAAAACACATGGGAGGGATATATACACTTCCTGGACACACACACACACACACACACACACACACACACACACACAACACAGACACATGAATAACTTTCCTAAATAATTTGATGATACATTTGGAATTGATCTCATGCATATTAAACCCTCTGAAAAGTCCATGTCTATGAAGTGAAGCTTTAAATAGTAAGCTTTGTTGCCTACAAAGGTCAAATACACCCTCTTGTGGTAAAATGGCATATTTTATTTCCAGATGATTTCTATCATAGAGCTCACAACATGGTAGTTTGAAGAATAATGAGTACTTGAGAGGAAACAATGAAACTTATAATGCTTTTATGCTGTAATGTCAATGCCATTTTTAAAAAAATATTAATTCTATCTGTCTTATGGACTCCCATAAGCTCTAATTTTCAGATGAAAAAACTGAGGTTCCAAAAGCTTGTATAACTTGTCCAAGGCAAGCCAGCTAAGGAGTAGAACAGTGAAGTAAAACAAAGACATTGAATGTCCTCTCTATTACAACAAACATACCATAATAAAATGGATCCAACTGATTCCCAAAAGTTATGAGAGTTAATTATGAGAGTTAAGGCTGAAAAACTAAGACTGCCTGAAGGTGAATGTAATCTTGTAACAGATGCATGCGTAACAGATTGTATCAATGGTCTAACAGTTAACTGCCATAAGCAGGGGAAGGGGTCAGCTACCCAGGCGCGGGAGGACCTTCATTTTATTATTTGGCTTTCCACCCAATACTTGCTGTCCATCAGCCAATCACTTGTGAGTCCAATTCATCAATATGTTTTCAGTGTCTGATGTCTGCTAGGCTGTCCTAGGAACTAATGATATAGTAATCACCAAGACAGATAAGATCCCTGGCCTCACAGAGTTTATATTCAACCTGGGTATATTGGTTTTCTGTCATTGTACAACAAATTATTCGAGTGTTAAAACAACACTCATTTATAGCATGCAGTCCCCAAGGTCAAAAGATGAGCTGGAGTCCCTGCTTAAGACCAAAATTAAGGTGTTTGCCAAGCACTGCTCCTACCAGGAGGCTCTTGGGGGAAGAATCTGCTTCCAAGTTCATTCAGGTGGTTGGCAGAATTTAGCTCCTGGTAGTTGTAGGACTCAGTTCCCCAGTCGCATGTTGTCTGTCTGTCGGGGCCTCTCTCAGCTCCTTCAGGCTACTCGCATTCCTCATCCCATAGTTCCTCCCTCTTCAAACCAGCAATGACACATCCGTTCCTCTCATGCTTTGACTTCCTCTAACTTCCTCTTCTCGACCAGCTGGAGAAAATCCTCTGCTTTTAAAGGGCTCCTGTGATTCTGTAAGACCCACCTGGATCATCTCTTTTTTTGCCCTATAATATAATCATGGGAATGATATCTAAGCATATTCCCAGCTTTCACCCACACTCAAAGGGAAGGGGAGCATACACTGGTGAAGGTCCACTGACAGTCATTCTTAGAAATCTGCCTCTCACAATGGGCAAGACAGTCATGAAAACAAAAGCATAATTTTTGGTTCTGAAGCCTAAGAAAGGAAATAGGCTGCTATAATAGAGAGAGCTGAATAGTGAGAATGAGCTAGCTGCACAGAAGGAAGAGTGTTCCAGACCAAGAGAAGATCCTGAGATGAAATAAAATTTGGGATGTTCTGGGAATGGAGAGAGTTCAGCAAGGGAGAGAGTGGTGCAAGATAAGGTTGGAGAGTTGTGTCCAAACAAGCTAGTGTGGAGATTTGCAGACCTTGGTAAGGAGCTGGGATTTTATTTTTAACACACTTAAAAGTCAATGAAGCATTTAAAACTCAGGAAGAGTATGAACTGATTTGTATTTTTAAAAGATATTTTTTTTTTGAGACAGAGTCTCGCTCTGTTGCCCAGGCTGGAGTGCAGTGGCGTGATCTTGACTCACTGCAACCCCCGCCTCCCAGATTCAAGCAATTCTCTGCCTCAGCCTCCCAAGTAGCTGGGATTACAGGCATCCACCAGCATGTCTGACTAATTTTTGTATTTTTAGCAGAGACGAGGTTTCACCATCTCGTCCAGGCTGATCTTGAACTCCTGACCTCGTGATCCACCCACCTCAGCCTCCCGAAGTCCTGGGATTACAGGTGTGAGGCAGTGCACCCAGCCAAGACAATTTTAGATGCTGGGTAGGAAGGGGATTATAAGGGAAGAGAAGTAGAATCATGGTAAGAAGTTGGGGTACTTGGTGGATCCAGGACAGAGATGATGGGGCTGGGGCTATTGTGGAGGCAACAGAGGGGGTGTAAGGAGGGCTCTTCCAAAGATACATTTGAGAGCTTTGACTGACAGGACTTCCTGGTAGACTGTTCATTTCTTTGTTATATATCATCACCTAGAATTGAGATTTTACACATTTTAATAAAAACAAATGTAATGTCATTTGCAGCAAATATGTTTATGCACCTGGGAAGAGCAAGAGACTTGACTGCAACCCCAGGAGGAGTGAACAGAGGTGTCAGGGGTTGGGGAGCAGCACTCAGTGCAGAGGAGACCCCATCAGGATGTGTTGGAGAAAGAACGCAGCCCGCCAGCCTCAGGCTTCCAAAGCAGGTATTCTGGAAGGCCAGTCAGCAGGAAGGTGAAACTCCCCACCCCGGGCAGACTCCTTCAAACAGAAGGTCTCTCTTAGCCCACAGGGGACCACAGGATCTAACCTAGCAAAGGAGATTTCGATATAAAATTTCCTTTCCTGTTGGTCTGTCCTCAAAGATTTCACAAAGATTCACATAAATGCTTAGGGAATCTATGAACAAAATCTCAGGATTGTGTAGGCAAAGACCTACATCTCTAAGAGTGAATGGTGTAAATGAAGACCCATATGAGGAATCGAAGCAAATTACTTTCTTCAAAGTAGCCTCAGTGCAACTAACTCACACAGAGAAAACTTTTTGAAGAACTTTATATTCTCAAAGATGTTTAAGAAAATGTTACTTCATTTCAAAAAAAATAAAGCACAGGCCATCATAAAATAGAACAGGCATTCACTCCTACCCTTCATTATGTTATATATATAAAATGTATAACATGTATAAATGCACACACATACATACACACATCAATGTGGAGCCTTCTGTCCTTTCTACAGTCTGGAATCATTCAAATAAATATAGGCATTATCCATTGTATTATATTGAACTCAGCTGTAAAACCATTTGAGTCTATTTCCTTTTTTAAAATACCAGCTCTGTAATTATCATTTTAGTCCTTTCTGTGTCTGTCCTGGTTTCTTAACTCTTCCTGGATCCATTTCAGAAGTGAATATTTTAATAGGAGCCCTTCTGTGCCCTCAAGATCTTAAAATATATTGCCACATCGTTGCACATAATAGTCTCTAATATTTCTTTAAATCTCTTCCATATTTATACCTCCCTTCTTGTTACTAACATGGCATGGTGTTGCTTGTTTGCTTTTTATTTCACCAGAATCAGCAGAGAAAAAACTATTTTATTAGCCCTTTGAAGTAACAACTTTTGGTTGTATTTATCTCTTCAACTCTTCCTTCATTTTCTAGTGAATCAATATAAGCTGTTTATCCTCCCTAATACCCACCTCTTGCTTTCCTTTGTTTTATTTTGGATTTTTTTTTTTAATTTGTAAGATTATATACTTTCTTCATTAGCTCGGTGTCTTTATTTAAACTTAAACATAATGTCATGTAAAACTATACAATTTTCTATGTATTTTAGTCATGACCCACAGGTTTTGCTAATGAAATATTTTATTTTTATTCTTTTTGAGAAAACCTGTTGGCCGGGCGCGGTGGCTCACGCCTGTAATCCCAGCACTTTGGGAAGCCGAGGCGGGTGGATCACGAGGTCAGGAGATCGAGACCATCCTGGCTAACACGGTGAAACCCCGTCTCTACTAAAAATACAAAAAAAAAATTAGCCGGGCTGGTGGCGGGCGCCTGTAGTCCCAGCTACTCGGGAGGCTGAGGCAGGAGAATAGCGTGAACCCGGGAGGCGGAGCTTGCAGTGAGCAGAGATCGCGCCACTGCACTCCAGCCTGGGCGACAGAGTGAGACTCCATCTCCAAAAAAAAAAGAAAAAAAACTTGTTTTTTCAGGTATGATCTGGTTTAGGGGTTATTTGTGAGAGTGTGTTTTTAATTTATGCAAAAATCGCTTTTGGTCCATTTTGGTTTCATTGTTCATTTCTAGTTTTATTGAATTATGATAAAAGAATGCGGTCTATAAACTTTGCACTTTTGGTAAATCATTAAAGTTTTCTTTCGGTCAAGTACATCATTGAACTTTTATAAGTGTTCCATAAGCATAAGAAAAAAAAATAACCTTTTTTTGTCATAGAAAGACATGTTGTCTCTATCAGTGTGTTTCTGCAAGCATGTGTGCACTGAATAACCTAATTTTAATTGTATATTACTTTATAGCTTGGGTTGTTCAAACACTAGATAAATCTACTTATATTTTGCTATTTAATTTGTCCAGTTTGAAAGGAGTACAATAAAATTTCCATTTGCAAATGTCCAAATTTCCATTTTTCATCTGGAAATTTGCAATTTCCAAAATGCAATTATAATAAGAAATAATTGCATATTTAAATAAATCTCTCTTTGGATTTTTAGTAGGTCTTCAGACATTATAATATTTAATAAATGGTGCTGGCACGATTTGCTCTCCATTCTAGACAAAAACAAAGCCAGACTCAGCCCATATGCAGCAATTAATTGCATATGAATTAAATATGTAAATGTAAAAATAAAAGCACTAGAAGAAGTCTCAGAAGAATTTAGCTCTAGCGATCTTTCCAAGCAAGCCTACAGAAGTCAAGAATCCATAAAGACACTTTCTGCCACATAAAATTATTAACTATTTATATGACAAAAAGTTGCAAAGTCGAAAGGCAAATGTCAATGGGTATAATGGCAAAGGTTTCCAGAAAAAATCCCCTTGTGAGCCTAGGCCCTTCCTTTATAGCCCATATTGCAATGAGACTTTCTCTCCTTCATCACATTTAATTGTTTGGAAACAATTTGAATTGTTTCTTAAATTAGTTGAAACTTGTAAGACTTACATATATATATATATAGCAGGCTTGTATACCAGCAGTCCCCAACCTTCTTGGCCCCAGGGACTGGTTTCATGGAAGATAATTCTTCCATGAACTTGCGGCCAGTAGGGGGATAGTTTGGGGATGATTCGAGCACATTACATTTATTATGCACTTTATTTCTATTATTATTACATTGTAATATATAACAACATAATTATATAACTCATCATAATGTAGAATCAGTGGGAGGCCTGAGCTTGTTTTCCTACAACTAGGTGGTCCCATCTGGGGGTGATGGGAGACAGTGACAAATCATCAGGCATTAGATTCTTATAAGAAGCATACAACCAAGATCCCTTGCATGCACAGTTCACAATGGGGTTCGCACTCCTATGAGAATCTAGTGGCACCACTGATGTGACACTAGGCGGAGCTCAGGCAGTAATGCTCACTTGTCCACCACTCACCTCGCACTGTGCAGCTCAGTACCTAACAGGTCACAGACCAGTACCAGTCCGCAGCCCGGGGATCGGGGACCCCTGTTGTATACCTTGATTAGCAACAGTTTGTACTTATGTATACATGTTGTGTTTGAAACTTAAGACAGGGGTTACCCTTTACCAGATCATTTCAAAGAACCAGTGGGTGAACTGGGCCTGGGCAGTCCTGCCTCTGAAGGCCCAGCAGTCTCCGAAGAATCCCATGCAACTTACAATTAGAAAAGCTAACAAAAGTCAGGGTCCCAGAGCCCATCTCAAGAGCTGAGAGGGACAACCTAACACACACCAAGTTCTTGCTGATGACTTATGTACCAGCTGAGAATTGCTGGAATAATTAATAAGGGGGAATAAATAGATTCTTTGGAATATACAGACTCTGAGAATCACATTCAAGGCCCTTTCCACTGTTAGCATGGTGAGAAGTTGTAACACTTTACTCCGTGTACAGTTAGGGATCCTCTCCTTTCCGCTCCATTATGACTAGGAATAAGAAAGATGGCATAGAAGCCTGCTGTGTTTTTTGTACTCAGGCTTGTGAGTCTAGTTTCTACATATAAAAGTCACTCACAGGAAAAAATAGAATCTGTTCTTAGACATTGGAAATAGACAGTGCATCTTCAATCAAACTAACAGAACTAGTAAAACACTGACAATTCAAATGACAGACAAATGTTGACTCTCCCAAAATCAAAAAAGGGCCTATAGATCAGAAAGGAGAAGACAAGGTAACAGAAAAATGTGCAAAGTCTATAACAAGCAAGCTACAGAACAGAAAAATACAAATGACCAATAGGTATATTAAAAGATTCTCACCTTACTACTGATCAAGAAAACACAAATAAAGCAACAATATGTTCCCATTTTCCCCCCTCAAAACTGGAATAAATTAAAAGAGTCATGGGATCTAGTGCTGGAGAAAATTTCGATGGGCATTGTTGTACATTGTTGGTATGAGTGTAAATTAGTACAACATCCTTGCAAAATATTCTGGCAATACCCATTATATGTTAGAATATATAGATGTTTGTCCCCACAATCTCACACTGAGAGATCTAATCTATAAAAATAAAAGCATCAATGAGATTAGAGTTACAGTGTCATTAATTACAGCATCATCTTTTACAAACATCTTGGAAACAACCTGAGTGTTATTAATTAGGGGACTGCTTAAATCAAGCGTGATTCAGTTGTACTGGGGAATACTATTCAGGCATTAAAAAGAAAGAGCCAGATCTGTATCTATTGGCCCACAAGATTTTCCAACAATAGTTCTTTAATAATAATAATTAAGTAGAAAAAATACTAAATAGAATAAAATAGAGAAAGAAAAGACAAATATATAACAAAGGTCTAATAACTAGCATATATAAGGAATTTAAACAAATTTCAAGAAAAAAAAACCCATTAAAAAGTGGGCAAAGGACACGAACATCTACCTTTCAAGTGAAGACATACACGTAGCCAACAAACATATGAAAAAAAAAGCTTGATATCACTGATCATTAAAGAAATGCAAATCAAAACCACAATGAGATACCATCTCACACCAGTCAAAACGGCTATTATTAAAAAGTCAAAAAATAACAGATGCTGGCGAGGTTGTGGAGAAAAGGAACACTTATATACTGTTGGTGGGAGTGTAAATTAGCTCAACCATTGTGGAAAGCAGTATGGCAATCCCTCAAAGAGCTAAAAATGGAAATACCATTCGACCCAACAATCCCAATACTGGGTATATACCCAGAGGAATAGAAATCATTCTACCATAAACACACATGCACGTGAATGTTCACTGAAATGCTATTCACAATAGCAAAGACCTGGAATCAACCTGAACACCCATCAGTGACTGACTGGATAAAGAAAATTTGGTACATATGCACCATGGAATACTATGTAGCCATTAAAAAGAATGAGATCATGTCTTTTGCAGGAAGATGGATGGAGCTGGAGACAATTATCCTTAGCAAACTAACACAGGAATAGAGAAACAAATACCACATGTTCTCACTTATAAATGGGAGCTAAATGATGAGAATTCACAAATGCAAAGAAGGGAACAACAGACACAGGGTCTACTTGAGGATTGAGGGTGGGAAGAGGGAGAGGAGCAGAAAAAAAAAAACTATTGGTTACTACGTACCTAGGTACCTAGGGTGATGAAATAGTCTGTATAACAAACTCCCATTACACAAATTTACCTATATAATAAACATCCACATGTACCCCTGAACCTAAAATAAAAGCTAAAGAGAAAAGGAAAGAAAAGACACATATATAACATTTAGAAAAATAAAGGAGCTATAACAATATAGGAAGAAGAATAAGCTTATGAGTATACTATATGCATGTATGTGTACACATATACAAAATAGTAAGCACACATATACACTACTTGAAAACCTGATTACTACAAAAGTTTAAACATACAGCTTCATTCTTTTCAGTGGTAGAAAACCTGAATAAACAAATATATATGCAAGTACCTGAAAAAAAGTTGTTCAATATAACTCTTAAAATATACTGGATCAGATGGATTGAACAAACTTTGAAAAACAGATTACATCTCTGCTCTATAAATCGTGGTGGAGCAGGGTGGGGGAAATCCCATTGTAGGAAGCTAGCATGACTCTGAGAAAAAATCTAGCAAAAAGCACAAAATATAAAAACTAGGTAACCTGCCTAGATGCCAATATGGCAGGATTATAAAAGCTTGTAGCACAACATTTGGTTAAGTAACACAAAGTCAAAATATGCGGCTGGGCATGGTGGCTCACACCTGTAATCCCAGCACTTTGGGAGGCTGAGGTGGGTGGATCACTTGAGGTCAGGAGTTGGAGACTAGCCTGGCCAACATGGTGAAACCCCGTCTCTACTAAAAATACAAAAATTAGCAGGGCATGCTGGCACATGCCTGTAATCCCAGCTACTTGGGAGGCTGAGGCAGGAGAATTGCTTGAACCCAGGAGGCGGAGGTTGCAGTGAGCCAAGATTGTGCCATTGCACTCCAGCTTGGGTGAAGAAGCGAGACTCCATCTCAAAAAAAAAAAAATCAAAATATGTATAAGCATACCATAGCTATCTATATGAAGGTAATTATGCAAATATTTCAATTTTTAAACTTCCAAAAGTTAATCCACTACTGATTAAAATCCAAGAGGTTTTTTGTTGTTATTGTCAGGGAGTTTTTCAAGAGAGTGGGAGGAAGCAAGGATCATCACTAAAATTCTTAAATTCACCGGAAGAAGAAATATGTAGGAGAAATAGATGAGAACTTAAAAATATATTTAAGGAATAATAGCAAAAGGGACATATTCCACCAGAAAGCCACATGTACTTAAAATAATTAAAATCAATGTAGTCTCAGTACAGGATTGGACAGACAGGTAAAGAATGAGAATAGAAAATCCAGAATGGCACAAGATGAAAAAATTGAGTAAGTGATACACGAAAATTTTCAGCTCTCCATAGAAAGAATACATGTTTCAGAAATGTTATTTTAAAACGTGGTTAGCTGTTTGGAAAAAGATTCTATTCAACCCAGAATTCTAATTTAATTCATTGGTAATCAAAGAAATGCAAAGAAAATCAAGGTATTCTAGTTTCTTTGCTTATTATGTCAGGAAAGATACAAATATTGTGGTCAAAAGGATGTTCCCAGTGGGGTGCAGTGGCACACACCTGCACCTGCAGTCCCAGAGAGTGGGGAGGCTGAAGTGAGAGGATCTCTTGAACCCAGGAGTTTGAGCCTGGGCAACTTAGTGAGACCTTATCTCAAAAAAAAAAAAAAAAAAAAATATGCTCCCTGTGTTAGTGGGATTAAAAATGCGCACAGACTTTCTGCTGTGCCATGTGACCACATTTAACACTGAAACTGACACAATAATTCCACTTTGAAGAATTTATTAAGAAATAGATGACAACGGACAACCTGTAATAACATTGAAGCGCTACAGAAAATAGATTTTCCTACTAAAATAAAATATTATTAAATGAACCCAAGAAGAGTGAAAAAACTGGAACAGAATTTGTACCAGAGAACACATTGGAGAGGTCATCATTGAGCGACTGCTGAAAAAAAAAAGAACCAGCTTCAAATGATTTTACAGCTCAGTTCACTATATCTTTAAGAAATAGGTAATACCAGGAGATAGAGACCATCCTGGCTAACACGGTGAAACTCCGTCTCTACTAAAAATACAAAAAAAAAATTAGGCGGGCGTGGTGGCGGGTGCCTGTAGTCCCAGCTACTCGGGAGGCTGAGGCAGGAGAATGGCGTGAACCCAGGAGGCGGAGCTTGCAGTGAGCCGAGATCGCGCCACTGCACTTTAGCCTGGGCGACAGAACGAGATTCTGCTTCAAAAAAAAGAAAGACAGACAGACAGACAGAAAGAAAGAAAGACAGACAGACAGACAAAGAAAAAAGAAAGAAAGAAAGAAAGAAAGAAAGAAAGAAAGAAAGAAAGAAAGAAAGAAAGAAAGAAAGAAAGAAAAGAAAGAAAGAGAAAGAAAGAAAGAATACCTATGAATAGGTGAACAATTCCAGAGTGCAGAAAAAAGAGAACTCACCTCAGTGAATTTTACAGAGATGGGCAAAAGTCGAGTCCCTGCAATGGCAGCAAATCTGGATCTCTATCTCCATCCCAAAGTGGGGGGCTCCCCTCCGTACTGCAATGTCCCTTGCCCTACCCCAGGGCACAGAGCTTTCTCCCATCCCAGAGTCCAGCCTTCGGAAAACAAGACCTGGAAGGATCCCTTTGATCCCTGGGATTAGTAAATTTTCAAAGGAAACTCCCAGCTCTTGGAGCTGAGCTAAAGGCCATGGAGCAAGAATTAAGTGCAAATTTTCTTACCTCATTATCCTGCCAAATTATGTATACATTAATTTCAAAAGAATTTTTCACAAATATTTTCAGAAGTAACCTTTAGTTTCTTGAATTTTTTTATTAATTATAATTTCTTCTTTATCATTGTACATACTGTTTGAAGCTCTGAACAATAAACATATTCTTTTATGATAAAAAACAAAAGCTATTTTCATGGTAAAAAAATGGGAATTTATATTAATAGATCAACTTAGAGAAAAGCTGACATCTTTACAATATTAAGTCTTCCTGTATAGGATAATAGGTAGGAATTAAACTTATCTATGTAAAGCCCTATTTAGTGTATCTCAGATACCTTTTGTAGTTTTCTTCACATAGTTTTAGATATTTAATATATTTGGTTGATTTTGTTAATTATAACTTTTTCATTTTAACTTGCAACTGGTTGTTGCTGGTATACAGTAAAAGGATTGAATTCAATGCATTTCTAGAAGACTAGCTCTCTAGAGGGAACCTGACATACTAGTTTTGTAATTAGCATCGATGCCTTTAGTGTCTTGCCTTTGAAAATGATGTTTGTGGCTATTTATTTATTTATTTATTTAGACAGAGTGTTGCTCTGTCACCAGGCTGGAGTGCAGTGGCATGATCTCGGCTCACTGCGACCTCTGCCTCCCAGGTACAAGCAATTCCCCCTGCTTCAGCCTCCCAAGTAGCTGGGACTACAGGCGCGTGCCACCACGCCTGGCTAACTTTTTTTTTTTTCTTTTTTTTTTTTTGGTATTTTAGTAGAGATGGAGTTTCACCATGTTGGCCAGGATGGTCTTGATCTCCCGACCTCGTGATCCACCTGCCTCGGCCTTCCAAAGTGCTGGGATTACAGGGGTGAGCCACCACACCTGGCCTCGATGTTTGTGGTTTATTTCAGAAAGATGTCCTTTTCTTGGTCAGGAAGTATATTGTGGTTGCTAATTATCAATTTTTTTCTAGAAATTGTTCAAAAATATTTTAGTATATACGAGGAATGTCTTATGGTCTTTTTTTTTCAAACTGTTAAAGCAGTCATTATTATTAATCTATTTTTAAGACTGAACCATTTCTGGGTTTCTGAAAAAACAAACAAACAAAAACCCTACCTCTTCAAGGTAGAGTATTCTTTTATCATGCTGATTCTATTGCCAACATTTTTCTTAAGGTTTGGCCTTGGTATTTATTTAAAAATGACTTTCGTCTGTAGCTTTCTGTTTTTATGGGATACATTTGTCAGGGTTTCTTAGCTATGCTCTGCTAACTTCATAGAATGAATTGCAAAGTTTTCCATATTTTCCATGCTTTTAAATGCCTAAATGGTATAAAAACTGTTTCGAAAAGAACTAATAGCCTTTGAGTCTCAGTATTGTTCCAGCATATTACAATGAATATTGTAGATTAGTTTTATAATCTAACAGAATGAGTGCTTTAAAATACAAAACATTGCAGGACTAGAATACCTAAAGACAAGATGAAATGTAATGAAAAATTAAATGAAAAGTGAGTTTTAGAAATCATCTGTATGGAATAATCCCCAATAGCTATAAACACATGTATTCAAATGAGCTGGAAAGAAATATAATAAAAGGTTCACAGCGGTTACTTCTGGAAGACAGAATGACTGGGGATTTTTATTTCCTCTTTTGAGTTTTCCTACATTACACTCTTTCCACCATTCACATGTGACATTTTTGCAATTAGAAATTTATTAATTAATGACTTGTTAAAGATGCTGAGCTCTTCAAAGTAAGAGCTGAGGCTCGTGAACATCAATGATACTTACAAACACTTCTATGCAGCTGAATGCCAAAGAAGACGCACATTAAATAAGGACATGGATTGTGTTCATTGTCTCAGAAACTCGCATCTATTGCAGGGTGATGAAGGTTTGTCTAGAAAGGTTCAACTATGCCTTTTCTCTCCCACCCACTGATGATATCCAACAGGAAATTAAAAAGGGGTGGGAGGCAAGGGTTGAATGTTTTACAAGCATTGTGGGCAGTCCTCTGGACAAGAAGGGTCTCCCCATTGCCACTGAGTGCGGTCACCAGCCAGCAAAGTGCTCCAGCACCTCTAATTAACTCATTCTGCAGAAATTTGGAAGAAAAAGTCAGCAATTTTAGAAAGGTGCTGACTCAATATTTTACTACAGCTGTACCATGATGTTGATCAAATGGTATCAGTCACTCAATGTAGAAGTGAAATAACAGATTTTTCAAAGAGGTATTGAGAGCAGATTTCCTCACCTTGTGATTTAATCTGACCCAGATACCCACAGTTGGCTTTATTCACAGTTTAGCCACTGTGTTCTTCTGGCTTCTCTTTACGCGAAATGTACGGAGCTTCCCAGTCTCAACCCAGGACCTCTCCCAGACAGCACTTCCATTGAGCCGCCCGCTGCAGAGATAGCTCCTGAGATAACGCAGGGAGAAAAGACTGCCCATTCGTCTCTTTTAGGTTGTTTCTTTCTGATATCCAAACATCATTAACGCAGTGAAAAATTCAGTCAAACCAGCTGCGTGGCTTCATGTCGACGCAGAAGTAAACTCATTTTCCTGAGAGCCAGAGGGGGCCGTGTTTGTCCACTTACACACACACACTCCAGCTGTGCCCACCTCTGGCTTCTGTGTCAATGGAAATCATTTGTTCAATTTGCTGCCCTAGTGCTGAGTTATCTTAATGCCTGAAAATGCAGATGAGAATCGCTGGTATTCCCATAGCACCCCTGGCCTTGCCCTGGCTGTTTTCTCCGTGAAGAATGAATGTTCCTGCCCCCTGACTCGTTACTTCCTTTTTTTCTTTCTCTCTCTCTCTCTGCTTTTCCATTGGGGAGTCTGGTAAATTCCTAAACTCAATTCAAGAGTCATTTCCTTTCCAAGGCTGTCCCGAATCTATCCCTAGGTGTTCTATCCTTTTGTTACTATTTATCTATTTGTACAAGCACATTTGTCCCCCACAATAGACCATGAGTTCTTGAAAGACTAACAGTGGCAACCAGGGGCCACATTCAGTGCTTTCTATTGCACTAACCACTGTGCTAAGCCCTTGATGTTTCTTACACTTATTATACAATATTGATGATTGCTAATATTTTCATTCTTTATGTAACTCTGCATGCATTAAACTTAAAATATTTATATAAATTCTTACAGTAGTCTATAGCTAGATTCTATCATTATTCCCATTATATAGATGCATACACTGAGCTTTAAAGAAATTCATTCATTTGCCCAAAGTCACTGGCTAGTTGGTGGTAAGCAGTAGCATAAGCACTGACTACGACTCAATGCTGGCAGTCAACTTCACAGTCTTAATCATCTTTATAGCCCCAGGACCTAGCAGTCTGCCTAAAACATAGAAGCTGTCTAAGATATATTTATGGAACCCATATATGACTCACTTAACAAAACAAGACAAAGACCACCTGGATAAGGAAGCAGAAAAGCTTCAGGAAACTTCAGTTTCAATGATACATTCTGGTGACTTCCCTGACCACCCTCTTATTGGCTTCTGTAACAGCCTGGAGATCACTCACCACATCCTGTACAATCCCGTATTTATTTATCTGCCTGCTCATTAGTTCAACTGTCTGCCTCCACTAGTTGATCATAAAGTCCATAAGGAGCTTTGTAACCACAGCATCCCTGGTGCCTGGGATGCTTTCTCTCACTCAATAAAAACTAAGTGAGGCTGGCCCTGGTGGCACACGACTGTAATCCCAGCACTCTGGGAGGCCGAGATGGGCGGATCACCTGAGGTCAGGAGTTTGAGACCAGCCTGGCCAACATGGGGAAACCCCTGTCTCTACTAAAAATACCAAAAATTAGCCAGGCGTAGTGATGGGTGCCTGTAATCCCAGCTACTCAGGAGGCTGAGACAGGAGAATTGTTTGAACACGGGAGGTGGAGGTTGCAGTGAGCCGAGATCGCGCCACTGCACTCCAGCCCGGACAACAAGAACGAAACTACATCTCAAAAACTAAGTGAATGAATGAAGGCATGAATGAAATGCAGCTCCTGCTCACCTCTCTATACAGTGTTTTTGAAATGAATAATGCCAAAAGCTCTCCCTAGTGTTCTGTGACTCAACAACATTCACTCAGGCCGGGTGCAGTGGCTCACGCCTGTAATCCCAGCACTTTGGGAGGCCGAGGCGGGCAGATCACAAGGTCAGGAGTTCGAGACCAGCCTGGCCAACACATAGTGAAACCCCATCTCTACTAAAAATACAAAAAATTAGCCGGGTATGGTGGCAACGCCTGTAATCCCAGCTACTCCAGAGGCTGAGGCAGGAGAATGGCTTGAACCCAGGAGGCGGAGGTTGCAATGAGCCGAGATCGCGCCATTGCACACCAGCCTGGGCGACACAGCGAGACTCCGTCTCAAAAAAAAGAAAAAACAACATTCACTCACTAAACATGATCTGTGTTTTTGGTTTTTTTTTTCCTTGCTTCTCCCTACTACAGGACAATTAAATGAGCATGCGCTGTGGTTAGATGCCACAATTGAGAAATTAACTCTGACTGGTTTTCTCAGGAGTAAACCAGTAAATTCCACAAAAGAGTAAGCCTCCTGCAAGCTTTGTCCTCCCCAAGGGCCTTGAGTCCTGGAGGTCTGGTTTGATTTGACTTTTTGACTTTTGACACTTATTTATCCTCAAGTATCCTGAAGCAATAACCTTTTACAATTTTCTTTTCCTTTCCTACCACCACAATATTGGTTCAGATCCTTGCCTTACATTAAGGCTGTGTAAATAACCTTGCCATAAATCAGAGGACTTCAGATAGGAGGGGAATTTGATAGTCGATCAATATCACACCCCTTCTCCTCACCTCTTCTGAGAAAACCACGAAGCCCAGAGCTATAAAGTGACTTAGATGATGACACCAGAGGGACAAGTAGAACCCAGGCTCCTGGCCTTCTGGCCTGTGTCCTGTTTCCACACCCTGCCTTTCATTTTGAGGCTTAATCTCTCATCTCTTAAGGCCACTTCATAGTCTGTCTCTTTTCTATGTTAATAAGCAGAACTAGGCTTGCTCAAGAATATAGGAAATTGCACATTTATAAGACATCAGATTGATTGTGAGCTGTGCAAAGCAAAAAGATTACATTTCCTATAAATCTGTTTCCACTCAGTCCCGGCCAGGCCAAGCCAGCAGCTCACATTTTGTGGCCATTCCCACCGCCCTGTGGCGGAGGCCTGGTACTGCACACATGGCATGAAACAACCCCCAACAAGCAGCAGGCTGCAACTGGCTTGAAGGTATTTATGCAAGTCGATCTTGACCCACGTTTTTTTCTATGTCCATGAATGGAGCCATATCGGCCTGACTTGAGCATTATTGTTGCTGAGATACAAGAAGGTCACAGAGGAAGTAGAAGAGGTAAATCCCTCTAAAATTCATGACTTTTATTTCATGAGGATCATAAAAGGCCATTGAGAACCATCCTAAGAACCTGCTCATTATAAATCACGCTCTTTAGAAACTACTTTGGAATCTCTGCATCCCTACACCTGTCTCTGAGCTCCACATGTGGAATCTCCCCAGACCCCATGACCTTCATACACATTTCACCATTTCCCAGAGCCAGATTTTTATCACACAACCAGAATCCCGATTGTCAGTTGCATTAACAACAGATCAAAAAGATGTTTTTTAAAAAAAAACCCATATTGGTTCATAGTCTCAGAGGTAACACTGATATACACAGGCCTATGTGATTGTTTATAGTGGCTCTGGTACCATCTAGAATTTCAGGAAATTTAATTTATAGATATTGTAGAAATATAGAAGATGAAAACATACCTTTCATGAATGTCACCCCCTTTCAAGTTGTGAACTAATTATTACAATATATGAGTATATGTCATAGGCAGAGCATCTATGAATAGATTTAAAAGTCACCCCCAAATCATACCAGTTCATCTGCATTTACTGATATATACAGTGCTCATTAGGAATGGCCTGTGGTTCATGTGAATGGATACAAGAACTCATAACTGAGGACGGCTTCTTCCAGAAGAATCAAGAGTGGCTGAAAAAGTAAGACCATTTGTTATTTCAAACAACAAGAGGTCCAGAAGCAGTATGTTTTCAAAATTAGCTCAACACTGTCATTAAGGACCCAAGTTCTTTTTCTTTTTCTACCCCAGCCCCCATACTCAAGGTATTAGCTTGACCCTCATGATCATGTAGACACAGCAAGGCCCTGTTGAAAAGAGGGACATTTGCACCTCTGTGTCTCTTTTATTAGAAGAGAATACCTTTCCCAAAAGTCTCCAGCAGACTCATCCTGGGTTCCCATTGGCCAGGATTGGTCACATGCTGTGTCTTAGCTGCAAGAGAAGTTGGAAAAGTACTCCACAGGTATCCCTATTGTAGGAGGTGGGTCCTGCCAATGAATAGGGGGATGAGTTGTTAAATGACTGTAGAGTAGACCACTAATTACACTACCAATAAGTGTTACCTTTTCATAGCCCAACCAAGTAGTTACAGATTGTCTCTTTTCTTTTTATTCTCAAGTGATCAGTATTGCAATTTGAACTCTTTCCCTGTAAGCATCATCTTTCTATTGCATGGAATACTTTTCTCTCTGTACATACACATACATATACACACATACACATACACAGTGCATATATGCACATATATACACATACATATACACATACACATATACACATGTGTACACACATATACTCACAAAAACACATACATGTACATACATATACATATACACCCATACACATACATACCCATACACACATACATATACATACATGCATACCTACATACATATACACATGTGCACAAACATACACAGTACACGCATACATGTACACATATACACATGTACACATATATGCATATACATGTGCATATACACACACATGGCTTCACTGCATTCATTCAGCAAGCAAATACATATTATGTCTATTAGGAGCCAGACATATTGCTAGATGCTGAGGATACAATAGTAAATCGGGTGGGCATGGTTTCCACCCTCACAGAACTTATGTCCAGGAAGGAGAGATACCCAGGTCGTAGGTAATGGCAGGCTGTGATGGAGCGATGAGGAATAAGATGGATGGGGAGTGGCCTCATGTAGAGTACTGAAAGGCCAGGTGGGCAGCCAGGGGGTCAATTCCTTCCACCCCTCCTTGGCCTGAGACAGGGCACACGTAGTGTCCACCTTCCCTACCCCAGGCAGTGGGGAAGCTCTGTGGCTCTGAGCACTCGGCAGTTGGCCAACCTGGGGAGTGCAGATGAGAGCCAGGAAGCTTTGGGTGACCTTAGGAGCAGCAGGAGGGACAGAGATCGACAAGCAAATTTGGGAGGTAGAAGAGATGAGAAGAAGTTAGAGGGCAAGAGGGGAGACGAGTAAGTAGACCGAGAAGAAGGAGACTTTGTAAGAAGGGCAGTGTTTCCAAAATACCTTGACACTGGGATTTGACAGCACAGGAGGGGATGAGCCAGAAGTGGGTGACAGAGTAGCCTGCCCATCCTGGGACTGGGCCTGAAGACAGCTAGGTATGGCCTTGGTCTTCTGTTCCAAATAGTTCCCCCAAACAGGCAACCTCCTAGCAGCAGCCAACACCTCTTTTCCCTTGGGATTTGAGGGAACAAGCGCTCACTTGTTGTACCCAAGGCCCCTTCAACCACAGATAACATACAAGGAGCACATGAGGTTGAGCTTTAAGAATGGCTGTAAGCACTGACAAGGAATCATTTTAGGAGCAGGGTAAGAAGGCCTTTTTCCCAAAGCATGCCTTCTCTTCAGCTTGCAGCCCACTGAAATTGTTCAGATCAAGTCATGGCTTTTCATTACTTAAAGAAAAATAAAAGAATTCAAGATTCTGAGGTCTGAACAAGATCCTTTTGAGATTACCTCCAGATAATCTTGGGCCTGGGGGACTGGACCAGGAGAAGGTTGTAGGGATGGGAAGGAGTAGCCTGGAGCCATTGGACCAGAAGAGTGCAGAGCTGGAGACAGGGAGACCTGAGAAGGAGCTTTCCAAAACAGAAATGTTAAAATCTTAGCCATCGGTAGAACCAACTCCACCATCAACAGGTAATGTTCCATAAAAAGAAGAGTTCAGTTCTAAGCCCACAGGGCTGAAGCCAAGAACATCAGCCCAGAACCAAGGGGAGGGAACAGAGCTTAGAGTATGTGGATTTCATATTTAAACCGGATACTCATCCACAGCAAAATCCCAGAAACCCAGATGCTGGGAATCATGAAGCGCATCAATTGCCAATTGTTGTCTTGGTTTCACTGAGATTTTACGTTGGGTAAGTTATCTAATTTCTCTGACTCTCAGTTTCTTCTTTCTTTCTTTCCTTCCTTTCTTTCTTTCCTTCCTTTCTTTATTTCTTTCTCTCTCTCTCTCTTTCTTTTTTTTTTTTGAGACAGAGTCTCGCTCTCTCGCCCCGGCTGGAGTGCAGTGGTGCGATCTCGGCTCACTGCAAGCTCCACCTCCCAGGTTCACGCCATTCTCCTGCCTCAGCCTCTTGAGTAGCTGCGACTACAGGCGCCCGCCACCACGCCTGGCTAATTTTTTTTTTTTTGTATTTTTAGTAGAGACGGGGTTTCACCATGTTAGCCAGGATGGTCTCGATCTCCTGACCTTGTGATCCGCCTGCCTGGGCCTCCCAAAGTGCTAGGATTACAGGCGTGAACCACCGCGCCCAGCCCAGTTTCTTCTTTAAAATGGGGCCGTGGACATTCACCTAGTGAGATGAAGGCGTTACAGGTATGCAGGTTGTGGGGTTGCTGGATGTTGTAGCCACTTCTTTGAGAAATACTAAAGTTTTCCAGACCGAGGAAAAGGTTATCTATTTGTCTACAGCTCTGGAGCTTTTGGCTAGTGCTTCTGGGTTCAAAATCTCTTAGCTGTGTCTCCGCTTAAGGATAACTCTCCTGGGATTCTTTATAATTCCATGAGGTTGCTCGCCTCACACTTGTCAGCAATCTCGCTACCTCAATGAGCAGTTTCTTCTGTGAAAAAGAAATGAGGTTTTCAAATCCACCTGAACAGGAAAAGGGGCAGCCCAGACCCCCAGGGAATCGCCTAATTGGCAGCTCAGCCCCTACCCCCAAGTCCCCACAGGCCCGCAGCCCATCTGCTCCTGAACCGACTCCAGTCCCTGGACTTCTTCCCAGGTCCTAAACTACTTAAAAACTCCTTAGACAGAATGTTTCTTTTAAAACAGATTATCATCCATTTCTCCCCCACACTCCCCCATGAAAGGGCTCCCGAGTTTTGATTGTTTTTTTCTTTTTATGATGAATGAATTCTATCGTGTGTGTGTGTTTTTTTTTTGATGAATGAATTCTATCATGTGTGTGTGTGTATAATGTATAATGTATTGACATAGAGGGATCTCCCTAGTTTTCTCATAAATGAATTATATAATGTAGTTATATATAACTGGAAAATGTATAATTATACAATATATGTAGTTATAATTAGCTATATGCCTCCTCACAAGAATGAGAGCTCTTTGAGGACAAGGATGTGTTTTCTCCATCTCTCTGTTTCTATAGCTAAGTTTTAAAATACATGCAAATTAAATGAATGAACCTGTCACAAACTTGTTGTGAAAATGAATATCTATTATAAATTTTTTAAAAGGACATTTAAATAGTTTTAAAGTAATAAAGCCATCAGTTTTCTATAACAAATCAGGAAAGAAATGATTTCTAATCTTCATGTTATTTCTAGCAGATCACAAAGTTCAGACCCATAAAGAAAAAGATGAATAAATGTGAACACAGAAAAGTCTTTAAATATTCGTATTATCGGAAAATGAAATTATAAACAAAATCAAAAGTAAACAACAAACTGAACAAAAACAAGACCAATACACAGGAGGGGCAGATGGTAATTCCCTTCATTTGCAAAGCATTTATACAAATCAATATAACAAGGTGAACAAGCAAATGGAATAATGAGCATGGGACACAGCAGCTTACAGAAAAGAAGAAATACAGTGGCCATGAATGATCTTAAAATGAGCTAACTCATTCTTAATCAGTGAATTGAAAATACAACTACATACAATTTTCAGCATTCACATTGGCATTTTAAAATTTTGCTAATACGCCATGTGAATTAGATTGTGATAAAAGAAGTACTCTCACACGTATACCTGCACAACTTCCAGAGGGAAATGCAGCTGTTTCAATCTGTGTTTAAAATGCACATACCCTTTGGTCCAGAATCTTACTGGTAGAAATAGTCATTATGGATATGGTTTTTTAATACCATCAAATATAAAATACACAAAAGATTCTTCTTGCAAGCATTGTTTATAAGCAATGAAAGGCTTAATTGTTTGCTTTTTCATAGCTTATGTTGAGCTAATGAGTTTCATAAAATTAAACCGAATTGTAGGAGTGTTCTGTGCTGGAAAACTTGGTAACTGGCACATAGGTTCATCACAAAATTAACACTTTGTTACTTAAGAAATAGCTATATATTGGGAGTCCGAGGTGTGTAGATCACCTGAGGTCAGGAGTTCAAGACCAGCCTAACCAACATGGTGAAACACCGTCTCTACTAAAAATACCAAAAAAAAAAAAAAAAAAATTAGCCCAGTGTGATGGCATTTGCCTATAGTCTCAGCTACTCAGAAGGCTGAGGCAGGAGAATCCCTTGAACCCAGGAGGCAGAGGTTGCAGTGAGCCGAGATTGTGCCATTGTACTCCAGCCTAGATGACAAGAGCAAGACTCCATCTCAAAAAAAAAAAAAAAAAGAAAAAGAAAAAGAAACAGCTATATAGATGAGAAAGCGGTAATTTAATCACCATAAAAAGTGAAAACTACTAAAATTCTGAAAAATCTGCCCTCACCATTGCCCTTTATGAATTACAAGCTCTTTATTTTAGCCACAGATGACTCTACACCCTTCCAGGAACACTCCAGCACTTTCATTTCATAAACTCACCCATTTGTTCTTGCTGTTCCCCTGTTCAAATGCCCTTCCTCCCTCTCCCTATCACACTCCAGTTTGTCTGCTAATTGAAATCCAACACTGTTCTTCAAAGAACAACTCACATGCCACCCCTTTCTTGGGGATCAAGCCTTCACAATATTTGACAGGCAGTTCTCTATCAGACTCATTTAACTCTGCCTCAGACTACAGTTAATTGACTGGCAGTGGTTGACAGCACTGTCCGTGTCTTCTGGAATTCTCCATAGGATCCCGCACAGTTCTGCACAGACTGGATACTCAGTAAATGAAAAATCACTGTGCTTCTCCCTGAACACAGAAAAGGAGTAAAAGAAATAAAAATGGGGAGATTGGTACAACTGGTTTGGTGGCAGAAGCAAGAATAATAATGCCTGTCAAAACCAGCAACTCAGCCCTTTTGAGGGAGGCGGGGAAGCCCTGATTTGTAGCATTTACTGATCTCCTTGGTGTAAATACTCCCCATATCATGGCTGATTTCCGATTACCAACATGCAGACACAGAACTCAGAGTTGGGAAGAGATGCATGCAATTGGCTCTCTTGAGCCAAGCTGATCTAGTGCAGCAGTGTTCTGGTCCCCAGGTTGAAAGTTACATCAGTTATTTGCATAGTGCAACACATGTTCATACCAATGAATCTTAACTTTCAATCAAATAATAAGGTAAGTTTATTGACATACATTTTACATCTTCTTATTTTGGAGAATTCAGGACACACTACCCGCAAAATATGGCACCTTGACATCTTGAATATTTTCAGATAAAGGAACTCAAGAAAACTGCACAAGTAGGAAGGTCACTGTGACCCTCACGCAGCCTTTCTCCCCTGAAGTAGGTCATAAAACCTCCAAAGGATTTTCTGACTCTCCCCAGAAGCAGGTCACAAGACCCTCATGTGAGAGGTGCCCTCCCTATACCTGGAGGACAGGAGCGTCCTTCTCTCTGAAGACACGAAAACAGAGAGAATCTGCACAAGCAGGTCTTGGTAAGTTCCTGCCTGTTTATTACACTTAGCTCACTCCCCTTTGTCCACAACTTTCCACTCTTCATCAAACCCACTATAAAAAAATGCTCAGGTTCAACTGTTTCTTTGAGTTTTCAATTACTTTTGAAGGCACCTGAGTGATATAAAATTTATATTAAATAATGTGTATGCTTTTCTCTTAGCAAACTGTCTTTTATTATAGGGGCCTGAGCTAATGACCTTAGCATGGTAGAAAGAAAATTACTTTCCTCCCCTACACTATATAATTTAAACAAAGTATTTTTGTCAGATCTTTTTCTTCACTAAGTGTCTAACTTCTTCCCATTTCTGGAACTGCTCTGAAACTCTCCCATTCACAATCATGTGGCTGAGAAGAACCAAGAGACAGAAAGGCATGATAGAAACAAAACACCTAGTGTGGCCGGGTGTGGTGGCTCATGCCTATAATCCCAGCATTTTGGGAAGCCAAGGTGGGCCAATCGCTTGAGTTCAGGAGTTCAAGACCAGCCTGGGAAACATGGCAAAACTCTGTCTCTATCAAAAATACAAAAAAATTAGCCAGGTGTGGTGGCACGAGCCTGTAGTCCCAGTTACTTTGGAGGCTGAGGTGAGAGGATCACTTGAGCCTGGGAAGCAGAGGTGGCAGTAAGCCGAGATTGTGCCACAGCACTCCAGCCTGGGTGACAGAGTAAGACCCTATCTCCAAACAAATAAACCAAAAAAACAACCACTTAGTGTTTATTAACATATAGTTCCATGCAGCTATATGCTGCACTCTACTTTTCCTTTGCTTCCTCTCCTCCTGGGTTTGAGGCAGAAGGCAAGCTGGGGAAGAAGGCAGAAGAAAGGAAATATAGAGGAGACAAATACACCTAGAGTGGGCTCACAAGGCGGTAATCTATACACCTAGAGTGGGCTTGTAAGGCTGTAATCTATACACCTAGAGTGGGCTCCCAAGGCTGTAATCTATACACCTAGAGTGGGCTTATAAGGCTCTAATCTCTCTCTGTCATTTCCTTGCTGACGCTGAACTGTGTGTTTCATGTGACTAGAGATGAAACAGGAAAGGGAATGCGTTGGAGCCATTTTTTAAAACTACAAACTGTTTCTCACTACCCTCTGGGTAAGTAGAATGTTCTTAATTCCACTCATGTTACCTACAATGGCCGTTCTCTTACAGACATCATGTTTTTAGCACGTTATTCCTAGCAAAATCCCCAAGGAGTGTAATAGTAGGTTGCCTAATTCATTCTGTTTGAGCATTATGAACTCAGAATCAATATTTGAATTTTTAGAGCTTCCTGTTTTCAGAGTCCTGTGTTCCAGGCATCTGATAAGAATGACTGCATAATTGTCCTAACTTCTGTAATACTTTTGCTCGAGTATGATCTCGGTATACAGACTTAATGCTTATGACAGGTCCACATTATTTGAGTAAACCGATTGAAAACCAAGAGCTGATTGAGAACGTCCCTTAATCTAGCGGCTGCATTATCAATTTGTGAGCATGTCCACATTCTGGTCTTTGAGGGAGAAAATACAGTAAAAAAAAAAAAAAAAAAAAATGAGGTCAAGCTGGGATTTTCTAGCTCAGTGATTGGCTCTAAATGAAGGCATATGAATCTTTGCCTTTCGGTTGTGTGGAAAATCTGCCAGGGGCTAAACTTTGTTGTTAGATTGGCCTAAGCAAGCAAGACAAGCTAGCTGGGATGGGAAGGAGAGGGAAGGAAGAAAGAGAAGAAAAACGTGGCTTCCTGTGGTTTTACAAGGGTCACATCAGCCTCAGGAAGTAGGGACATTGCGAGCAACTAAACATATGCAAATGAAATGCAACTTTTCAGAGGGAATTTGTTAAGTTACTTCATTAGCACTGAGGCCAAGGGCAGTCCAGAGCTAATGCAAAGTAGATCTGACGGTTTCCCTTTGTTTGCGTCGAGGTCTTCAGGGCAGTGGGAGTAAAGGGGTGAAAAGGCGGACAGCCATGTCCTTGAAAGGGAGCAGAACCTGTAAGGTCTCCCAAGCCCTTTTGGCTTGAATGCTGGCTTTTGTCTCCCGAGGGCCATTGCTCTGCTCCCCGAGAGTCCAAGTAATGAAGCACTTGATTAAGACCTCATTAAAAGTTCATTGACATTCATGACTGGAGCCATCACTGCAGCCCAGAGAGATGGAGGGAGGATGGGGCCAGCCTAGAAGCATAAAACCTGGGTTTAAATACTCTTTCTGCCACTTCACAGCTTGGTTTTCTTCCTGGTACATTTTTAATCTCTCGGTAATGCCACTTTTCTCATCTCTAAATAACTCCAGTTCTGTGCCACTGTGAGAACGCGCTTTGAAAGCCTTAGTATTTTGTGTGTCCTTATTCTTTTTTTTTTTTTTTTTTTTTTTTTTTGAGACAGAGTCTCGCTCTGTCACCCAGGCTGCAGTGCAGTGGCGCAATCTCGGCTCACGGCAAGCTCCACCTACCGGGTTCATGCCATTTCCTGCCTCAGCCTCCGAAGTAGCTGGGACTACAGGCGCCCGCCACCACGCCCGGCTAATTTTTTTTCTATTTTTTTTTTTTTTTTAGTAGAGACGGGGTTTCACCGTTAGCCAGGATGGTCTCAATCTCCTGACCTCGTGATCCGCCCACCTCGGCCTCCCAAAGTGCTGGGATTACAGGCGTGAGCCACCACGTCCGGCCTGTGTGTCCTTATTCTTGTTTTCCACCCCTTTGCTGTCTTCATCTGGTTGTTTCAGGCTCTTTAGGACCTGCTGAGGACATGTATTTCTTGCATCACAGCGCTGTGAAGCACCCTGAGACTGCACAGGCCTCTGAGAAATACAGACAGGTTATAGGGAAAAACAAGAAGCTCTAGCCTCTGGCAGATGTCCATGCAACCCACCCAAGCCCCACAAAGGAAACAGTGCAAGCAGCTGAGAATATCTCTAGACTGTTGATCAGACCTTGCCCAACCGACATTCACAGGCATACAGATAGCCAGGTGTGCCCCTTTGCACAAATTCGAGTCCTTCCATGAGATCCAGGAACCAAGCACAGCAGCAAATCCTAAAGTGTTCCACAAAACACTCATTCTTCCAGACTGTTGGCGTTCTACCATTGACGGAGGGTGGAGCTGAAAATTCTGGGCAGCTTTCCTCCAACGAGCCCAAGAATCTGAAAGGCCACCCTGACACCCACGTACTACTCACCAGACACAGCCAGCGTCACTGGACAGCCACAAGTTTTGTTTTTGTTTGGTTTTTGAATTCAGAGCTTCTGTTTGAGGCTTAGAGTTTCCAAGATGGAGCAGGGACCCCTCTTAGGGGCCTACGGGGCCCCCTAAGCATAAAGGAAAATCTTGAGTTCCTTCCAAAGAAATTCCAGGTACCTAACTAGCCCTAAGAAGTAAATGAACAACTTGATAAGCAAGAAAGTAACAGTGGTCTACAACAATAGCCAAGTAAGTGAGAGCCTTGAGTGATGGTATGTTTGATTCCCTATAGAAACTAAAGATAACATCTTAACATATATCCGTGAATTGTTTTCCAGAAGCCCTGACCCCGACCAAAGGTTCCCCTGGCACATCCACCTGAGATAAAGAGCTGAGGACTGAATTCTGATGACCATTCTTTGTTCTAAATTCCTTCCTCAGAGGCCTGGAGCAAGTCACATCCCCAGGCCAGACCTTAACATTCCTTCCTGCTAACCCCAAGTTTTTAGACAAAGCTTCACTTCCTTAACCAGTCAGGAATCAGAGTCTTCCTCCCGCTGCAGAGAACCTTGGTGTGAAAGTTCTGCTTTATTGTGCCGGGTGAGCGGACCCCAGGTTAGTTCGGTGACAGAACTGAACATCCACAAGTTTTGTTTTGGTTTGGTTTGGTTTGGGGGCTTTCACCTTCTCTTTGAGGCTTGTACTTTCCAAGGCCATACCCTAGGAAGCCAGAAAATGACTCCATCCACTCCAGACCCTCCTTCAGGTTCTCTGAAGATTCTATAAGAATTTCCATTCTCCTAACATCACCTCCAACCTCAAGTAACCTCTCATTCTTCCTTTTTTGCCTAGAGTTGGTATCTTCCCTTGTTCTGGGCAAGGGAAAGAATCTTTTCCTCCCAATATTATTGAGGTATAATTGACAAATAGAAATTGTATATATTTATGGTGTGGCACGTGATGAAATACGTATACATTGTAAAATGGCTACCACAATCAAGGTAATTTACACATCCATAGCCTTACATAGTTACTGTGTGTGTATGTGTGTGTCTGTGTGTGTGTGTGTCTCTGTGTGTGTGTGTTAAAAACACTTAAGATAACTCTGTAAATTTGAAGTCTGTAATACTTGAAATTCTGGGCTATTGTTGTCATGCTGTTAGTTAGAGTTCCAGAAGTTATTTATCTTATACCAGAAAGTTTATATCCTTCTTACTTTATCAAAGATTCTTATTTCATCCCAAATTCTTCCTATGCTCTGGTAGATGGTATAAACTTCATATCTGATTCCTCCACTTAAAGCCAAGTTTCTGAAATAGTGAAGCTTTTTTATCTCTTGCAGAATAGCCATACCTTTTTAAATTTTGGTTATAGATTTATAAAGCTCTGCTTCAGAGCTCAAAAATCATTGGAGCAAGTTTTTGTTCTCGCTGATTTTTCCCTAGCCAGAGGCAATATTTATAGAGCCTCCCAATGGCTACGTGGCTGTTTAGGGGTGACGATAGTGGCAGTAGCTGGTGACAAAGATTTTTGGCTTGGCCAAACTTTAGTCAGGCTCCTGAACCTTCTTCGAGGGCCATCTGTGTACTTCCATGTAAGATTCAGTCATGGCAAAGAACTCTGCTAAGTCAGTTTAACAAGAAGCCCTCATCCTCAATATCTGATCACCCTCAATATCTGATCAGATTCCTCATCCTCCACTAACACCTAGGTGATATCAGGTCACCTTGGTCTGTGTTGAGCAAAAATGCTCTTAGTTTAGTTTGTCCAGAATCCCCCTTCCCCCTGATGTTCCTATTAGTAACTTTCTTTCTTTTTTTTTTTTCTGAGACGGAGTCTTGCTCTGGAGTGCAGTGGCCCGATCTCAGCTCACTGCAAGCTCCACCTCCCAGGTCCACGCCATTCTCCTGCCTCAGCCTCCTGAGTAGCTGGGACCACAGGCGCCTGCCACCACGCCCGGCCAATTTTTTTGTATTTTTAGTAGAGACGGGGTTTCACCGTGTTAGCCAGGATGGTCTCGATCTCCTGACCTCATGATCCGCCCACCTCGGCCTCCCAAAGTGCTGGAATTACAGGCGTGAGCCACCGCGCCCGACCTCCTCTTAGTAACTTTCTACCCACTGACTCTACTCCTTGGCTGTAAATCCCACTTGCCCATGCTGTATTTGGAGTTGAGCCCACTTTCTCTCCACCACTGCAAAATTCCACTGTTGTGGTCCCTATTTCTATTGCAATGTTCCTGAATAAAGCCTTCCTTGCTGTGCTTTTACAGTATTATTGAGTAATCTGGTTTTCTTTTATACTGGAGAAAGAGGGATTAGAGGTAAGTGGAATTGGTATCTATTGGTTAAAGCCAAGAAATTAACACTGTTCATTCTTCTCCTCCCAAATTCAAAATGAAAAGAAAAAAAAGACATAAGTGTCAAATGGAGATAAATATTAGCTTGATTATTGATAAAAGTGGGATTGAATGACAGAGCCTAGAGGTACAACCACATGGACTTGCTAATTCTTTGCCCTGGGGATCAAGCATTTTCTCCTCTGGTCACCGGTCCAGCCTGAAGCCTATGGGCCTTCCCAGGTGCAATGCTCCATGGAGAAGCAAAGGAAACTTACACCCTGAGGAGAGGCCAGTTCCAAAAGAGATCCAGCAGGCCTGGCATCCACTTTGACACTTACCAGTTAAGCATGTCATCAGGGAGAGAAGGTAAAATAAGGGTCTAAGGAAAACCAAACAGAGATTGTTAGCAGAGGTTGGGAAGGGTAGCAGGGAGCAGGAGATAAAGTCAGGATGGTTAATGGGTACAAAAACACAGACACAATGAATAAAATCTAGAATTTGGTAGCACAATAGGATTACTGTAGTTATCGATAATTTATCCTATATTTTCAAATACCTTAAAGAGTGGAATTGGAATGATCCTAACCCAAGATAAAGGTTTGAGGTGATGGATACCCCAATTTCCTTGATGTGATGATTACTTATTGCATGCCTGTATCAAAACATCTTATGTACCCCGTAAATATATATAACTATTATGTACCTATAACAATTAGTTTTAAAAAGAAAATGAAATGGAATTGGAAACACATCCCATTTAATACAAAATCATTACTTACTAATATTATTATAATAAAATTCTGACTTCTGTTGGCTAGTATTTTGTTTCAATAATTTTGGATCTATATTCACAGCTTAGATTGTTCTCCATGCGTGTACTTTGTGCTATGCTTTTCCAGTTTTATTCAGGTATTGTGGTTTCATGGAGTGCCATATGACTCTGGTTTACTCCTGCAGACCTCCTCCCCCTACCTTTCTGCCCTAAGAGGCTGACTGCCGTGAACCACATTGAAACTAGTGTCCCAAAGAGTTAAAGACACAGAAGATTAACAGAAATTCTTGAGTTTGCAGGACAGCAGATAAGAAAAAAAAAAAAAACTTGCTGAAATGTTGAAACTCCTTGCTTATGAGATAACAAAACTGGCTGAAATTGGCCGGAACCAATATGGCTGACTGGAGTCTGTGCAGAACAAGCTTGCTGACCTCACAGCCTAAGTTTCCACTGAATGTTTCATATTAACGCCCCCTGAATTTGCACATGTGACCCATGAGGAGGCATGAAGGGATAACTGTGCGTACCTAATGACATACCAGACCTCCCCTTTCCTTCCACCAATCACCTGCTAATCCCAGAATCCACCCATTAAACCTTGGCTAATAAAAGTACTGCCATAAAGCCAGCATAGGAAGACAGATTTGAGCTGGACTGCTGTCTCCTTGTTGGTCTACCTACAATAAAATGCTTTTCTTGTCTCAAAACCCCAGTGTCATAGCACTGGCTTCTAGTGCATAGGGCAATGAGCTCTTTAGCTTGGTAACCACATCGGTGACTCCCTTGACCTGTGGCTTCTGGTTGGCTTTGACCAATGAGAAACTCAGGAAGAAAATTTCAGGGTGGAAGGAGAATGAGACTGGAGCATTTATTCTCCCATCCCCTTCTTTGCAAGGTCAACAGAAGCTGTCTGAGTCCCAGGAACAAATATCGCAGCTGCTGTCGGGCCTTCCTTCCAGGTTCTGAAGGAAACTTTCCCCTACCCCTTCAAGCCTTGGGTTGGTAATAGGACTGCACTACCCAGCTGGCATTTCCACACCCTTCCCATACCGTTATTGCCTAATGTGAGTGTGACATCTGTTGCCTGCTGGGAAGCTGACTGACACACGTGGTTAAGCTGACTTAACAAAATGAGCTGGAAAGCTTGCTATTTTTATCTATGCTCTGGAGCACATTAACTATTGCAAGAATTTTCTATTCCTTGAAGGTCAAAGAACTGATCTCTAATTCCCTCTTAGCCTAGTATTTTAGGAATAAGATGGTTCTCTGACAAATGTTTAAAATTTTTCTCATGGTGTTTTTTTTTAATTTAGGTTTCTTCTTCCTCAGTCAAGTTTAGTAACTAATATTTCCTTTAAAAATCACCCATTTCCTTAAAAGCTTTATATTTTTTAGCATGGAACTATTTGCAGAATTCTCTTTTACTGTTTTCATCCATTCAGAAGAACTTCCAGATTAATAAAAACTTTGCATGACACTCAGAAACTTTGTAAGTAAATAAAAAGAAAAACTAGTTTTGTTCTTATGCAATTGATCCATGAAGCATAATATTTTTTTGTTATACTTGGCCACCCAGAAACTATGTACTACTCTCTTAAATTTGGGGACAACTGCATCATTTAATCTGCATTCCCCTAGGTAGAAGTCAGAAATTCACTCTCCCAGACTCCCATGTAGCTAGGGCATAGATACGTGACTTAAGCTTCACCAATACGATTTATTTACAAGAGACTTTGGGACTTCATGATGCAAAGTCTCAGGCACCAATTGAGAGCAATTTCTGGTGCAGGTACTGAACACAACATCTAACTTTCAGAGGCTACATTGGCTTTAAAGGTTGTATCCAATGTCCAGATTTAAGTAACAAGTTGAGGTCTCTATGCTTAGTTGTGGTAGTAACAGCGTCTCCATGGAAACTCTCAGATGGCTTAAACTGGTAGTTGTAACTGTCTCCATAGCCTTATTCTCTGGCCCCCTTGGAGAATGGGTGAGGTACCTGATTGTTATGGGCTAACTGTGTACCTCCCAAAATTCATGCTGAAGCCCTAAACCCCAGTATCTCAGAATGTGATTATATTTGGTGCCAAGGACTTTAAAGAAGTCATTAAGGTAAAATGAGGCTGTTAGGATAGGGACCTACTCCAACCTGACTGGTGTCCTTGTAAAAAGAGAAAGAGACACCAGGGATGCCCACACACAGAGAAAAGGCCATGTGAGAATAAAGCAAGAAGGTAGCCTTCTGCAAGCCAAGAAGAGATGCCAAAGAAAACACTGAATCTGCTGACACCTTGATCCTGTGCTTCTGACCTCCATCATTGTGAGAAAATAAATGTCTGGTGTTTGTGTCACCCATTCTGTGGTATTTTATTATGGTAGCTCTAGCAAGCTCATACATTGATGTTGTTCAATATATTTATTTCCTGCTTGAATTTGCTAAAATGAGCTTTGTTGTTGGAAACTAAAAACACTGATTCTGCACATTATGTAATTGTAGGAATGGTTTCCATTTCTGGTATGGCTGGGTTAGTTCCTACTGGACTAGCCCTCTTGCAGATGACAACTATAAACTCTGAACACACTTTTAAAATTGGATATTTCAAGCATTTTTTAAAATTCCTCCAACTACTTAAAGGCATTGGAGAAAGACCAAAAGTAGGCATATACCAGAAGGGGCTTGACACTTGATAAATGGGAACAGCACTGGGTGTTTCACATTTTCACAACTTTTAGGCTGAGGCCAAGCCCTAATCTTTACCATATGGGGGTGGCTGAAGCTTTAATGAAAAAACTTACTGATTTTTCTGGTACAAAGAACTATTAGAAAGAGTTTGAGGTGACCACAAGCCGTGGACAGTGAGGAGGGAGACTTAGAAAGGACAGAGACAGGCCGGGTGTGGTGGCTCACGCCTGTAATCCCAGCACTTTGGGAGGCTGATGCAGGCAGATCACGAGGTCAGGAGATCGAGACCATCCTGGCTAACATGGTGAAACCCCATCTCTACTAAAAATACAAAAAAATTAGCCGGGCGTGGTGGTGGGCACCTGTAATCCCAGCTACTCAGGAGGCTAAGGCAGGAGAATGGCATGAACCCGGGAAGGTGGAGGTTGCAGTGAGCCAAGAACGCACCACTGCACTCCAGCCTGGGCAACACAGCAAGACTCCGTCTCAAAAAAAAAAAGAAAAAGAAAAAGAAAGGGCAGAGCCATAGAGGGAGCACCAAATCCTGAATATATACTTAGATCAAATTTCTGGCTAATCCCCTCCCTATGCATGTGTGGGACAGACCCCAAGCAGCTTAGATAAGAGTAAAATAACTGAACTGAAATTCATGTTGCTGCCCAAGAAACATAATTTTCAGTTTTAGTCTAATTAAATCAATTGCCCACTAAAACAAACAAAAATCAATCCTCTTAAGAAGAATATAAAAGAGTCCAGAGTTTCCACAATACATTTTTAATGTCCAGGTTACATTTCAAAAATTATATGACAAATTTGTAAAAATGAAAATGTGACCCATTCTCAAGAAATAAAATAATGGAGAGTTTGAATTAAGATGTTAAACCATCATTATAATTATGCTATAGGAAATAAATAAAAATATACTCACAATGAATGAAGCAATCATTATTTCAGTAAAAAAAAAACTACAATAATAAAAGGTCCACATGGAGGTTTTAGAACTAAAAAATATAATATTTAAAATAATTATATAAATACACATATAAGAATTCAGACACATACATGGGAGTCTGAAATAAGAAAGAAACAAGAGCAGCAGCTGCCACAAGGAAAATGTTTTCTTTCATCCAGATTTAAAGTCCTGATTGGCCGGGCACAGTGGCTTATGCCTGTAATCCCAGCACTTTGGGAGGCCGAGGCAGGCAGATCACAAGGTCAGGAGTTCGATACCAGCCTGGCCAAGATGGTGAAACCCCTCTCTACTAAAAATACAAAAATTAGCAAGGTGTGGTGGCACAGGCCTGTAGTCCCAGCTACTTGGGAGGCTAAGGCATAAGAATCACTTGAACCCAGGAAGTGGAGGTTGCAGTGAGCCGAGATCGCACCACTGCATTCCAGTCTGGGCGAAAGAGCAAGACTCCATCTCAAAAAAAAAAAAAAAAAAAAAAAAAAAAAAAAAAAAAGTCCCGATTATCCAGAACCTAGGAAAAAGCACCTTGGCCATGGTCCCTCAAAGACTGCCAGATACTTAATGAGAAGGTAAACAGAAGAGGCAGAGAAGAGGTACTGAATCTATTAGAAACATTTGTTGCCACAGTTGCCTTATTTTGCCAAGATAGAACTTTTTGAAGGTGATCTTCTACCATCACTATCACTTTGTTTAAAAAGAGAAACTTATAAGTAACAAAAATATAATTTCAGAATATATGACAGTCTCCCAAAAAGGACAGATGACAACTTTGCATTGACATCTAAAAAGGGAGCAAGGAGGAAGAAGATAAATTTGAAAACTACTAACACAATTCAAAATGTTATTTAATGGTACTGTACCATACACAATTGTTTTCTTGATACAAATCTTTCCATTTAGAATCTATATTTCACAGTGCAATGTATTTTGATACTTCATTTTTGTTTTAATCCAGTTAAAATGTGAAAATCCAATTTCACGTTAAGAAAAAAACAAAATTCCTAATATCATTTTACTTAATTTAGAATATTCTGAGTTAACAGAGACATCTCAGGAAGAAAAACTTAACTTCTTCTTGAATCTTTTTACCTATGGGCTGGGAAGAAATCAGATGACTGCAGGAATGGTTCTGATGGTAAAGGCCACAGAAATGGGACTAAAGATACGTCCCGATTGGTCGCATCGCACCTATGACCCAGTGTAGCCCAGGGCCCCGGACACTAATGTGAAGCCAAAGGAGTTTATTGCGTGGGTGAAAGTTTTGCTGTGGATCAGCCATGGGAAAATAGCTAGTATACATTGATCTAGTGCCCTGAGGAAATACAACAACTAGGTTCTCACTTGGTCAGTGGGGTATCTGAAATCCAAGCTTGCATCTCAGAATTCAGTCTGGCCATCAGGGTTGGCTAATACTGATGAATTAGAGTCCAACCACTTCTGGTCCAAGAGTGCTTCAAAGTTTCCTCTGTGTCATTCATAGAATTCTTTAATATTCCACCCAAGCCTGGGACAGCTCCTAGTTTTCCGGTATCAGCCAGGCCCGCTTATCTGCTCAAGAAGCCTATATATAAAATTTGTATTGTACCAAGCCTTCTGAAGTGGATAATTCCTTAATTTGGAAAAAACATATAGATAAACTTTCCTAGATCAGTTCATCTTAACATTTATCTATTTTCTCATCATTTTTATGTGTTCTAATTTTGATGACTTTCAGCACAAATCAAAACATTGTTTACTGCCTCCGTTTTTGAAATTTGACGGTGGTTTCATCCTCATGCAATCTCACACTGTTTTCTCTTCATAATGCACATTTTATCGCTGCAATGTCACCTTGAGTCTTTCAATACCAGTTGAAAGAGCATTGTTTTATCCTCATATCCGTTCTTTTCTTGAAGCTATAGCTTTTCCAATGGCTATGATCTATATGTTTTTCCCAACCTTTCAAAGGAGGTTGATCTAGTATTTGGAGTAGAGATAGATTTTTCTCAGAAATTGCATAGTTACCATTTTAATATTTTATCATTCTGAGGACATAATGGCTTAAATTTACTCTAGCATCACTTTGTCAGATTCAAGACCCAGCAGCAGGAAGAATAAGGGAGCTTAGTCCTTTCTTCACAGAGCTCCTCTTTCATATTTGTTGTGGCAATTGGAAGATATGTAGCCAGTGAGCTGGTGGCTCACTACCATGCCTCTTTATTGGGGCATATCTGTGGCAGCTCTCCTGCTTTATGCCAGCCAGGACCACCCTGGGAGTATGCATCACAGAGCACTTCCCACTGTGCGACCTCCAACATGAGGTGCTTTTCCCAGAGGTATAGGTAGCATTTGCATCCAGCCCATCCCTCCATGGCCACAGGGCCCAATACCCACCCTCTCCACTGTCCCTTTCTGATCTAAATTAAAAGGTATCAAAGGATGCTTTAGATCAGAATGGCATTTATTTCTTAAATGAGCTATTCTTTTCCACACAGGAAATATATGTTAGTTTAAACATTCTCCTAATGTTGTGTATTGAACACATTTCTTATATATTGAACACATGCAACTCAAAGTGTCTAGTGTCTAGTGTGAGGTCATGTACTAATGTGGATACACATTCTTCGTTATTTTTATTTCTTTATTTTTATTTTTTGTAGAGACAGGGTCTCACTATGTTGCCCAGGCTGGTCTTGAACTCCTGGGCTCAAGGGATCCACCTGCCCCTGAAATGGGAAAAGTTCCCTTATCCCCCTCGCAGGGTGTGAGACAGAGGGAGTGGCTTGCTTCTTCAGTGCCCCACTGCTGAAACCTCTAGGGGAGCATACAGACGGGAAGGTTGTGGGGCTCCAACCCCACGGCAGTGTCTAGGGGTGGATGTTTACAGCTCCCGAAGCCTCAGTGGGCACGTGCTACCATGTGCTCTTTTAGTTATGCCATCTGTAGGTGGCTTGTGTTAACCAGCTCAATTAGACCCTCTACCTTGTTGCAAGGACAGAGAGCTTTCTGTATCCCGGGTTCTCGCCTTGGTGTACTGGAAGAACTGGATCACACCTGGGCTTGGAGAATGAGTACAGAGTTTTATTGAGTGGAGGTAGCTCTCAGCAGATGAGGGAAGGCAGAAGGGGGATAGAGTGGGGAGGTTTTCCCCTGGAGTCAGGCTGCTCAACGGCCTGGGCTCTCCTCCAACTGCCCCAGCGAAACTCCACATCATTCTGCTTCTGCCAGTCGGTGGCCAGCCAGCGGTCTGGGGCCCACCGGTGCATTCCTCTTGACGTCCAGCGGCTTGTGTGCATGTCTGCTAGGGTCTCGGGGGTTTTTATAGGCACAGGATGGGGGCATGGTGGGCCAGGGTGGTCTTGGGAAATGCAACATTTGGGTGCAAAGGCAGGAGTGCCTGTCCTCACCTAGGTCCGTGGTCACAGGCTGGGGAGTGGAGCCCTTATCAGGGACCATGCCCTCTTCTACGTAGCACTTCTCTGTCTCCCTTCCATATCACCTCGACCTCCCAAAGTGCTGGGATTACAGACATAAGCTACCATGTCTGGCCCAAAATTTTCTTTATTTTTAAATAGATTTGATAATTTTTAAACATTGAGACTTATGTGCATCCACACATAAAGAGTTAAATGTGTGGGATCAAGCCACCATCTTTACTCAAGTATAAACTGCAGTGCACATAGGATTCGTCTGACCAGCAGACTTCCCTCAGGAAACCACTCCCTTGTTCCTCATCCATGTGTTTTAGTGGGGCTCAGGTCATGCTCACTACCACAGAAGTGAACACAAGACCTACATCTGACCAATCAGTTGTCCAGTCCCCACTCACATTGGTCTGGAGATGAACACGTGATCCAGGGGGAGCGTCTTCCCTAGAACCTGGCTTTATAGGAGCTATGAGAAAGGATGGTCCTCCTTCTCAGGGGTCATGGGCTCTACGGACCATATGGGCTGGTGGCTGCTGGAGGCCATCTTGCCTATGATCTATGGCAGGAAGCTATCTGAGAAAGTTGCCAGGCAGAGGCAACAATTTCCACGATATGAATAGAGAGACAGAATCCTGACACTGATGTTACCGGCTCTGTTACTATATGTGCCTGATGCCAGATCTTTCTTGGATATTCCATTTACATTTGTAATGTAATTGCTAATAAATTATCTACCTCATTTAAGGTACTTTGGTCTAGATTTCTGTCACTTGCATGCAAAGTTGTGCTGACCTTTTTATAACTGCAGCCCACCTTCTTCTCATTTCTCTTATCTCCTCATCGATGAACATTTTTAATAACTTTCATATTCCACCTGATTTATATGAATTACATGTTCTACTCCATATTTCCTATGCTAGCTGCCAATCACTATGAACAAAATAACAAGAAGGGGTGGATTGAATGAAACTAATATTTACTGAGCACATGTCATGTGTCAGGACACATACTGGGCCCTTTATCTCAATTACCTTATTTAATTTTCACAGCCATCCTTTGTTATTAATTCTCACAACCACTCTAAGGTTGCTATTATTTTCACAGTTTTATGAATGAAGACCCCCAAAGTTTCTAAAATGAAGTCTAAAATCTTTTTGCCATAATCACTTGCTTCCTCTTCCCTTCCCCCTTAATTTATCTCACAGGGATGAAATGTAATAAAGTCAGGTTAACACGACACAGTGCAGAACGCTACATTGCCACCCTTAGGTTTCGTGAAAATCTTTGATCTTTTGTACTATCTTTCTTTGATAAAAATACATATGTTTTTGTATATTAAAACTTTTTAAATTGGGATATGCCTATGATTGATTATACATTTGATGAATCAATTCCTTTTTCTTGAGGAGTTCTTATCAAGTCAATGGCACATTATACAGTAGAGCCATGTGAGAGTTAAGGAAACAAGGCAATGAACTCCTTCTACCGAAGCCAAATTATGCTACTTATTTATGCCTCAGAGTGAATGAGTTCATCTGATGGTTTCTCAGCTCCCAGTCAACAGATATTAGGCACAGAAGCCTTTGGAGTGGAGAAGGGAGTGATACATCTCCTAACCAGGGCATTCCCGAAAGAAGTATTTAATCACCATCATTTGCCCAAAAGGTGCTGTGAAAATGCCAGGAGACTGAGAACTCAGAGTTCGGAGAAGGTTGTGGGCTCTAGGAGGTGTGCAAAGGTGCTAGAAGTGCTTCTAGAAGGACAGAGGAAAACAGAAGGCAATGCACCTATGAAGTCATCATGGCTCCAGGCCACCCCTGCCCTGGAATTTCTTTTGGGCATTCTGCTTGATATTCGCATAAGAACTTTAATTTATAGCACCTGAGATTTTTTCTATAAAATGTTAGCTGTCATTTACAGATGCAGGCTTTTAAAAAGGGATAAACATGAACTCCAATCTATGAATGTAAAACCCATCATTTTTGTTGTTCTCTGGCTTTATTCCATGTGTCTATGACCAAGGTGTTTTTCTCTCATTGGTCATAGTCCATGGCATAATGTCCTGGCCTTATATCACTATTGACTCCTACATTAACTTAATGACTATTTTAAATAGCATCCTTTCAATGATCTAATTTGATTCTCACTGTCCTGTTGCAAGATAAGGAGGGTAAATTTTATTATCCCCCTTTTTACTCAGTTGACTTCCCCAGAGTAGACTCTCAGTGACTATTTATTGAATACATGAATACATAAAAATGAAGACACTGATTGAGAGACGTGCATGTGTGTGTGTGTGTGTGTGTGTTATTTGCCCTAGGTCATACTGGACATCAAAAGCGGAATCCAACCTTGCTGGTATCCAGCCAGAATATTTTGCCTGCAAATAATAGTCTTTCCTGAGTCTCAACCTGCCCATCATCCTGGCAAAGGATCAAAATGACCCCAAGGTGAATGACGCAGGAATCAAATGGAGGAGAAAGTAAGTTCTTTCACAGCTCTGGGTCTTCAGAGCCAAGTCACATACTGGGAAATGCCGGTGACACAGATGATGACTCTCAGCCTTATCACCAGGCCGATAGGAGGGAGGGCAGAAGTCTCCACTCTAGAGAACTGAATCTCTTGATCTTCTGTGAGATAATACTTTTAATTTTCATCAGTGCAAGAGCATGTCTCAAACCAGAAGGGGTTTGCCTAATTCATCATGCTCCCAGGCCACACAATGGGACCCCTGACAAGCAGAACATTGGAGAGGGAAAGAAATGGACATCATGAATTCTCATGAATTGCAAATGCTTCTTCATTAAAGGATGTTGTCTTGCTTGGGACCATCTGCTTGATATAACTGGGTCCAGGTTCTCGGGCTGGAAACATCTGCCACTTTAATAATTTTACCTCTTAATTAAAGCACAACAAAAAGGAGGCCAAACATAGCTATGACCCTGGACATATCAGAGTTTAGGCACATAGACTGGAGAACACACTCACGTTGGTTCTATGTGAATGAGAACACACAGGTGTGCTGTTCACTCAATGCATGCACTCCCTACCCAGATGAAACAAATTTAGGTAATTGAATCCTCTATCCCATTGACTTGAAGTACTATTTCAAAGGCACTTTGTCTTGAGTTTAATTGATCTTCCACTGGTAGGGCCTCCTGACCAGTTGTCTTTAAGCTACTCTGCCCTGCAGCATCTTGGTCAAGTAGTTAATGATCTATAAATAAACACTTTAATGCACTAGGGGAGATGCTATTTAAAGAAACCCCACAGCTAATCCTTTTATACCACAAAGAATTCTTCTGTAATGCAAACAGTCACCCTTTAATTGGTCTATTTTGTAAGTTCAGCTTTTCATATCAATTTTCACATACATCATCAAAGAAATAGCGTGCAGAAACACTCTAGTGTGTACACAGTAAAGCAATAGACAAATGGTAGATGACAGTAGTATTTCTCAGTTGGGGAGGCACCCACATCATTTTGAACTCAGGTCAAACTATAAGCATGCCACAGAGATTCTGACTCTACATCTATCTTTCCTTTCCCCACACTCCCCACTCCATTAGTCTGAAATCTCTCAAGAGCTTAGATGCCTGCATTTCTTTTATTTCTCATGTTGTCTTATATTGGGTTATGCTCCTTGAGATTCTGCCAAAGTGATTGAGCAGTAAGTCCCATCATTTGTTCATTCTTTATTCATTCAACAAATACTTATTAAGCATCATTTTGTGCACTGGGAACACAGCCACAAGCAAGACAAGGTAATTTCCCCTTGGCGCTTTGTTGAAGGAGAGTAAGGAGAAGTAAATATATGAATAAATACAGAATGCTCAATAAAATGTCAGTATTGTTATCTATGATGACAAATAAACCAGGGGATAGAGATGGAGATGCAATTTTAAATAGGTTTTGTCATGGAACTCCCCTCTTAAGAAGTGTCACGTAGACCAGGCATGGTGGCTTACGCCTGTAATCCGATCACTTTGCGAGGCCGAGGTGGGTGGATCACCTGAAGTCAGGAGTTCGAGACCAGCCTGGCCAACACGGTGAAACCCCGCCTCTACTAAAAATACAAAAATTAATTGGGTGTGGTGATAGGTGCCTGTAATCCCAGCTACTGGGGAGGTTGAGCCAGGATAATTGCTTGAAGCCAGGAGGCAGAGGTTGCAGTGAGCCAAGATCGTGCCATTGTACTCCAGCCTAGGTGACAAGATTGAAACTCCATCTAAAAAAAAAAAAAAAGGATCAAGTAGCATAAAGCTAAGCAAAAAGCAAGAGGAAGGAAGGCATGGGAATATCTGAGTAGGGAGGATTCCATGGAAAAGAATCAGCAAGTGGAGCAGCCCTGGCATAGAAACACATTTGGTATCTTTGGGGAACAGCAAGATGACTATTATGTACAAAACAGAATGAACGAGGGCAATGGTGGTAGGAACTAAGATATAAGAGGTATGTAAGGGCCAGGTCATGGAGTTTTGTATGCATGGTAAGGACCTGGTCATAAGAGGTATTTACATAAGGGAAAGGAAGAATACCATGTTCCAATGGACTGGGAAACAGAAGACCATCATATTCTGTTCAGCTCCTTATTCTCTGAAGAAAAAAGAATGAATGCTTCTAAAACCCAAGGCAGCATTAAGAGCCTCTTCCTAAAGTGTCAGTGAGGACCCTAAGGACCCTTAGAGATCATGGCCCAACATCCTCACTGAACAGTTGTACCCTGAATAAATTCTGGGATTCTATGCAGTTCAAGCTCAGGGAAATGTGCAGCCATCAAAGGTAATTTTTGAAAAATCATTTAAATATTTATTTGAAATGTGAAAGTTGTCAGAATTGAAATAAAGTCACTCATGTTAAGAAACCCCTGACAAATAGAGTCAGGGAAGGCCACAAAGAGAGGGTTCTTATGCTTATTTGCCTGTTAATGAAAAAGACTATAAAACCTCACCTTACATAAAGGTCATCACAATTTCATACAAAAAAAAAAAAAAAACTTCTGCAAGGACATCTGTCCAGCAGCTCTCTGTCCAACCTCAGACTGGCATTATCCTTGTTATTGATCCTTGTAGCCAAGGATAATTATTTTAAGACAAACATGTAATCCTCCTCACTTTTTCCTCTAAAAACTTTTCTCTTCCTTTACCTCGGGTTACCTCCTTGAATACACACATAGTTTACAATGGCATGTGTATTGCCACTGCAATCCTCTATTCTTAAACATCTTTTATTTTAGAGAGTCTATTTCTGTTATTTAGACTGACAGAAGAATCATAATGGAGATTAAATGTACAATTCAGTCAAGACTACTTAAAACTCCTCTCTTCTCTTCTTCTATTCCTCTCTTCTCTCTCTTCTTCTATTCTTCTCTTCTCTCTCTTCTCTTCTTCTATTTTCTCACAACCCACCTTTGCTTTATTATTGTTTCTGTTTTTACTGTTCTCTCTCCTTTGTCCCCAAAAGTATCAGACACACTGAGCTTGTAGATTGAACTCTTTCTTCCTTTACCCAACCATCCCATGCTCTGCCACCCAACTAGAATTCAGCCAAACACTAGTCTAGGTGCTGCTGTGAATGAATTTTGCAGATGTAATTATTAACATCCCTAACAAGTCAACTTTAAGTACAAAAGATTACCTGGGTGGGCCTGACCGAATCAGTGGAAGCCACATAAAAGTCCCTGAACAGACTCCAAAGAGCAATTGGATCTACAATTGTTCTTCTCTCACTGGATCTTCCCTTCTTGACTCTCTGTAAACAACTGCTTTGGCCTGTGTCTCTGAAGTGCTAGCCTGTTCATTATCTCTTCTTGACTGCCCGACCTATGAATTTCAGACTTGCTTGGCCGTCCTCACAATTACCAAGCCAATTGCTTGTGATAAGTCTACTTGTATCTAAATAAAATTTTAGCAAAAAAAGCCAACAATATATAAAAGGGATAATACATCATGACCAAGTGAAGTTTATCCCAAGAATTCAGGATTGGTTTAATATTTGTAAGTCAACAATATAATCCTTCATATTAACGAATTGAAAATGAAAAATCACATAATCATCTTGACAGCTGTCAAAAAGATTTGACAAAATTTACCATTAATACCTGATATTAAAAACGCTCCTAGCAAAGTATGAATAGAAGAAAATTTCTTCAACCTGATACAGGACATCTGCAAATGATGTATAGTAACATCATACTTAACGGTGGAAGGCTGAATACCTTTCTACTATGATCAAGAACAAGCCAGAGATGTATGCTCTCACCACTTCTATTTAACATTGTTAGTGGTGGTCCTAGCCAATGCAATAAGGCCTGAAAAAGAAACAAAGGCATCAAGATTATAAATGAAGAAGTACAGTGTTTACTCATAAATGACATCATCATCTACACAGAAAACCTGATGGAATCCACAAAAAAAGCTACTACGTGGGGGAAGCAGCCAAAATGGTTGAATAGAAACAGCTCTGGTCTGTGGCTCCCACTGGGAAGAACGAAAACAGCAAGTGAGTTCTGCATCTTCAATTGAGGTACCCAGGTTCTCTCATGGGGACTGACCAGGCAGTTGGTGCAACCCATGGAGAATGAGGAAAAGCGGAGTGGAGTGAGGGCTTACCCAGGAGCTGCAAGGGGCAACAGAAACTCCCTCCCACAGCCAAGACAGGTAGTGAGGGATTGTGCTACTCCACCCTGAAAACCTTGCTTTCCCCACAGAGCTTTGTAACCTTTGGATCAGGAGGTCTCTTCATGAGCCCAACACCACCAGGAACTTGGGTCCCAAGCACAGAGCTGTGCAGACTCATGGCAGTTGCTTGAGTGGGCAGCCACTCAGTCAGGCACTGAGACACAGGAGTCTGCATATTCTGGCTCTGGGAACTCCAGTGACACAGGAGATCTGTCCACACCCCTGGGAAGGAGGCTGAAACCAGGGAGCCAAGTGTCCCCATTCAGCAGGCCCCACTCCCAAGGAACTCCACAAGCTAAAACTCACTGGCTTGGAATCCCCCCTGACCAGCACAGCAAGCTGGAGACTGCTTAAGAAGACCAAGTTCTGGTGGGGCAGGGAGGGGTGGCCACCATCACTGTGGCTCCATTTGGCCATTTTTCCTGCTGCCAGTGCCAGCAAGACTAGGCAGTTTGGACCAGGAGCAATTCTCCACAGCACAGCACAGCAGCTGTGATGGTTCATGTCCAGACTGCTTCTTTAAGTGGGACCCCGACCCATTCTTCCTCACCAGGAAGGGTCTCCCTTCAGGAGTTTTAACATCCCCAGCCAGGGGTTTATGGACAAATCTCTGATCTCCCTGAAAGAAGCCCATAGGAGGAGGGGTGGCAGCAGTATCATGGATCAGTAGTCTTAGTCTTTTCTGCCTTCCAGATCTAGAGAGTCAAGGCAGCCCAGACAAGGGGGATTCCTCCCAGTGAGGCAAACCTGCTCTGCCAAGGGGCTGCCAAACTGCTTATTTAAGCAGGTCTCTGATCCCATTCCTCCTGACTGGGTGAGATCCCCCAACAGGGGTCTCCAGACACCTCATACAGGACCATTCCAGTGGGCATCAGGTTGGTACCCCTCTAAGACAGAGCTCTGAGAGGAAGGGGCAGGTTGCTATCTTTGCTATTCTGCAGCCTCCACTGGCGATACCTGCAGGGGCAAGAGGAATCCAGGCAAATAGGGTCTGAAGTGGACTCCCAGCAAACTGCAACAGCTCCGTGGAAGAGGGCCCTGTCTGCTAAAAGAAAAACAAATGGAAAGAAACATCGATGAAAAATGCCCCACAAAAACCCCATCCAAAGGTCAGCAGCCTCAAAGGTCAAAGATAAATAAACCCATGAAGATGAAAAAGAATCAATGCAAAAACACTGAAAACTCAAAAAGCCAGAGTGCCTCTTCTCCTCCAAATGATTACAACATGTCTCCAGCAAGGGCACAGAACTGGTATGAGGCTGAGATGGATGAACTGACAGAAGTAGGCTTCAGAAGACAGTAATAAAAAACCTTGCTGAGCTAAAGGAGTATGTTCTAACTTATTGCAAAGAAGCTAAGAACCATGATAAAACATTACAGGGGCCATTAACCAGAATAACCAGTTTAGAGAGGAACATAAATGATCTGATGGAGCTGAAACACAATACAAGAACTTCACAATGCAAACATAAGTATCAAAAGTCAAATAGACCAAGAGGGGAAAGGATATCAGAGCTCGAAGACTATCTTGCTGAAATAAGGCAGGAAGGCAAGATTAGAGGAAAGAAAGAATGAAAAGGAATGAACAAAACCTCTGAGAACTATGGAATTATGTAAAAAGATCAAACCTGTGACTGATTAGGGGTACCTGAAAGAGATGGGGAGAATGGGACCAAGTCGGAAAACACACTGCAGGATATCATCCAAGAAAAATTTCCCAACCTAGCAAGACAGGCCAACATTCAAATTCAGGAAATCCAGAGAATCCTGGTAAGATACTCCAGAGAAGATCAACCCCAAGACACATAATCATCAGATTCTCCAATGTTGAAATGAAGGAAAATATGTTAAGGGCAGCCAAAGAGAAAGGCCAGGTCACCTACAAAGGGAATCCCAGCAGACTAACGGCAGACCTCTCAGCAGAAACCCTACAAGCCAGAAGAAGTTGGGGGTCAATATTCAACATTCTTAAAGAAAAGAATTTCCAACCTAGAATTTCATATCCAGCCAAACTAACCTTTATAAGTGAAGGAGAAATAAAACTTTTTCAGACAAGCAAATGCTGAGGGAATTCATCACCAGCAGGCCTGCCTTGCAAGAGCTCCTGGAGGAAGCACTAAATATGGAAAGGAAAAACCATTACCAGCCACTACAAAAACACACTGAAGTACACAGACCAATGACACTATGAAGCAACTACATAAACAAGTCTGCAAAATAATCAGCTAGCATCACGATGACAGAATCAAATTCACACATAACAATATTAACCTTAAATGCAAATGGGCTAAACACCCCAATTAAAAGACACAGAATGGCATGCTGGATAAAGAGTCAAGATCCTCCAGTGTGCTGTATTCAAGAGACCCGTCTCACATGCAAAGACAGGCATAGGCTCAAAATAAAGGAGTGGAGGAAAATTTACCAAGCAAATGGAAAACAGAAAAAAAGCAGGGGTTGTAATCCTAGTTTCTGGCAAAACAGACCTTAAGCCAGCAAAGATAAAAATAAAGACAAAGAAGGGCATTACATAATGATAATATGATAAGGGCAATTCAACAAGAAGAGCTAACTATTCTAAATATATATGCACACAATACAGGAATACCCAGATTTATAAAACAAGTTCTTAGAAACCTAAAAAGAGACTCAGACTCCCACACAATAATAGTGGGACACTGTAACACCCCACTGTCAATATTAGAGAGATCATTGAGACAGAAAATTAACAAAAATATTCAAGACTCAAATTCAGCCTTGGTTCAAGTGGACCTGATAGGTATCTACAGAACCCTCCACCCAAAAACAACAGAATATACATTCTTCTTGGCACCACAGGCATTTATTATAAAATTGATCACATAATTGGAACTAAATCACTCCTCAGCAAATGCAATAGAACTGAAATAATAATAAATAGTCTCTCAGACCATAGCACAATTAAATTAGAACTCAAGATTAAGACACTCACTCAAAACCACACAACTACATGGAAATTGAACAATGTGCTCCTGAATGACTCCTGGTTAAACAATGAAATTAAGGAAAAATCAAGAAGTTCTTTGAAACTATTGAGAACAAAGAGACAATGTACCAGCTAAAGCTGTGTTAAGAGAGAAATTTATAATACTAAATGCCCACATCAAAAAGCTAGAAACATGCAATATAGAGGACATAAAAGATACAGTTTGACCCTGTATTTTTCCCTTAGAATAGTTCCTTCCATAAATAAGACTTTATTTTTACATATAGATTGTCCTATAGCTGGTCTTGGATCATAAAGTTAATTATATAGTTGATAAAAATCTAGACCACACATTTTTGTGGTCTTTTGTCACCCTAGACCACACACAAAAAAACATTCTCCAAGTGGATGCTCAGGTCAGACTGATACTTTTAAACAAAGACATTTACTGAAGCTTAGAATGTAAAGCACACAACTATTTGCAGCAGCAATAGTCTTTCAAAAATGACTAAAACAAACTTTAAATATAAGGCATATAAAACAGACTATTAAGGATAGTTTTCCAAACTGTATCTAGAAATACAGGAAAATATGTATTGCCTCGTAATAAAGTTAAATAAATATTCTTTCTCACTTCTATAAACACAATAAGAGGTTATAGTTTTATTTGGTTCCCATAAGTTAAAAACTCTGATTGCTTTTACATAAATTCCTCCAAATTCTTAGCTACTCTCAGATTTTTATTAATGCCTTTTCACAAAACACAGAGATTATCTCTAACTTCCTTTCAGAAATGTGCTTTTTCATTGGTTTAAATAAGTATACTTAATTTTCTAGCAATAAACATGATTTAAAATTTAAGGTTCAAGGTAATTCTAGAAAAAGGTAGATACTGTCTATTTCTGTTACACAATTTGTTATTTCTTCAAATTTCCTATAGCAGCATGATAAATCATCAAAGAACCTGTTTGAGATACAAAACTTTGGTAGAAAATATTTGATGAGTATCTTGATTATAACCTAGAATATGTATATATTAGTAAAATAACCAGATATACTACAGAACTCTCTTTTGGCTCAAACAGTTTGACCTCAATCCACGTTTACTCTTGATATCACTCTATTGGCTGAAGGAGGAAACTCAAACCTCAGGGTTTGTTTTTCCCAGGACAGATAGTAGTGATAGTGCATTATATTTTAATAAGAAAAACAAACCAGTAAACCTTGAGAAATTTTAAAAAGCATAGTTGAGTCATATTTTTTCATAATTATATACTTATCTATTTATTGCCCATGGAAAATATATGTATAGAAGTATTTCTTCTGTTATTTGTTACTATCTTCTTAATTTGTTCCAAAGATAATACTGCCATACTGAATTCCCTCTGGAAGGAAACAAAACAAAACTCACTCAAAACCAGCAGTGCTGCTATCAGATAAGTAGATGTCAATGTATACTTACAAGGAAAGCCTAAAAAATTTAATGTGTTAATTCAGCCCTTTTCTTTTTTTTTTTTTAATTTACTTGTACTTTTTTTTTTATTATTATACTTTAAGTTCTAGGGTACAAGTGCACAATGTGCAGGTTTGATACATAGGTATACATGTGCCATGTTGGTTTGCTGCACCCATCAACTCATCATTTACATTAGGTATTTCTCCTAATGCTATCCCTCTGCAACCCCCAACCTGCTGACAGGCCCCAGTGTGTGATGTTCCCCGCCCTGTGTCCAAGTGTTCTCATTGTTCGATTCCCACCTATGAGTGAGAACATGCAGTGTTTGGTTTTCTGTCTTTGTGATAGTTTGCTGAGAATTATGGTTTCCAGCTTCATCCATGTCCCTGCAAAGGACATGAACTCATCCTTTTTTATGGCTGCATAGTATTCCATGGTGTATATGTGCCATATTTTCTTAATCCAGTCTATCATTGATGGACATTTGTGTTGGTTCCAAGTCTTTACTATTGTGAATAGTGCCACAATAAACATATGTGTGCATGTGTCTTTATAGTAGCATGATTTATAATCCTTTGGGTATATACCCAGTAATGGGATTGCTGGATCAAATGGTATTTCTAGTTCTAGATCCTTGAGGAATCGCCACACTGTCTTCCACGATAGTTGAACTAATTTACACTCCCACCAACAGTGTAAAAGTGTTCCTATTTCTCCACATCCTCTCCAGCATCTGTTGTTTCCTGACTTTTTAATGATCGCCATCCTAATTGACGTGAGATGGTATCTTATTTTGGTTTTGATTTGGATTTCTCTGATCACCAGTGATGATGAGCATTTTTTCATGTGTCTATTGGCAATTCAGCCCTTTTCTATGTAATATTTCCAAGTCAGACTTTCTTACATTCCTGGAATTTAGTTTGATATACCAAGAATAATAATGATAAAAATAATGATAAAATATTTGCTTTGATTACCATGGGGGGGTGAATGAAATGTTTAATTGTATTAAAACAAACAAACTTTTCAGAGAAAAAAAAAGCTAGAAACATCTCAAGTTAACAACCTAACATCAAAGCTAAAAAAACTGGAGAACCAAGAGCAAACAAACACCAAAGCTAGCACAAGGCAAGAAATAACCAAGCTCAGAGTGAAATTGAAGGAGATAGAGACACAAAAAAAACTTTCAAAAAATCAGTGAATCCAGGAGCTGGCTTTTTGAAAAAAATTAATGAAATAGACTCCTAGCTAGAATAATAAAGAAGAAAAGAGAGAAGAATTAAATAGACACAATAAAAAAATGATTGTAGGGATATCACCACTTACCCCACAGAAAAACAAACAACCATCAGAGAATACTATAAACACCTCTATGCAAATGAACTAAAAAATCTAGAACAAAGAATAAAGTCCTGGTCACATACACCCTCCCAAGACTGAACCAGGAAGAAGTCAATTCCCTGAATACTCCAATAACAAGTTCTGAAATTAAGGCAGTAATAAATAGCCTACCAACCAAGAAAAGCTCAGGACCAGATGGATTTACAGCTGAATTCTATCAGAGGTATGAAAAGGAGATAACATCCTTGCTTATGAAACTATTCGAAACAATTGAAAGGGAGGGACTCCTCCCTAATTCATTTTATGAGGCCAGCATCATCCTGATACCAAAGCCTGGCAGATATACAACAAAAATAGAAAACTTCAAGCCAATATCCGTGACGAACATCGATGCAAAAATTCTCAATAAAATACTGGCAAACCAAATAGAGGAGCACATCAAAAATCTTATTCACCATGATCAAGTCAGCTTCATACCTGGGGTACAACACTGGTTCAACATACGCAAATCAATAAACATAATTTATCGCATAAACAGAACCAATGACAAAACCACATGATTATCTCAATAGATGCAGAAAAGGCCTTCAATAAAATTCAACATCCCTTCATGTTTAAAACTCTCAGTAAACTAAGTATTGATGGAACATAACTCAAAATAATGAGAGATGTTTATGACAAACCCACAGCCAACATAATACTAAATGCACAAAAGCTGGAAGCATTCCCCTTGAAAACCAACACAAGGATGCCCTCCCTCACCACTCCTATTCAACATAGTATTGGAATTTCTGGCCAGGGTAATCAGGCAAGAGAAAGAAATAAAGGGTATTCAAATAGGGAGAGAGGAAGTCAAGCTCTCTTTGTTTGCAGATAACATGATCCTATATCTAGAAAACCCCATCGCCTCAGCCCAAAAGCATCTTAAGCTGATAAGCAACTTGAGCAAAGTCTCAGGATACAAAATTAGCGTGCAATAGACACAAGCATTCCTATGCACCAACAACAGACAAGCAGAGACCCAAATCATGAATGAACTCCCATTCACAATTGTCACAAAGAGAGTAAAATACCTAGGAATACAGCTAACAAGGGAAGTGAAGGACCTCTTCAAGGAGAACTACAAACTATTGCTCAGGGAAATTAGAGAGAACACAAACAAACGGAAAAACATTCCATGTTTATGGATAGGAAGAATCAATATCATGAAAGTGGCCATAATGCCCACAGTAATTTATAGATTAAATGCTATACTCATTAAACTACCATTGACATTCTTCATGGAATTAGAAGAAACTATTTTAATATTCATATGGAACCAAAAAAGAGCTCACATACCCAAGACAATCCTAAGCAAAAAGAACAAAGCTGGAGACATCACGCTCCAATGGAACAGAATAGAGAACTCAGAAATAAGACCACACATCTACAACCATCTGATCTTCGACAAACCTGACAAAAACAAGCAATGGTGAAAGGATCCCCTATTTAATAAATGGTGCTGGGAGAACTGGCTAGCCATATGCAGAAAATTGAGACTGGACCCCTTCCTTACACCTGATACAAATATTAACTCAAGATGGACTAAAGACTTAAATGTAAAACCCAAAACTATAAATATCCTAGCAAAAAATCTAGGCAATACCAATGAGGACACAGGCATGGGCAAAGATTTCATGATGAAATCACCAAAAGCAATTGCAACAAAAGCAAAAATTCACAAATGGGATCTAATTAAACTAAAGAGCTTCTGCACTGCAAAAGAAACTATCATCAGAGCCAACAGGCAACGTACAGAGTGGGAGAAAATTTTTGCAATCTATCCATTTGACAAAGGTCTGATATCCAGAATCTACAATGAACTTAAACAAATTTACAAGAAAAAGAAAAACATTAAAAAGTGGGCAAAAGACATGAACAGACACTTCTCAAAAGAAGATATTTATGTGGCCAAGAAACATATGAAAAAAAGCTCAACGTCACTGGTCATTAGAGAAATGCAAATCAAAACCACAGTGAGATACTGTCTCACACCAGTCAGAATGGTGATTATTAAAAAGTCAAGAAACAACAGATGCTGGGAAGGTTGCAGAGAAATAGGAATGCTTTTACACTGTTGGTGGGAATGTAAACTAGTTCAACCATTGTGGAAGATGATGTGGTGATTCCTCAAAGATCTAGAACCAGAAAAAGCATTTGACCCAGCAATTCCATTATTGGGTATATACCCGAAGGAATATAAATTATTCCATTACAAAGATACATGCACATGTATGTTCACTGAAGCACTATTCACAATAGCAAAGACATGGAGTCAACCCAAATGCCCATCAATGATAGACTGGATAAAGAAAATGTGGTACATATACACTATGGAATACCATGCAGCCATAAAAAGAAACGAGATCATGTCCTTTGTGGGGACATGGATGGAGATGGAAGGCGTTATCCTCTGCAAACTAATGCAGAAGCAGAAAACCAAACACTGCATGTTGTTACTTATAAGTGAGAGCTGAACAATGAGAACACATGGACACAGGGAGGAGAACAACACACAATGGGGCCTGTCAGGGGGTGGGGTGGGAGGAAGGAGAGCATTAGGAAAAGTAGCTAATGCATGCTGGACTTAATACCTGGGTGACGGGTTAATAGGTGCAGCAAACCACCATGGCACACATTTACCTATGTAAGAAACCTGCACATCCTCCACATGTACCCCAGAACTTAAAATTTAAATTTAAATTTAAAAAAAGCTACTACAGTTAGTTAGTGGGTTTAGCAAGGTTGTCGCATACAAAGTCACCATACAAAAGTAGTTGCATTTTTATGTACTAACAACAATTACTTGGAAATAAAAATTAAAAACTAATGCCATTTACAATTACATCAAAAATATGAAATGCTTAGGAACAAATCTGATTCAGGACATATAAGACATGTGCAATGAAAATTTAAAACATCACTGGGAGAAAAAAGAAAAATCTAAATAAATGAAGAGATATATCTTGTTCATGGATCAAGAGACTCGATTTCATTAGAATGTCAATCATCCTCAGATTGGTCTTTTTTTGTTTTGAGGCAGAGTCTCACTCTGTTGCCCAGGCTGGAGTGCAGTGGCGCAATCTCGGCTGTCTGCAAGCTCTGCCTCCCGGGTTCATGCCATTCTCCTGCCTCAGCCTCCTGAGTAGCTGGGACTACAGGCATCTGCCACCACGCCAGGCTAATTTTTTGTATTTTTAGTAGAGACAGGGTTTCACTGTGTTAGCCAGGATGGTCTCCATCTCCTGACCTCATGATCCACCCACCTCGGCCTCCCAAAGTGCTGGGATTACAGGCGTGAGCCACTGCGCCTGGCCTCAGATTGGTCTTTAAATTAAACTTAATTCTAATGAAAACTCCAGCATGATTTGTAGCAATTGCCCAGCTGTCTCTAAAGGTCATATGAAAATGTAAAGGGCATAGAATAGCCCAAAGAGCTTTGAAACAGAAGAACAAATTTGGAGGGGGATCACTATCTGATTTCAAGACTTATTACAAAACCGTGTAACAAAAGCTGTGTGTTTTGGCATCTAAATAGACAAACAGATCAAAAGAACAGAATCAAGAGACCAGAAATAGACCAGAAAGAAAAAAAGCTCGTCACTGGTCATTAGAGAAATGCAAATCAAAACCACAATGAGATACCATCTCACACCAGTCAGAATGGTGATTATTAAAAAGTCATCATATGGACAACAGATTTTTGACAAAGACATAAAGGAAATTCAGTGGAGAATATACTCTTTTCAACAAATGATGCTGGCACAATGATTACCTACATGTAGAACAAACACACAAAACACATCAATCCATACCTCACATCATATACAAAACTTAACTCAAAATGGATTATAGACCTAGATATAAAATAATTATAAAACTCTAGCAGAAAACATAGGAAAAAATCTTGTGACTTGGGCTTGGCAAAGATTTCTTAGATGCAAACACCAAAATATGTAAATTTTTTATACAACATTGATAAACTGGGCTTCAGCAAATAATTAAAAACTTCTGCTCTTTAAAAACACTATTAGGAAAATGGAAAGATAAGCTACAGACTGGCAAAAATTATTTGTAAATCTTATATCTAACAAAGGGCCTGAATCCAGGCTATAGAAATAAATCTCAAAACGCAATAATAAGAAAAAAAATCAACCCAATTAAATAATGAGCAAGATATTTGAACATGGTTCACCAAAGATATACTGGTTGCAGATAAGAACATCAAAAAATGTTCTGTGTCATTAGTCATCCAGGGATGCACATTAAAACCACAGTGAGATACTACTGTATACCTTTTAGAAGGGCTACAATTGAAGACTGACCAAATGATGGCAAGTTTGTGGAGGAACAGGAACTCCTACACACTGCTGGTAAGGATATCAAATGACGGAAAAAAGTCAAAACTTATAGCTGCCAAAGGACCCAGCCATTTTATTTCTAGGTATTTACCTAAGAGGAAAGGAAATATATGCCCCTACAAAGACTTGTACAAAAATGTTCCTAGCAGTTTTATTTGGAATAGCCCCAAACTGAAAACGATCTTAATGTCCATTAACAGATGAATTTGTGTTACTCATACAGTGAACTCATATACCCTGAGCAACTACTCAGAGTGAACTATTGATACACTCAACAAATTTATTTTCAAATATTTTCAAAAATGTACAAGCAAAGAGATGAAATTAATTTCAAATATTCTGTATTTGAGTTGCATATAAATTAATTATAAGAAAAGAAAGTTAAATATTCAGGTCTTCAGTCACACCAGCCACATTTTACAATAGCCACATGGTGCTAAGAGCTACTGTGTGAGACAATGCAGATCTAGACCATTTGACAATACTCTAAAGTTTCTCTGTGATCAGTATTTATGCAAAACACGAAGGTCAACTAATTCCTTTAAATGCTTGCAACTCACCTACAACAAATGACTGAAGGTTCCATATATAGCAGAAAAAGGGAGGCAGTCATCTCTTTTCTCCTCTCTGTGACTTAACACTTCATTTTTAGAAAGAGAGTGCAAGTGGCATTTTGGGAACAGCTGGGTGTGTTCAACTGGTCCTAGTTCTTTGTACTCATCCTTCCTTACCATTGGAAATCTCTAAAGCTCCCTGAGAAGAGTCATTTACTTTTGTAATGTCAAGTTCCCCCAGCTCAGTCTGAAGTGTGTCTCCCGTGTGTCCTGTGGGGTACCTTGCAGTCCTAGAGTGGCCACCACAACTCCTGTTCCCGCAAAAATTCCTCAACAGCTCTTCCTCCTGCAAACCCTGCTTTACTGTCTCCATTACAGACCTCTAGAGCTTCCTCCCACCCAAATGGCAGATTATATAGAGGAGTATGGGAGAAAAGAGCAAGGTCGTTGAAAAAAAATACAAAATTTTATAACAGTAAACTTTTCTTTCGTGGAGTCAGGAGTAAGAGTGACTCTCTGGAGAAGTCCAATAAAGAGAGGCCAGTTTAAGGTCCTCAATCTAGCCCAGAACACATGGATCAAAATCTGAAACTTGGTATTGAGAATTATACTAATTTCTTTAGTAAGCATTTGACAAGTAGTTATAGCATTATTATTGTTGTACACACACTTCTAGAAGATCTTTCCCTCTCCCTTTTCTCAAATTAAAGAAAAAAAAATTTCTGGTGCCTTGAAATGGAGAAAAATCAGTGCCATTGGAGCCTTTGTCATGGGGGCCATCTCTGTAGACTCTGTTTTCTAGGACTTTTTTTCGACAACTAAAATGAGATTTTGTGTCCACCCTGTCATCCTTCTCCATACCTTGTCGCTTCCCACTCCACCCACGAGGGTTTTGGGAAGAGGGGAACAGTATGGGCACTCCTCAGTTCCAACTGATCCTGGATGATAGAAATATGTTGCATGACATAAAATGGGCAAAAGAAAAAGGGAGGGATGAGGGAATAATTGAAAACTAGGACCTGTATTACCTATTTAACTCAAGCAAATTTCCAAACAACCAAACCCACACGCTCCTCTGGGGCTCCCTATTCCTTTCCAGTCACAATTCCAGGATTACATTTATAGGATCCGGATGACTACCATGTTCTGGGCAGAGTCAATGCTTACTCTCTTGTCAATTGAAAGTTTTGAACACTGCCCTTTCCTGCAGGAGTCTCTGATTCTTACTGCAGGGGATTGGAGTCAACATAATTAACCTTCTGCTTCCTAACAACCACTGAGATAATTTGATATGTGTCCCCTGTAATTTGAGGGACAAAAAAAAGCAGGCTTCTAATTCACATCTGGACAAGCAAAATGCAGGATGCTGTGGCTGGCTGGTTGCTCTGATCACAGAGAGGTGACTGTATGTGGAATGTCACATGGGCTTTCCATGAGCCAGACCTGTAGCTTTGGAAAGGAGCTTTGCCCAGTCCAATGTAGATGAGCAATTATTAGCTTGTGTGCTAGTAGAAATTTTGTTCAGAAATCATATGAAATTGCTGGTATGCAAAATGTAAATGAGCTAGTTACATACATACAGCACATATGCGGAGCACTCTTCTGGGCTCTAGAGTACATATATGAATCTGTTCCAATGTGGGGCATGGGGTGAAATCTAGCTGGTGATGTGGTGATGAGCCATTCTACATGGTGATGTGGGCTGTGTAGGAAGATGATGGGAATGCCACAGTGGCCTCAGTGATAACACAAAATTCTCAGTCCTTTATATATTTAGGTGGGTAATGTTGTAAAGCACTGAGTTATAATTATTCAAATATATATTTTATATTGCAGTGGTGAAGGGAAAGCTTCCCCTTTGCTCTTGGAAGGTTCACTGAAAAATGAACTAATAAAAAAGCAGATTAAGAAGAGAAAAAGCATACAAATGTATTACTACCATGCACAGGGGAAGAATCACAGTGGTTGCCCAGTATCCCAGTGGGATATGGATGGTGATATACCCTACTTCTTAGGGGAAAGGGAGATGGGAAGTGTGGATGATTTTTGGGAGATTGTAAATGATTTATTTTTAGGGGAACTCAATGGGTTTGAAGAACATACAACGGTCTTAGACAAAGTCTGTTAGGCCCACAGGGAAGAAAGTGGTTTGTGAAAAAAGTCTCTAGGTTTGTTAACAGACTTTAGTCTTCTTTCTTATGATATGGGTTCAGTTCACGAAAACTCAGGAAAGACAAGTGGTAATTGTTTTGTACTCTGGTAGGTCTGGACTTTAGGCAGATACTTCAGAGAACAGCTTCATCCTGTGCTTCAGGAGAGGTTAAGGACTGACAGCAAGGGAGGGAGGAAAAACAATGTTCTCCTTGGTGGATCTGCCCAGTCTTTATGCAGATAGGGGAAAAGTCTCTTCCAGCATCTACTGATCTCTAAAGGCCTGTAATTCAAAATACGCATTATACCTTGCTCCTTTGATATCCTAGCTCCTGATCCATTAATGGATCAGAAAACAAAGAAAATACATCCAGAAGATGTTGGCACTTCATCAAAGGGCAACAAAAGAAAATGCGTTTTTGGAAATAATATAGTTAAACTCCAGGAGCATTATGAAATCTGTATAGGTCTTGTCCAAGACATTCTGTACAGATGATCTTTTACTATAACAATAAATATTTATTGGAAACCTTATTTTGTTGGATAAATAGACTGTGGGCAAAATTCAAACATTGCTCATTACTTAATCAAAGCCTATATTCATATGACCCCTTAATTACCCTGATACATTCCCAAGAGTCTAAATTACCTTCTCCAACAAGGTTGTAAACTTCCTAAAGGAAGATCTGTCCCTGTCATTTTTGTTGTCTTTCTTTTTTTTTTTTGAGATGGAGTTTTGGTCTTGTTGCCCAGGCTAGAGTGCAACGACGCGATCTCGGCTCACAGCAAACTCCGCCTCCCGGGTTCAAACCATTCTCCTGCCTCAGCCTCCGGAGTAGCTGGGATTACAGGCATGCGCCACCACGCCCGGCTAATTTTGTATTTTTAGTAGAGACAGGGTTTCTCCATGTTGGTCAGGCTGGTCTCGAACTCTGGACCTCAGGTGATCCACCCACCTCGGCCTCCCAAAGTGCTGAGATTACAGGCGTGAGCCACCGCGCCCGGCCTGTTGTCTTTCTTAGGGTCTTTATTTGCACAGTGAATATAAACATTAGTTTATAATTAATTTCACTGTTCCCTCTGCTCAACCCTAGCCAATTATGTTTTAATGATGCCACATTGTATAGCCCGTATGAAACGATATTATGATATTTCTATAGTGTCTGAAGTATTAACAGTTGCCTGTGTGTCCTACAGTTTTCAGCAAGCTGCAGGGGTGAAGGGGAGATGGTAGGAATGAGGAAGAGAATTGAAGGACTTCAAATGAAAAACTCTAAGTCCCCAAAGACAAACAGGGCCTAATAAACACAACAGTAACAATAATACCTAACACATATTAGGTGCTTACTATTTGCCAGCATTATGTCACTTAGCACTCACCTCTGTGATATAGATACTATTATTATCTTGGAAAGTTCAAATAACATCCCACAGTCAGTGAAAAAGCTGGATTTGAATGCAAGATGCCTGAACCCCATGCTCTTAACTTCCACCTCACACAGGGCTGGCCGCCTCTTGAGGCTTATACGGCCTTTTTTTTTTTTTTTTTTTTTTTGACAGAGTCTTGCTCTGTCACCCAGGCTGGAGTCCAGTGGCGTGATCTTGGCTCACTGCAACCTCTGCCTCCCGGGTTCAAGTGATTCTTCTGCCTCAGCCTCCTGAGTAGCTGGGACTACAGGTTCATGCCACCACGCCTGGCTAATTTTTGTATTTTTAGTAGAGACGAGGTTTCACCATATTGGCCAGGCTGATCTCGAACTCCTGACCTCGTGATCCACCCTCCTTGGCCTCCTGAAGTGCTGGGATTACAGGTGTGAGCCACCATGCCTGGGCTACATGGCTTTTTTAATGACAAGTTAGAGCAAGCTAACTTCCTAGTCAATTCAAGAATGAAAAAACAACAACAAATAAACACCATTGTTTGGCATTGTGGAGACAATGATGGGATTGAATTTATGAACTCTAGGCGTTCTTCTTCCCCTAATCCAGAGAAATCACTACAAGGCCACTTTCATTTCTTTCCCTAAAGAGGGACCACCTAAAACGCTCTGCCCCTGAGGGCACGAGATAAAGTCCATGGTGGGACTTTAGTGCTGAGCCTTGCAAAGGATCGATCTCACGCTTCACTTTTCTCATCAGTGGCTTCATCTGAAGCAGCATGATGGTTAAGAAGGCTTCGGGTGAAAATGACTCAAAGTAACAAACCAGACACCCATTTAAAGCTTCCCAGTGTGTTAAAAGCATGTCTCTTCACTGCAAGACAAATACTGTGGGATCAACAAGCCCTGGAGACAGATGGAAGAAATTCCAAACAGCCTCAGGTGGTTCGTAGTCAGCTAGCCAGCCACCAAAGCCAGTGGCTCACCCCTGGGAGCCTCCTGCCCTGGGGTCTACACATAGAAATAGTCATTTGGTTCATTTCATTGACCATTTAAAAAGTATATTTTGCTTAGTGCACAAGTACAGCTAGGAGTGAAAAAAATTATGAAAATGAATTCTATTCAAAATTTTTAGTTTGTGGGTTTGAAGTTAGGTAAGAGGAACAAGAGAGCCAATAGTTCTATTACCCAAGCAGGGGCTCCCCCTGCTGGAAATCTATTTTGAAACCCATAAATTGTTAATGATGCCTTCTTGAATTACCTATATGGCAGTGGAACAAGAAAAGCGCCAGTAATTTAAATATTTAAGGCTGATATCATCTATCTACATAGGTAATGAAAGTGTTTCCTATACTTCTAGAGTTCAAATAAATAAAACAAGATTCACCTGCTTTAGGATGAATAGAATGAATACAGAATGGTGTTATAAATTTTAGGAAAATGCACCAGAAAATGATTTTTGTGTTGTTGCTGTTGTTATTCTTAATTTGGCAGAGCAATAGAATTATCCTGGAAAATATCTAATGGAACCCAAAAGAGTAAGAGGGTAAAAGGGATGATTTTGTACTCAACATCCTGATAGACAATTAGGAAAAGTTTTTCAGCTGCAGTCTATCTGAGATATAGACTCACCTTGTATTTCTCAGAGACTTAGGTCCTAACCATGTAAGCATCTCAAGATGATCGTCGTAACTCCCCAACTCTTAAACCTACTGGCCCAAACAAGAGGAATCAACATGTTGAAGATTGTATATCCTATATCTGTGATGCAGTAATACAGCTTAGGCATTTAAAAATCTTATGTTACCTTGGCTCCATCTGAAATTTTTTTAAAGAGAGAAGGAGAGAGAGAGAGAGAGAGAGAGAGAGAGAGAGAGAGAGAGAGAGAGAGAGAACCAGTATAAATTCCAAACAGTATCATTTGAAATTCTAAACATGTAGATTTAAATTTTGGAATGCGCAGACTAGACTGTGAGTGATACGGTCTAAAAGGCATTATCAACTATGTCAAATCAATAAATCAATCATGAATTCTCTTGCAATTCACAACAGCCCCTCGCAAAAGAGTGCAACAATGTGAACACTGCCAAATGTATAGAAATGACTCTTCCTATAGAGTGGCCAACAAGACAAACTGACATTTTCTCTGTACTAATAGAGATTGAGTTCATAGCACATTTCCTCTCTCTTCAACACACACACACACACACACACACACACACACACACACACACACACCCTGACAACACTCATGCTGTCTAACCAGCTGAGACTGCATTTCTCACTTTGAACATCAAAGTGATAAATCAAGATTCAATTCAACATCATTTGCTGAGTGCCTTCTGTGGACTCCGTGGGAGATTTGTAACAATCTAAAAGATTATAAGAGAGAAGAGCATATGATATGTCTACAAATAAACTTTTGAGTGTGAGTTAAGAAGAGTATTCATTTTTACACTGAACTGGAGATCCATGACTCTATTAACACCTTGATTCTGATATAATTCAATTTATAGAAGTGATCTTCCTCACAGAGAATATAGTCTGTTCAAAGTTGGATCCACTAAACCTACTGTGGTATTGTAGATAATCAACAACAATGTTCTGAGTTAAGTTGAAATGAGAATTTTATCAAAATACTGTTTTATAGCTAGCTTTTATCATTTTATAATGTGATATGTAATGCAATGTATTGTGATTATATTTCCATTTTGATAAATATTCTGATACAACAACATTTCTAATAGCTGCTGGCATTTCATTTTAAGGATGCATCATCATTTACTTAAATACTATTTTATTATTGTTTCCAAGTTTTCCTGTTATAAACAAATCTGAAATGAACGTCTTTGAAGACGCTAAATCTTTGCACATGGCCTTGACTATTCCCTTAGAGTAAAATCCAACAGGAAAAATTGTTAGGTCAAAGGATATTTTCATATGTGCTAATTTTTTTTTTTTTTTAAGACGGAGTCTCACTCTGTGGCCCAGGTTGGTGTGCAGTGGCACAATCTTGGCTCACTGCAACCTCTGCCTCCTGGGTTCCAGAGATTCTCCTGCCTCAGCCTCCCGAGTAACTGGGATTACAGGCGCCCACCACACCCGGCTAATTTTTGTATTTTTAGTAGAGATGGGGTTTCACCATGTTGGCCAGGCTGGTCTTAAACTCCTGACCTCAAGTGACCTGCCCGACTCAGCCTCCCAAAGTGCTGGGATTACAGGCATGAGCCACTAATTTTGATACATATTCACAAATATTTCCCCAGAGAGGATGTATCAACTTATGATCATATACTAATGTTTCTTTTCCCATTTAGTAGACAAAGAATCTTATTTTAATTTGTAATTTTTGATTCATGTTTGGCACCTTTTCTAATTCTTCATTTGCAAATTGACTGGTTACGTTCATCCATTTTTCTACCAGTATTTGCATTATTTCTTACTGATTGGCAACAAGTTTTTATATTCAGTATTGTAACACATTGATATATGTGTTAAAAAACATTTTTTACTCTCAAGAATAGAGACTGAGTCTTGCTGTGTTGCCGAGGCTGATCTCAAATGCCTGGCCTCAAACTATCCTCCCACCTTGGCCTCCCAAAGTGTTGGGATTACAGGCGTGAGCCACCACACCCAGCCAGAAACATTTTCTCATTCATTTATTCATGACACAAATATTTATTAAAGATATATATCAAGTTCCATAGGCAACACGGGGAAAAAATAAGGTAACCGAAAAGAACAAAATACAGTTGCCTTAAGCTCCTGAGCTGCCACACTGAACACCAAGAAGTAATATCTTCTAACATTTTGTGGAGAAAATGTGTGAACTAAGCATTTTATTTCCAACCGATTCAGGTATTCAGTTAACAGAAGGACATTTTCAGTTATTCACAATTTCAAAAATATTACATCCATATTTTCTTGACTAATTAGCTGAAGATGTCCTCCAACAAACTAAAAAATGAAGCCCAATTAAGGATTAAAGAATGAAGATGACATGGCATAAAATACTGGACCAGCTCCAGAAGCCAGTGATAGTAAAATATTTGCTGAGACAGATACAAAACTACAAAAGTGATTGTTAATGATACAACCTATTTCCAAGTTATGCGTATGTGATAGGATACAGGAAATGCTATCCCTAAATATGGCATCTTGTCATACTGAATATTTTAAGCTGAAGAAAATTGAGAAAACCACAGAAGCGGCAAAGTCTCTCTGACCTTCTCTCCTGAAGACCCTTAAGTGACAAATGTCCTGCCCTATGTCTGCAGGGAAGGAATGTTACACAGAGAGGCCAAGAAGCATCTGAACAAACAGGCTTGCTAAGTTCCCCCAAGCTTATTACTACTAGGTCACATCCGCTTTTTGTCCAATCATACACTATCTATCCATTCTTCACAAAACCTAAGCATAAAAACACAGTTTTTCCTGGGTCTTTGGGTCTTCATTTCTGAAGGCTCCTGTGTCATGTAAAACTTTGGTAAAATAAATTTGTTATGCTTTTCTCTTGTTAGTCTGTCTTTGTTATAGGAGTGTCAGCCATAAACCTTGTGATGAATGAGGAAAATATATTACCTTTTCTTCCCAAATGCAATAATATGAATTTTAAGAATCTAGTTCACCTTTTTTTCCTTTTTCTTTTTTTCTTTTTTGAGACAGGATCTTGTTCTGTCACCCAGGCTGGAGTGCAGTAGCATGACCCTAGCTCACTACAACCTGAAACTCCTAGGTTCAAGGGATCCTTCCATTTCATCCTCCCAAATTGCTGGGTTTACAGGCATACACCACCATGCCTGGCTAACTTTTTTTTTTTTTTTTTTTTTTTGTAGAAATGGCAGCTTGCAATGTGGCCCAGGCTGGTCTTGAACTCCTAACTTCAAGTGATCCTCATGCCTCAGTTTCCCAAACCACCGGGATTACAGGCTTGAGCCACCACGCTCAGCCAAAAACCCAATTCGTCTTAATAAAACCTGAGAAATGGTGAATAAAGGGAAAAGAGGTGAGAAGACAGGAAAAGTTTATGACACTTTTCTATTTCATAGAAGTCTAAAAATTAAATAAATATGGGTTCAACAGCATTTAAAAATGCAATAACATAAAAAAACCAAGATATATGTCCTCCAAAACACTGAAAAAGAGATCACAGTAAAGGATACATAATTCATGCCCAAAGAGGGGATGTTAAAAGTAAAGGCATGCAACGGGGTGCAGTGGCTCACGCCTGTAATCGCAGCGCTTTGGGAGGCCGAGGCAGGCGGATTAAGAGGTCAGGAGACAGAGACCATCCTGGCCAACATGGTGAAACCCCATCTCTACTAAAATACAAAAAATTAGCTGGGCGTGGTGGTGCACACTTCTAGTCCCAGTTACTCGGGAGGCTGAGGCAGGAGAATTGCTTGAACCCGGGAGAGGGAGGTTGCAGTGAGCCGAGATATTGCCACTGCACTCCAGTGGGGCGACAAAGCAAGACTCCATCTCAAAAAAAAAAAAAAAAGAAGTCAAGGCATGCACAAAGGGATATTGCAGAAATGTAAACAAAAAGAAATGGAATGGCAATGTAATGTTCACACAAAGTAAAATCCAGTGCAATAAACATTGATTAGGACAAATAGGGCCATGTTACATTCTCAATTCAGACCAGGATAATTCAGACAGGGCTATAACCATAAAAATTCTTTATGCATAACTATCATAGTATCAATACTAATGAAGCAAGGAATTATTAGAATTCAAAGGAAGATTTGGCAAAGAATAATAAACTGAATATTCAAAGCAGGAAGGGAAAAGCAAGAAAAATAAAAGTGCTAATGAATTACAAAGACATACATGAAATTGATAAATATAATACTTTTTAATAAATTAAGAGAGAAAACCACTACCAAGACTAATCAAGAAAAAGAGAAAACACAAACGTGCAAAATTACAAACAAGAACATTGGTACAGGAGATTTAGAAGAACTGTCAGAAAAGCATATATAACTTTATGAAAACAAAATAGAAAATCTGAATAAAATGTACCATTTCCTAAAAAATATCTAAATTATCAAAATAAATTAGGAGTTCAAATGCTTAAATAGGACACAAATCGTGGGACAAAAGTTTGAGAAAGGTATCAAATTGACATCCTTTAGTTGATAGGATAGTTATCCGAGAGCCAAGAAGTTTCCACTGCTAAGTTCTATGAAATCATCAAGAAAACCAATAAGACCAATGTTACCTAAGCCCCTTAATCACACATACAAATGTGCACTTGTGTCATGTGACACCCTTAACATAACCCTAAAATTAAAACTCATTAAAGATAGAACACATAAAAATTTAAAAATCAATCTCATTGGCCGGGCGCAGTGGCTCACTCCTGTAATCCCAGGACTATGGGAGGCTAAGGTGGGCGGATCACCACGTCAGGAGATGGAGACCATCCTGGCTAACACGATGAAACCCTGTCTCTACTAAAAATACAAAAAAAAATTAGCCGGGCGTGGTGGCGGGCGCCTGTAGTCTCAGCCACTTGGGAGGCTGAGGCAGGAGAATGGCGTGAACCCAGGAGGAGGAGCTTGCAGTGAGCCGAGATAGCGCCACTGCACTCCAGCATGGGCGACAGAGCGAGACTCAGTCTCAAAAAAAAAAAAAAAAAAAAAAAAATCGATCTCATTTATGAACACCAAAAAAGCCATAATAAAATGCTAGCAAAAAAAGTCAACGTATTAAAAGAACGATGCACCAATAAGAAGGGGACTTTATTTCATTAACAAACCATTCAATGTTTAAAAAACTATTAATAGGATTTACCACAGTAATTGCTTAAAGGCAGAAAAATAAAACAGTCTTCCTGATAAAATCTGAAAAGATGGTAACATTTAATATAAATTATCGGTTAAAATCCCTGTTGAGAATCAAGAAATATTAGCACTAGCATTGCCATTAAATTCAGAAAAAGAGAAAGAAAACGATGTTCATTATCACATCTATTATTTGGCATGCTTTGGAAGGCAATAAAGAAAATTAAGAACTTTTAGGAAAGGCAGAAGAGGCATATTATCTCTTTTTTTTCTGCTTTTGCTCATGCTGTGATTATTTACTAACGTGAAAAGCTAAAATAATTAATTGGAAAAATATTAGGGAAACTCAAAAACACAGTTCAGTAAGGGAACCAAGTATACAACTGGTTTAGAAAATTCAACTGGTGACCAGGCACGGTGACTCATGCCTGTAATCCCAGCACTTTGGGAGGCTGAGGGTGGTGGATCACCTGACGTCAAGAGTTTGAGATCAACCTGGCCAACATGGTGAAACCCCATCTCTACTAAAAATACAAAAATTAGCTGGGCGTGGTGGTGGGCACCTGCAATCCCAGCTAACTCAGGAGGCTGAGGCAGGAGAATTGCTTGAATCCAGGAGGCAGAGGTTGCAGCGAGTGGAGATCAGGCCCCTGCACTCCAGCCTGGGTGACAGAGTGAGACTCCATCTCAAAAAAAATTTAAAAAAACTCAACTGGTTTCCAACATGCCCACAAGAACTGACAATAAGATATAGCGGAATAAAATCAATTCACGAAAGCCATAAGGTATGTGAATGCCTAGAAACAAGGTTAATATATATTAACATATTTATTAATGAAACTCACTAATATATATTCATCTTTATAATGAAAACAAAAACTTTAGTAAAGTATAAACAAAGAACTAAATAGAGTTATTCATACTATATACCTGCTTGGGAAGATATTAATTTTCCCCCAATTAATTTATAAGTTTAACCTAACTCTTTCAAAATAAAAACTGAATGTTTGTTTTTAAAATGGAAGGGCCTTCTTGTATAATAGCTTACAGCAGATAAATTCTTGCTGAGAACTACTGGAAAATCTGGGTGAAATACCAAAAACAAAACAAAATCTACTTAAAAGCATTGAGAGATACCAAAGCCATCAGGACCTGAGGGACTAGCAGGTTAGAGAAAAGGAAACCCACTGAAGTTAGCCCAACACTCTTTCCTGAACTTCCCCTTAAGGAATTTGCCAATTAATAAACAGACCAAGAGGTTGAAAAGTCCTGAAAGAAAATGCTAAGGGCAGAAAAACTAAGCAGAGTTTTCAGCACCCAAAAGCGTTAGGGAGACAAAATTGGACTTGTGGTCTGCTAAGGCATGAAGTGCATGAAGGGTACATGATTCTGGAAAGAGAAGAAAGGCAAAGGAGCAAGCCAGCCACCCTGGACAGCTATTTCCCTCCATGCATTTGCCATTCGGTGAACAACACACTCCCTGAAGTCTGAAAGCAGAGCAGAAAGCAGCTGCTAAGGGGGCAGTTTCTAATCAAAACTCCATTGCTGTAAATTCCTAAGACTGAAATATTTCTCAGAAGTGCCCAAGGATGGAAAATAAATGTCATCAAAACAATCCCCTGGGAAAACCCAAGATTGTGTTAGTGAAGAAATATGTTAACTGTTCATCTCCAATATCCTGTTTTGCTTCATCTTGCTCAGAAGGAATAAGAATCTCATCCCTTCAAAAATAAAAATAAAAAATAACCAAAACCACAAGAATAAAAGGTGTATTACTTTTTTTTTTTTTTTTTTTTTTTTTTTGAGACGGAGTCTCACTCTGTCGCCCAGGCTGGAGTGCAGTGGTGCGATCTCGGCTCACTGCAAGCTCCGCCTCCTGGTTTCACGCCATTCTCTTGCCTCAGTCTCCCAAGTAGCTGGGACTACAGGCGCCCGCCACCACGCCCGGCTAATTTTTCTGTATTTTTAGTAGAGACAGGGTTTCACCATGTCAGCCAGGATGGTCTCGATCTCCTGACCTCGTGATCCGCCCACCTCGGCCTCCCAAAGTGCTGGGATTACAAGTGTGAGCCACCGTGCCCGGCCAAGGTGTATTACTTTTTAAACTGAAAGAACAGACTTAATTAGAGAATTAGCAACAGCTGGAGCAAACAGCTGTTTCTTTTCTTTTTTAACATCTTTATTGAGATACAGTTCTCATACCATAAAATAGACCCAGTTACAGTGTACAATTCATTGGCTTTTAGTATATTCACATTTCTGTTTTTAAATTATACTTTAAGTTCTGGGATACATATGCAGAACGTGCAGGTTTGTTACATAGGTATATACGTGCCATGGTGGTGTGCTGCACCCATCAACCTGTCATCTACATTAGGTGTTTCTCCGAATGTGATCCCTCCCCTAGCCTCCTACCCCGCAAAGGGCCCTGGTATGTGATGTTCCCCTCCCTGTGTCCATGTGTTCTCATTGTTCAAGTCCCACTTATTAGTGAGAACATGTGGTGAGAACATGAGAACTAAACACCACATGTTCTTGTGTTAGTTTGCTGAGAATGATGCTTTCCAGCTTCATCCACGTCCCTGCAAAGGACATGAACTTGTCCTTTTTTATGGCTGCATAGTATTCCATGGTATATATGTGCCACATTTTCTTTATGCAGTCTATCATTGATAGGCATTTGGGTTGGTTCCAAGTCTTTGCTATTGTGAACAGTGCCACAATAAACATATCTTTATAGTAGAATGATTTATAATCCTTTGGGTATATACCCAGTAATGGGATTGCTGGGCCAAATGGTATTTCTGGTTCTAGACCCTTGAGGAATCGCCACACTGTCTTCCACAATGGTTGAACTAATTTACACTCCCACCAACAGTGTAAAAGCGTTCCTATTTCTCCACATCCTCTCCAGCATCTGTTGTTTCCTGACTTTTTAATGATCACCATTCTAACTGGCGTGAGATGGTATCTCATTGTGGTTTTGATTTGGATTTCTCTAATGACCAGTGATGATGAGCTTTTTTTCATGTTTGTTGGCTGCATGAATGTCTTCTTTTGAGAAGTGTCTGTTCATATCCTTTGCCCACTTTTTGATGGGGTTGTTTGTTTTCTTCTTGTAAATTTGTTTAAGTTCTTTGTAGATTCTGGATATTAGCCCTTTGTCAGATGGATAGACTGCAAAAATTTTCTCCCATTCTCTAGGTTGCCTGTTCACTCTGATGATAGTTTCTTTCACTGTGCAGAAGCTCTTTATTTTAATTAGACCCCGTTTGTCAATTTTGGCTTTTGTTGACATTGCTTTTGGTGTTTTAGTCACGAAGCCTTTGCCCATGCCTATGTCCTGAATGGTATTGTCTAGGTTTTCCTCTAGGGTTTTTATGGTTTTAGGTCTTATGTTTAAGTCTTTAATCCATCTTGAGTTAATTTTTATATAAGGTGTAAGGAAGGGGTTCAGTTTCAGTGTTTTGCATATGGCTAGCCAATTTTCCCAACACCATTTATTAAATAGGGAATCCTTTCCCCATTGCTTGTTTTTGTCAGGTTTGTCAAAGATCTGATGGTTGTAGATGAATGGCATTATTTCTGAGGCCTCTGTTCTGTTCCATTGGTCTATATATCTGTTTTGGTACCACTACCATGCTGTTTGTTATTGTAGCCTTGTAGTATAGTTTGAAGTTAGGTAGCGTGATGCCTCCAGCTTTGTTCTTTTTGCTTAGGATTGTCTTGGCTATGTGGGCTCTTTTTTGGTTCCATATGAAATTTAAAATAGTTTTTTCTAATTCTGTGAAGCAAGTCAATGGTAGCTTGATGGGGATAGCACTGAATCTACAAATTACTTTGGGCAGTATGGCCATTTTCACAATATTGATTCCTCCTATCCATCAGGCTTCTCTGCTGCAGGTCTGCTGGAGTTCACTGGAGGTCCACTCCAGACCCTGTTTGCCTGGGTCTCACCAGCGGAGGCTGCGTAACAGCAAAGATTGATGCCTATTCCTTCCTCTGGAAGCTTCGTCCCAGAGGGGCACCCACCAGATGCCAGCCAGAGCTCTCCTGTATGAGGTGTCCGTTGACCCCTGCTGGGAGGTGTCTCCCAGACAGGAGGCACGGGAATCAGGAACCCACTTGAGGAGGCAGTCTGTCCATTAGCAGAGCTCGAGTGCTGTGCTGAAAGATCTACTGCTCTCTTCAGAGGTGGCAGGCAGGAATGTTTAAATCTGAATCTGCTGAAGCTGTGTCCACAGCCACCCTTTCCCCCAGGTGCTCTGTTCCAGGGAGACAGGAGCCCTGACTGGGGCTGCTGCCTTTCTTTCAGAGATGCCCAGCCCAGAGAGGAGGAATCTAGAGAGACAGTCTGACTATAGCGGCTTTGCTGAGCTGCAGTGGGCTCTGCCCAGTTCGAACTTCCCAGCAGCTTTCTTTAGACTGTAAGAGGAAGACTGCCTACTCAAGCCTCAGTAATGGCTGATGCCCCTCCCCTAACCAAGCTCAAGCATCCCAGGTCAACTTCAGACTGCTGTGCTGGCAGTGAGAATTTCAAGCCAGTGGATCTTAGCTTGCTGGGCTGCTTGGGGGTGGGATCCACTGAGCTAGACCACTTGGCTTCCTGGCTTCAGCCCCTTTTCTGGGGGAGTGAAGGGTTCTGTCTCGCTGGCGTTCCAGGCACCACTGGGGTATGAGAAGAAACTCCTGCAGCTAGCTCAGTGTCTGCCCAAATAGCCACCCAGTTTTGTGCTCGAAACCCACGACCCTGGTGGCATAGGCACTGGAGGAAGACTCCTGGTCTGTGAGTTGCGAAGACCATGGGAAAAGCGTAGTATCTGGGCCAGCATGAACTGTTCCTCATGGCACAGTCCCTCACGGCTTCCCATGGCTAGGGAAGGGAGGTCCCCAGCCCCTTGCTCTTCCTAGATGAGGTGATGCCCCACCCTGCTTCTGCTTGCCCTCCGTGGGCTGCACCCACTGTCTAACTAGTCCCAATGAGATGAGACAGGTACCTCAGTTGGAAATGCAGAAATCACCTGCCTTCTGCATTGATCTCCCTGGGAGCTGCAGACCAGAGAACCTCCTATTTGGCCATCTTGCCAGCTGCTGTATATTCACATTTCTTAAAGGATGTGCAATCATCACCATGGTCAATTTGAAAACATATTCATCTTCTTAAAAGGAAATATCGTACCATTTAGCTAGTACAACCCGACATTCCCTTTCCAACTCCCTAGGCCTAAACAACCACTAATCTACTTTTTTTTCTCTATGGATATCTCTGTTCTGGGCATTTTGTATAAATGAAGTTACATAATATGTGGTCTTTTGCAATTGGCTTCTCTCATTTAGCTTAAAGTTTTCAAGGTGTGTCCGTGTTGTAGCACGTATCAGTAACTCATTCCTTTTTATAGACAAATAATATTCTAGCGTCATTCCTAGCATCAAATAATGTTCTAGTATATAGATATACCAAATTTTGTTTATCCATTCAACAGTTAATGGACATTTGGGTTGCATTGTAAATAAATGCTGTTATAATGCTGCATATCCATGAATTTCTGTAATACTATATTAGATAAATCACCTTTCATTAATATAATAATGCTGATTATCTGTGTATGAATTTCTGTGTGGACATATGCGTTCATTTCTCTTTGGTACTAACCTAGGAGAGGAATTGCTGGGTCACATGGTAACTCTATGTTTAATCTTTTGAGGAACTGTCAGAATGTTTTCCAAAGCAGTAGCACCATTCACATTCCCAACAGCAGTGTAGGAGGGTTCCAATTTCTCCATATCCAATGTGTGTTATTATCAGTCTTTTTTATTCTGGCCAACGTGGGTGTAAAGCAATATCTCATGGTTTTGATTTGCATTTCTCTGGTGACTAATGAGACAGAGTATCTACTCCTGTGCTTATTGGCCATTCTTATATCTTCCTTGGACAAATGCCTTTTCAAGGCCTTTGCCCACTTTTTATTGGAATAATTATCTTTTCATTGAGATGTAAGGGTTTATTACTTATTCTGGACACAAGGCTCTTATCAGCCACATGCTTTGCAAATATTTTCTTCTATGTGATGTATTGTCTTTTCACTTTATTGATGGTGTTCTTTGAAGCACAACAATTTTGAATTTTGTTGAAATCCAACTTACCAACTTTTTTGTTGCCTATGCTTTTGGTGCTATATCTAAAAATCCTTTGCCAAATACAAGGTCATGAAGGTTTACCCGTAAGTTTTCTTCTAAGAGTTTTATAGTTTTAGCTCTTACATTTTGGTCTTTGTTCCATTTTGAGTTAATTTTTGTATATGGTGTTAGATAAGGGTCCAACATCATTCTTCTGCTTATGGATTTTCACTTGTCCCAGCACCATTTGTTGAAAAGCCTATTCTTTTCTCATTGAATGATCTTGACACCCTTGTCAAAAATCAGCTGACTTTAGATATGTGGGTTTATGTCTAGACTCTCAATCCTATTCCACTGATTTATGCATATATTTTTGTGCCAATACCACACTGTCTTGATTACCATTGTTGGATAGTAAGTTTTGAAATCAAGACAGTTGAATCCTGCTACATTGTTCCATTGTTCTTCTTTTTCAAAATTGTTTTGGTTATTCTCGTTCTCTTGCAATTCCATTTGAATTTTATAATTGGCTTAACAATTTCTATAAAGAAGTCTGCTGAGATTCTATTGGGGATTGCATTCAATCTGAAAACAGGGTGGGAGCATTACCATCTTAACAATGTGAAGCTTTCCAACCCATGAACCTGGAATGGCTTTCCTCGTATTTAGACCTTTTTAAATGTCTTTCAATAATATTTTATAATTTTCACAGTATAAGTTTTGCAGTTCTTTAAATTTTTTTCTATTTATTTTATCCTTTTTGATGCTATTATAAGTAGAATTGTTTTCTTAATTTAATTTTTAAATTTTTAATTGCATTTGAATTTTAGAATCAGCTCACCAAATATAATTGATTTTTGTATATTAATTCTTGCTGAATTTCTTTACTAGTTCTAATAGGCTTTTAGTGGATTCCTTAGGATTTTCTATATACAAGGTGATATCATCTATGAATAGATATAGTTTTTATGTTCTTTTCAAATCTGGATGCCTTGTATTTCTTTTTCTTGCCTAATTGTACTGGATGGAACATCCTGTATAATGTTAAATAGAGGTGTTGAGAGCAGACGTCCTTGTCTTGTTCCTGATCTTAGAGAGGAAGCATCTAATATTTCACTAGTAAATATGATGCTAGGTATGGATTTTTCATAGTTGTCTTTTATCAGGTTGAGGGAGTTCCCCTTCATCACTAGTCTGCTGAGTGTTTTTATCATGAAAGGATATTGGATTTTGTCAAATGTGTTTTCGATTCTAATGGCTATTATTTGGTGAAGAATTTTTGAATTCATATTCATAAGAAATATTGGTCTGTAGTTTTTATTTCTTGTGATATCTTTGGTTTTGGTATCAAGGGAACACCGGCTTCATAAGAAGAGGCCAGTGTTACCTACCTTACTTTTCTATTTTTTAGAGGAGTTTGTTAAGAATTGGTATTAATTCTTCTTTAAATATTTGGTAGAACTCAGTAGTGAAGCCATTTGGGCCTGGGCTTTTTTGTTTGTGAATAATTTATTAGTAGTAGTATTAATAGATCAATCTCTTCACTCATTATAGGCCTATTCTTATTATCTATTTCATATTGAGTCAGTTTCAGTAATTGTGTCTGGGGAATTTGTCCATTTCATCTAAGGTGCCTAATTTGTTGTATACAATTGTTCATAGCATTTCTTTGTAATTTTTTGTTGTTGTTTGTGTAGGGTCAGTATAATGTCCCTTCTATCATTACAGATCCTCAAGGCAGACAAGTTCCCAAGGAAGCGAAGCTGTCCCCATAGATGAGAGATCAATAACAATCATGACCCAAGGAACTGATAGCAGATAAGTTGTTTTTACTCAAGTGTTTTATTCTAACCCTTCTCTGTTTGGGGGGACTCCATGAGTTCCATGTAGAATGTAAGGCTCCACTGTCAACTGAGTTGGTGTAATTTTCCTGGAGACTAAGCTGAAAATACCTATTAGATTCTTCAAAATATACACACCCTCTGTTTTGGCAACATCCTTACCAGAAATTTAAGATTTGGATATACTTTTTAAAAGTCACCAATATTCATGTACAAGGATGTCCACAGAAATATTTTGATTAATAATAAAAAGTAGACACAACCAAAATATCTATCAATGGAGGGCTGGTAAATAAAGGTTTGTACAACAATACAATAAAATACTATGCAGAATTTTGAAAGAATAAAATAGTGTTCACTAAAAAGCATGAGGTATATGCTGGTATAGAATGGTATAGAATGATCTCAAATTTTTATCATTAAATGAAAAGGTGCAGAAGTGAGTAGTATGATCACTTTTGTGTACGTTTAAAAAATACATAGATGGATGTACATATGTGGGCAATTTTCTTTCCTGGAAGAAGTCATAAGAAACTATGTCTTACGGTTACCTTTGGCAAAAGACTATGGGTAGGTGGGAAAGAGGCTTTCAGATTGTATTTTTCCCTCTAGATACAAGATAGGATGTTATAATCCTAGATATATGGTTTTTTTTTAAATGCCAAGAGTGTTACCTGGGTAGGGAGATTTAGGGGCCGTTTTTGCTTTTCTTCTTTATTCTTATCCCTATTAATTTTTAATGAAATGTTAGAAAAGTTTATGAAATAAAAGTGTATGTTTTCAAAGTACCAGCTCGTGAAATAAAATTCCTAGTTTTCTTAATCTCACATGCATCTCATGGCCACCTGTGCCACCTTAAAACTATCTGAGTCAAAAGCAGAGTAGCAGTCACTACTGAAAACCTCAGAAAAGAGAAGTCCTTCCGTCACAGACACCCAAGGACAGAAGAGCACAAGGTACCTGAAGGTGGCTTTATGCTAGGCCCTTGCTACTCAAAGTGTGGTCGGTGGACAAGCAGCATCCACCTCACCCAGGCACTAATTGGAAATGCAGAATCTCAATCCCCACCTGGGCCTAAAGTTTCAGAATCTGCATGCTATCAGATTCCCAGGTGATTCACTAGCATGTTGAAGTATGAGACCTCCTGCACTAGCTCAGAGGTGTCATCCCCAGTTGCATGCTGTAATCACCAGAAGTGTTCTTTAAACCATGATGGGTGGGTCCCATCATGGAAACAGGGAATCCAAATCTCTAATGGGAATTCCTGCATGGGAGATTCCAGTGTGCAGACTGATACTGAGAATCCTGCATAACAGTCAATGTCTCTCCTACATGCTCTTTCAAATATACCTCTGTTGTAACATATGTGATAACCACTCTAATCTATAGAGTCTTTCTAGGTACTAGTCACTATGCTGAACACTTTATCCATATAACTTCCTTGAAATCCCCTCAGCCCTATACCCTTGTTATTGGCATCCCCATTTTATAGATGAGAAAACTGAATCTTAGTGTTTACGTAACCTTTTCAGGCCCCTATGGCTGGTAAGCAGCAAAGGACAGGCTCAAACCCAGGCTCTCATTTCTATGCTCTTAACCTTATTATAATATAGTCACTTGTTTACTTGTACCTCTCACTAAAATGTGACCTTTCGATGTTAAGATATATGTCATTACTTCTTTATCTTTGGTACCCAATTCAAAATAGTTGCACAATAAATATTAAGGACTATCAACCACATCATTTGCTTGTTATTTTGCAGACACACAACAAAAGGTCGACGGGTAAAAATATGGACGCATGAGACACAACTCAGAAACCCTGAGCTGGGTGACAATGGTGGCCTTTTCTCTCCTTCAGGATGGCATTAGGAGCTTAGTTGGTGCCAACCAATGTTTTATCTGCAAGTGTGGCCTCAAGTCACCATCATTCAGACCTTTCACCATATCATACCTCAGGGTGAGGGATCTGAGATGCTTCTGCCAACATTCCCAGTATATCAGGGCAGCTCATGACATGCCTCCATGTTTTCCATGTGGGTCATCAAACAACAGAGCACCAGAGAGGGTTGAACTAAATGAATACTCAAGTGCCTTCCAGTCCATTTACAGCCTCCATTTCAGCTGCAATTCCCAACTGTCTCCAATTAGCAAACCTTTGCACAGACATCATGAAGGCATCATGTGCTCCCTGTAGCTTGTAAAACAGCTATGATTTTGGTGCCTTAGCACCATCTTGTAACCCAAATCTCCAGCTCAACTTTGCTTTCCACTGAAGCTCTTCATCCTGCTCCAACAGGCACCTTGTACCCACACCCAAGTTCCCACAAAAACTCAAGAGAGACCAGTGAGTTACTCTGATGTTTATTTTAATGCATCTTAGTCCACACAGTTGGTATAAAATCAGAAAATGCAAAGCAAAAACAAAAGGTCTGGAGTCTTAGCATCAGAAGGGCACCATATATACATCTACAGTTGGTGGCCAATACAAGTCATTGCCAGACAGTCCTTGGAGGCACAGAACAGCCTAGACCCAGCCAAGCTCTAGGAACTCACGGTCCCAAGGAGTCTAGACGCTTGTTCTGATGCTCCGACCGTAAGAAAAATGTGGGAGTGATGAAGGCTTTATGATTTACTCATTATAGTAATAATAGCAGCCTAGCTAGGTACAAAAGCAGTTATAAACCATTTATATTACACAGAATTATTCAGGTCTCCATTCTATCTTATGTTGTAAAATTGTTAATTGGATTTCCAGTGAGTTGTTTAGATGATTAGTGATAATAAGGAATGGTAAATCCATAGCACCATTTCAAAGACTTGTTGTCACTGATTTCTCATTTAGATGTGTGACGAAGATACTCCACCTGTAAGGGCAAGTATGCCAATGCCACAAGCCGTGTTTTTGCAAGGGCTCCAGTTTGGGCATTTTGTCCGTGTGCGCGTAAAGCTTCACACAGAGGTTCGGGCAGCGGCTGTTTCTGTTGGATGCACTGGGTCACCCACCAGAAAAGGGCTTTTGGACATTTGGGGTTTCTACCCACACTTTGGTTTTCTAAATGAGGTGGACTGGGAGGGAGGTATCTTCTTTCAGATGAAAGGGAAGGGGCGAGATGGAGTTATCTTATTTCTGGGTAAAACAAAACAAACAAACAAAAAACAAAACAAAAATACTGAGCTGGATTATACTGTTAGGATGTAAAGTTCCTTAGCTACTTCTTTAAGGCTCAACACGAGGCTGATGGTCAACATAAAAAGCAAACAATACTATGTACATATATGTAAAAAGTGTTATAAATAGGTTTTATAAACCGGAGATATTATATACATCTTCAATCAACAGCAACCCCCACCTCCACTGCTTTCTGTTTGGTTTGGTTTGAGTTTGGGATTTTGGGCTAGCTCTTTTTTCTTTGTCTGCTTTCTGTTTTCCCTTCCTCCCTTCCCTATGTACGCTCAGAGCCTCAGACAGACCGTCTGGGCGCCTCATTCGCGTTTCCGCAAGATCACATAGATGACACCGCTGAGAAGGGCCAGGGGGAAGGCCACCCAGGCCAGGATGTAGGCGAAACCGTAGGAGTAATCCGAGTTGAGATGCCACTCCGGGTGCCTCACCGTGTAGATGGCCGCAGCACTCATCACGCACAGACCTGGGGAAGGAGAGGGACAAGCTGGGTGACGGAGAGTCCATGGCAGAGCGGCCCCCTCTCCGCCACCCCGGATGCTGACAATTGCTGGGTAGGAAGAACATTTCTACCTCTGGAAGGAAATCTGCTTCCAGGTCCAGAATTGAAAGGAGGTAGCACAAAAATATGGGAACAAGGAAAACAACTTGCTCTCTATTTCCAATCTTGGCCACCTAGGCCTTAATACCTGAGGGTTTTCTTTACATTTTCTGCCCTATTTCTCTTTCTTTCACTGTCACCAATTCCCAGGCCACACTACATGGCCAGCAGGCATTCAGGCTGCAAGAAAAACCTACCTGTCTCTTTCCAAGGGTGGTTGGGTATGGAAACCCCTGGAAATCTATATGCCACTCTACAAGTGAGTGGTGGCATTACCTAAAGCCAATGGAAGTGAAGTGACATTTTACCATTATTGGAGTCACGCCATGGTAAAAGGATTAAGCTCCATGCAGACCACAGGGGCCTATGGTCCCCCTAACAGAGTTGCCACATACCAGGTGAAGCAAGCAATGCCTATGGGCACTGCCAAACAGACAAAGAAATGTGTGGAGAGGGAAAAAGAAAGTGAGGAATAAGGATGCAGCCGACAGTATGACTGGGAAGCCACGCTGCAGAGGGGGAAGATGATCAAAGGCAAGCTCCATTTCCCTGGGTGCCCCAAGGTTGCATTTGAAGCCCAAAGAAGGCTAAAGGGCACTGGATATGCAGGTGGGTCAGGCCACCCTCCCTGGCCCACCAATGCAGCCCTTCGGTGTTGGAAAGAGAAGAAAAGCCTCCATCTTGGGCCCTGTGGAGCAGCCACGCTCAAACTGATGGCCCCAGCTCACGTGACAGACAGCGTCCCCCCACAAGGAGGGGTCCAGTGATGTCAGCACCCCAGCCTGGAGCTGCACAAAGCCTGGTCTGTTTCCTCCCTGAAAACAGGGTCTTTGAGAAGCTCTGAGTGACTCTATTATAAATCCAGTATGCCGTGTGGGATTCATGCAGTTCCAGAGTTCCCAATGCACCCGCGCCCCCCCACCGCCCGGCCACCTACATCTAACCTCACTGCTATTTGGGCTGCTGTTTTACTGGACACTGCAACTTTGTTTGAAGACAGTGCAGAAGTGGGAATACGCCACATGAACCACCCTGTTAAGCCTGTCCTCCTGCAACTCAGAGGAGAAAACTGCCACTTGACTGGCCCCTGTCAAGAGAGCCACACAATAGTCTTGGAACCAAAATGGGACAGCATCCAGGACCTGCCACCTACAGGAAGTTCAGAAGACAGCAAAGATGGCCATGTCAGGAGCGAAATCATTGCGGGTTAATTGTTGATTGCAGAAAACAGCAGTTTTGATCTGCTGGGGACACACTTTATTTGCCTTGAGGTCCAGGATCCTTAATTATCTTGCCCCACTCTTCCACGGCTTGCATCTCCAAAGTGCTAACTCTTGTCTTTAAGAAATACTGAAGTTGTCTCTTGGGCTCTGTCTGACTTATCTAATGAAGGCAGGGCTATAAAAAAGGAAACATGACCTTGGCAGAGAGAAAGGTGTTAACAGAGTGCTAGCAGGGCAGGACAACACTTATCATCATGCAGGCAGGGCTCCCAAATGGGCTGTCTAACCAGATCTGGCATGAGAAATGCCTCAGGAGCTGAGTGGACCAGCTACTCCCCGATTTCACTGACTAAGAGGAGATACCAGATTCCATCCTTGAACAAGAGGGATAGAAAGAGGCAGTATAGAGAAGTGCAGCGACTAACTACACAGCTTAATGTGTATGACTTTCATCTTAGTAGAATCTCAGAAGTGAATGACTCTAAGCTTAACCGTGATAAGCAGTAAACTTAGATATCTACAAAGCCAAAGAGAGGATACACACTTTATATGATTGTTGTCATGAGACTGATGTTTTAGGGAATATATTATTACAAGATTGTCTGCATGTAAAGCAATAGATGTACCCTGAAATAGAGAAAAGGATGATTCTTTGGCTGGGTTCCCTCTGTCTGCAACCCAAGACAGTTAATGTCATCCAGTAGTCATCTCCAAAAGCCAAATACCCCTAGTAAGTGGACTGTGACTCACTTTCTCAGCAACCAGTAGGTGGAGATGTATCACCAGGTCCCTGTGGCAAGGGTAAGTGAGGCCCTGAGGCACAGGCAGATGTTCTGCTCTTTGGCAATGACCGGGACTCCCTGGTAGGGGCCTGAGTCTGGGAGCATAGGTCATCTTTAAGCAGAAGGACACTGACCCTGTCCAGACAATACAAATGTGCTGAGCATTCAACTTACAAGAGTTTCTCCCTGTCTCAGGATGGGTAGGTCTGCAACAACTTCCTGCAAGTTCTGCCTAAAGCCCTTTTGAAGAGAAAGTCTTAAGCTCCTTTAACAGTGACTGCAACCCCATGAGAGTGATTAGAGCCCAGAGCCTCTGGAAGGAAGCACCCAAGGGGCCAAGGTCAAAGGAAGTAGCTGAGGGAATTCCCAGTACATCCTTATCATCTCCATTCCCTTTGGTTCAGTGAACATTTAATGAGTGCCTATTGCATGCGGGCCCTGTTCTAGCTGCTGCTCTAGATGTACCAAGATAAGTGAGACATGGCTCCTACCTTAAGGACTGTGTGTCTAGAAGACAGACATTTGCATATAATTTCAATATAGTTCGATGGAATTTCGAGAGAGGGAAGGAAATGCACCAGATGCCCCAAGAGCATAGACGGGCGCTGAGTCCAAACTGGAGAACTGGAGAAGCCACACGGACTCTCATATAATAGGCTGATTAGCTCACTAAGGGTCAGGAAAGAGAGGGCCTTACATGACATGTTAAGGAAGCTGTGATGAGAAGCCTCTGAGGAAACTTCAGCAGAGGAGAAACATGATCAGACGCACGTTTTAGAATGATCACTCTGGCCATGGTGCAGAAAATGGATTCAGGGGCAGGGACAAGGCAGGTAGCTGGAAGGTGCATGAGGAGGCCTTTGCATAGCTGCACTGGGGTTAGTGAGTCAAGACAAAGAAATGGGCGTAATGCCTACGGAGGATGCTACCCAAATGCAGGATTCAGTAGAAGGCTGGCTGTGGGGTGAGGGAGAGAGGAGAGGCCAGCATGACCGCCTGGTGTGTTCACTCAGGCAAGTGGGAACACAGCGATGTCTCAGAAGCCAGGGGAATAGAGCTTCAAAGAGTAAGTAGCTAACAGTATTGAAAGGAGCAGAGTGATCCAACAAATTAAAGACTTCAAAGTGTACTTTGGTAACCTCGCAAAAGCACTTTCATTTGAGAGCCTGGGGCAGAAGTCAGAGAGAAGTTGGCTGGAAAGGGATGTCAGTGAGACCACCAGGGTGGTCACTGGAAGGTGCAGCTATGATGTTGGGTTGATGAGTGGGTGCCTTTTTCTCCCTCCCACTTCATCCTCAGGGCAACAAGGGAGGGCAGGAAGGGGCTGTGAGGCCTGTTCCTCTGAAAGCAAGAGACTTCTCTGTGTTTCTGTGATTGAAGCCCACTCCTTTTACATTTTCAGTATCCAAATGACCATTGCTGCCTAGAAAGCCACCCATAGCATTGACTCTGATTTGGGCATGGCCAGTGAGACATCCATAATCATCCGTCCCTAACAAAAATTTCTAAATGTGGTATTTGACTTAAGCCACCTTTGAATCACTCTGAACAGGATGGCACTGAACTTTTATTAATCCCCCCCCACCAAATTCTTTTTTTTTTTTTCCTAGAGAGGCAGGGTCTCACTCTGTCACCAGGCTGGAGCAAGTGCAGGGGCCTGATCATAGTTCACTGTAGTCTTGACCTCTCAGCCTCAAGCAATCCTCCTGCCTCAGCCTCCTGAATAGCTGGGACCACAGGCGTGCTCCAAGGCACCCCACTAATTTTTAAATCATTTTTTGTAGAGATGGCATCTCGCTTTGTTGCCCAGGCTGGTCTTGAACTCCTGGCTTTAAGCAATCCTCTCACCTCAGTCTTTCAAAGTGTTGGGATTACAGGCATTCGCCACCACACCTGGCCCAAATCCTTTTATTTTAAATGCTCTATAGCTATATTGATCTTTCTATTAACAAAACAAATGAACAACAATAACAAAAAGAGAGAGAAAGTGAAACTCACTCAGGAGTCCCCTCTATTCTTTCTGTTCTTAATCCCGGTAACCACACATTTGACTTGAGTTTGATTCTGCCGAGGAAACACAATTATCTAATCATCCAACCAATAATAGTTTTATTCAGGCTCCTCTATGTGCCCCACATGGAGCTTGATGCTGGGTGTAAGCAGTAAAATAAATCAAAACGTGCAAATCTTCCTTTTAGGTCTGTGTCTAGATTAATTTCTTGATGTTTTCCAGTCTAGTGCAACCCAACCCAACAGATCTTGTCAAGGAATAGATGGCTATAGGTTCTGAAAATAAGAATGACTCCAAAGTCCAGACGCAGGATCAGGATGTTCCTTCTCTAAGAAGGTGGTTTAGTTATTTCTGGGAAAATATCCTAGAAAACCTTACAGTGGGATTAGGGACAGTTTAATGGCTATGTCAGTGGTTCCCAACCCTAAATGCACATCAGAGTCACCTAGGCAGTGGATCCATCCCACAACTATTAAATGAGAGTCTCCAGGGATGAGACCTGAATACTGTCTTTTTTCTTTTCTTTTTTCTTTTTTTTTGAGACAGTCTTACTCTGTCACCCCCAGGCTGGAGTGCAGTGGCATGATCTTGGCTCACTGCAACCTCCACCTCCTAGGTTCAAGTGATTCTTCTCTGCCTCAGTTTCCCAAGTAGCTGGGACTACAGGCACGCACCACCACGCCTGGCTATTTTTTTATTTTTATTTTTAGTAGAGACAGGGTTTCACCATGTTGGCCGGGCTGGTCTTGAACTCCTGACCTCAAGTGATCTGCCCACCTCAGCCTCCCAAAGTGCTGGGATTACAGGCGTGAGCCACTGCGCCCCGCCCACTGTCTTTTTTTTTTTTTTAAAGGACCTCAGGTGATTCTGATGCACAGCTCAGGTTGAAAGCACTGAACTAAAGGAAGGAGCCTTTTGATATGCATTCAGGAAGCAGCCAACCTAATGCAATCAAGAAGAGATAGTTCCTAACTGTCAGCCTTGTGGCTAAGTGAGGAAGAGATAATTTGGCAAACCATGGAGACCCCACACAACACACAGAGCTGTAATCTAGAGCAAGGAGACAGACAACTCCCAAACCTACAGTCAGCTCCAAGAGCCCTAGCACCTTTCATGTGCTTTTCCTGAAAGCTGATGTGTGCCATCCATAAAGATCACAGCTGGGCCCACCAAGAGGAAGCTGTGCAGAGATAATGCAGCCCTCACAGCCACTTCCGGAGACTACACAGAGATTCTAGTGGTTTCCACTTAAAACGCTCCAGTGCATTGGAGAGGCATTTGCCGGGCATGCACGCTTGTAGATTTCACATCCCATGAGTGTGGAGCTACTTTCTTCTACCTTCTGTTTGTCAGTTTTAGCTTTTCTGACTACTTCCTTGATGTTAAGTTGTCACTTGCCAGGTTTTCCCAAAACGTGGGTTTCTCATCTCCAACAACCCTAATCTACTTAGCTCTCTAATTACTAACTTCTTACTAGTCTGTGAGTCAGAAAACCACATGACAAAATTGACTTAGAACTGTCACACGATAAGGGAACCAGGAACTCTCCAAATAGAGTTCCTAACTCTTTCAGTTCTCAGAATTAGTGGAAAGATCCTGCAGCCATTTCCAGTGCAACATCCTAGAGATCTGAGGTTCCCTGGAGACCAACTCTCAGATGATCTTGACTGGGATTAACAACGGAGGACAGGACACTCTCAGGACTTACAAATTACAACTGCTATTACAGCTCAGCATTTCAAATTCAAGATAATTTCTTATTCAAATGTGGACCAACAGATAACTGAAAATTCAGTTTCATGAGACGTAAGCAGCTAGATGTAAAGGGGATAAAGAGGACAAAGTCATGCGCTTTTACATTCGGAATTCTGCACTTCCAGCACAGTTCTAAACATCTTGTATTGACTTTGGAGGAGAATGAAAATAGTGAAGCAAGAGTGGATTAGTAAATATACTTAAATCGCAATACCTAGGAGAAGAGTGTTTGGCTGAACTGAAATACTTTTAACACACAGTGCAGTTACATGAGTGACTTAAGGGTTCTTATCTCTGGACTTTGAGTTTTGGCCTAAAATGATGTAATGATGTTGCTAAAAAGACATTGTTAAAGAACTTAAAGCCGAAACAGCTCAGCAGGATGAATGAAGATGAAGGTACTGGCTATCCCAAGGAGCCCATTCAACAGCAGCTTACCTCTTCTCAGCTCCATATTTTCAATGTGACTGGGTCTTATAGTACAGGCTTGTATTCATCACAGATGTTTGGAACTTCAGAATAATACATGGTGCAAATTTGCATTTACCTTCCATTGTAAATCAGTTCCAATAAAAGATAATATAAAAGGCAGAGCTTCTGCCTTGGATTTTGTGTTCTTTAAATTTTTTGGTGCATTCTGTCTTTAAAATATAAGAAGTACCTCACTATATTCAGTGTAACACTCAACCGTCCCTGTCATGAGCTGGGTGACCTTGGTCATTCATTTATCCTCTGGTGGGCTCAAATTATTCATCAGTAAAATAACGAGCCTGTACAAATAAAATGTAATTTTTTTCACATCAGATGGGTAACGTGCCAAATCATAACAAGGTTTGAGCGAGGCACATCTCACACATGGGCATGAAAACCCAATCATCGCTTATGAAACTAACATTTCAATAGAAATACATTATGAAAGTTCTGGTTCTAAATCCATATTATCTTGAGGGCATATCCACTGATGCAATGGATATGATCATTATTTGATTTGATATCAAACTAAAACGAGTGAGAAAAAAAAAAAGAAACCCCAGAATATGTTACAGTTGTTTTTATTCCAACTGAAAATTGAGTAAGGGTAACTCTTCACTTTAACGTACCTAGAAATGATATCTCCTTGCATAATTAGTCATTTAACAGAGCCAGCAACCATCCAGGAGCTTGGCTTGGTGTCATAAGACATGTGTAAGTAGCAAAGCACTGTCTGGTTTTGAAATCTCAAAACCATGAGTATTGAAATGTTGTATTTGAGTGTTTAATGAGAAGTGGTTAATCATTTACTTCCTTTTTTCAGGAAAGGGGAACTCTCTGTCTTCTAGACAAGGTCACCAACATCTAACCTTGGGCTGTGTCTTCCCATACAACCCTATTTACGTCAACCTTCCAATGACTGCTCCTGGGGACAGAGTGGTGAAATGGTACCATGGGCATTCTGACAACCAACTCAGAGAAGAGATGCTACATCCTTTGCCCTCTCAGAGGGTCAGAATTGAGAACATCTCCCAGTACCTAGACATACTCTGGTACATATGAAGTTTGTGATCTATGAATTTGGACCACAGAATCCACCACTACATCTAGCTCTTACTTCTCTCCAATGCCCTGCTGGTTCAGTCAACAGTAAGTCAACAGACAGACATGTAAGAGCTAATGTAAGATGCTAGGCAGAATGCAAGATGTAAGATGTAAGATGTAAGATGTAAGCATGTAAGATGCTAGGCAGAATCCAGAGACAAAGTTGGAAGATGTCACCCTGTGTAACAGAAGTTTCTAGGACTCTGCACACTATGCATATTAATAACGTATTTAAAGAGGGAACTTGAAGACAGTTTAGGCAGGAGATTAAGGAGACCTCTCATGTGTTTTCATGTGTTGTCATAGCCCCATGTTTGGAAATGACAATATGTGACACAAGAGTGTCAAAATGAAGACACCAGAGGATGACAACAGTCAATCAAAGCCCAGTAGAATCTAGGAACTGGAAGCAAGGAAGGTGAGAATTTGTCAGTGTGGCTTCATCACTACCTATTGGTGGAAGACACATACCTGATAACTACTTTGCTAGTTCTTAGCACATCAGGGCCATTTTCTGGAGGCATAATGTAATCTACAGAAACAGCTCTCAAGCCTGACCTTTGCTCTACAGATAGCCTCAGTATTCACCTCTGATTATGTGTCCAGATTGCAGTTTCATTCCTGTTGATACGCCTGGCTTGGGTGGGGACCTTCCTTCCAGATCCTCTAAGTTCTCTTTCATATGCATCTCATTCCAGGGAGAAGGGGAGAGTTCTAAGTCCCAAGTTCTAAGACACATACAGGTACACACCCACACATACAAGCACCCACCCTCACTTTATGGAAAGCATCCAGTGGGGAGACTCATGAACATCAGTCATTCTGAGGCCACATCCTTCTACTAAACTAATCATTCCGCAGACTTGGATGCACCCCGCTTCCACATGGACTTTACCATCCACAACTTACCAGCAAGAATTTGGAAGATTCCAGTGATGTAAAACCTGCCCCCCTTGGTGAGGGTGAAGAGTTGGCAGAAGAACAGGAACAGAGACAGAATGCTGAAGATGATCGACAGGATCATGGTGGCCTGGACAGACTGCAGCCATTCTGGGGGAAAGAGACACTTGGTTAGGAGAGCTGGCCATGGCCGGGGGAGGGCTCTGCCTCGAGGTGCAGGGCCTGAAGGGCCATGACTGCTGACAGCACAGTCCTCACAGGCAGCAGAAGCAGAAGTCCTTTTTCCTTAGCAGAACTCAGACAATTCACTTTTGCAATCTAAGAAGACATTCTTTATTGTTTATTTTGGAGGAAAAAATATATACATATATACATACATCTATATGTACTGATATATACATATACAAACACACACATGTGCCAATATGTACACATTACATACATATATACCTATATGTACAAATATGCATACAAATATGTACGTGTTTCTATATATATGTGTATATACACATATACAAATACGTGACACACACATATATATAAAAAACACATGTGAACATTCAGGGAAGGGCTGTAAAAAAATATCTATAGTTCCATCACTAGGAGTTAAAGTCATTTTAAAATATATTGAATTTCCTTCCAGTGTTGGTGCAAATGTGTTACTTATGTACATGTGTCTGTGTTAAAGAGGGCCTGAGCCCTGCCTACTACCTTCCCTCTTCTTGCCCTCAGGGGTCTTTGAAGGGCTTATCAGAACTTCTGTATTCCAAGAAAAATAGCTTAAAACCACTATTCAAATTATCTGCATTCCCCAAGGAGAGGTAAAGATCACGGGAATGGCTGTTAGAGCCCAAAGTAATTTTTTGGAAGAATGGAAGAAAATACTGATGAAGAAAGGTATGCTCTCTATAGGTATGGAAATCAATTTGCTTGGACAACCCGTATTTTTTTTTTTTTTTTTTTTTGGTCAACTCTGATCATGGCCATTAGCCTCAGCACAGAGCGGTGTGTGATCGCCAACCACCAGACGGGATGAAGGCTTACACTTCCTTATCTCTGTTGAACCCCAAATCTCCAAGCTTCCAACTGAAATTCAGGCAAGAAGACAGAGCCTCCTATGGTTTCTTCAGTTCACCATCCGCTGCAAACTCATGTCATTTCAGGGAGGAAAGAAGAAACAACCTGAGTTCCACACTGTAGAGGGAAGCCCAGGGTAAAAATCTGCATTTGGCCTCTGTCTTGTCTTCCAAGTGCCACAGAATGCTGGGGGCAGGCACTGCTCTCATGGAGGAAGGGCAACTGGGGAAGCTGCAGCATTTAATCCTTTCAGCTCAGTAACTGCCATATGTAATGGCTTCAAAAGCATACCTTCAATGCTTCACCCAGTACTCACAGCTCTGAAATCTGGATGGTTTATAATTAGTAACTGAGTAAGATAAACTTGTTTTGAGTTGTAAGCAGCTCATGGCAGAATTTTAAGGGTGCAAATTAGGTTAACTGTTCCTAGATTTTCACCTAAGATGTTTCCAAGGCACAGACTGGAGATATTTTAGAGTTGGAAGAAACCTGAGAGATCAACTAGTCCAGCTCCTTTGCACTGAAAGAGATTTCCAGAGGTGTTTTCATGAGCCCAAATGACACAGCCAAATCTAAGAGGCCTTTGATTCTAGTCTAGCACTCTTCACATTCAAGCACAACATATGCTTCTTTCATTTTTTCAATTTCTTTGTCAATTAAAGTAAGAAAATGACGGCTAATGGGTTGTGAGCCATCCTGATTTCACTCTTACATAACCTTAATCAAATGTTTGTCTTTATCCAGCATAGAGGTTCTTCTGGAGGAGCACTTTGCAATAAAGATAATGTTCTCATAATATTGTTTGCTTAAAATAAAAAAATTATCTAGCACTTTGGTAGATGCAGCTGGAATTACAAAGAAATCTGAGACTCAAATCTGAAACTAAAACAAATAAAGGGATTCACTTTGGCTGGGAAATGTCCTTCCATGTGCATGTTCATGAGGAGTATGGCTGGTGGAGACAATATCTTAGATTTCCTTCTCCAATCCTGAGATACTGTCTTCACCCTTAACCCCGCGCCCCTGTCATTTTCAGCAGAAACTACTACGAGACCTCACATACACAGAAAACTTAAAATCTTTATATGTTAAATCTATATAAACAGAAAGTGTCTAATATTTAATAATATAACCTAAATACTTCTTGAAACATCTTTCAACATTAACTTGAATTTTAGTCCCAACCCCATTACAATTGAGCTCTTTGCCATAAGTTATTTCTCGAATCAAATCAGAATTAGAGGATCAAGGACATTTTTATTCAATGAGCATTTGTTGAATACCTACTGCTTTGAGCCAAGCCCTCTGGTTGACTCTGATGATCCAGAGATGAAGAAGATGGTTTTCAACCATAAGCACAATAAATAAAACACATGCATTAAGATAGTAAGTCTATCATCAACCACATTATATGTGAATGGGTTCAAGGCACTCATAAGATATGGAATTTTATCTTTGATTAAGACATTTTGGGAGGCTGAGGCAGGTAGATCACTTGAGGCCAGGAGTTCAAGACCAGCCTGGCCAACATGCCAAAACCCCATCTCTACGAAAAATACAAAAAAATTGGCCAGGTGTGCTGGTGGACACCTATAGTCCCAGCTACTTGGGAGGTTGAGGCAGAGAATCGCTTGAACTCAGGAGGTGGAGGTTGTAGTGAGCCAAGATCACACCACTGCACTCCAGCCTGGGCACAGAGAGAGACTCTGTCTCAAAAAAAAAAAAAAAAAAAAAAAAGAGAGACATTGTAGCTATATTCTAATATAATAGATACACCTAAAACAAGCAACAGTCAAAAACAAAAAAGATTCTGAAAAGAAGCTTCAGGCAAATGTTAACAAAAAAGAAAGAAGATAAATTAATAATAAAAAATAGAACTTATGTTGAAAGGATAAAAGTGGCCAGAGAGTTGTTTGGTTGTTTCATAGAGGAAAGATTTGGTTTATTTGATCTTTACTTCTGGTTTACATGATCTATGACTGAAGAAAATAAATCATTATGCATATAATAACATGGCCTGAAAAAGTTAAAATCAAAAAGTAATCAAAATATGAGAAGAAATTGTTAAAATCACAATAACAGTAGAAGACTTTAGCTTCCTTCCTCAAAATAGATGTCAGGTAGACCAAAAAGAAGAAAGAATATAGATTACATAAGAGGATTAACAAATCTGTCCTAATAGATGTATAGAAAACTTGTGTCTATATAGCAAAGTTATTTTCAAACACACATGGGACAGCTTTTCAAACTGACTATAAGGGCAACAAAGAATATCTCAATAAATATAGAAGCAGAAATGATGTAGGCTCAACATATACCTAAAGGCAAACAGAAATTAGACATTAAAAACAAACTAGCCAAAATAAATTTGGAAATTTAAAAACAGTGTTCCAGATAATTCCTCGGATTAAAAAAAACAAGATGAAAAGTAAAAACTTCTTCAGCAAGGAATTATATAGAGAGCCACATGGCACACCTGTGGGTTGTAACCAAAGCAGTTCTCAGAGGACAATGTATACACTTCTAAGCATTTGCTAGAAAAATCCTTAAAAAGAGTGAACTACACTTTCAACTCAAGAAGCCAGAAAAAAAACAATGAAATAAGTCCAAAAATTAATTGACTTAATATGGATAAAAGCACAGACTAATGAGACAGAAAAAAATATTAAAATACATTTAATAAAAATGTCTGGTTCTTTGGGGATACATCAACAAGTTAGACAAATTTTATTCAAGTACATAAAAGAAGTACTAAAGAAACATACTAAGTTCCTGGATAGAAACACTCAAAGTTATAAAGATGCCAATTTCATCCAAAATAATCTACAAATTCAATGCTGTCCTAATCCATATTGCAACTGGAACTGGAAAAAAATCAATTAAAAATTCATCTAAAAAACAATGAGCAATGACAGATAAGAAAAAATTTGAAGTAAACACAACAGCAACTAAAAACCAAAACGAACAAATGAACAAAAAGAAAATCAGAAAAACATATAAAACCAATGAGTCAAGATACCACCTACCAGATTTAAAACATATTTCTATATTTTGCTTATTACAGTATATGGTATAAATTAAATATACAATTAATTGTAACTTTATAATATATAATTATAGAACATATCATAGAACTATGATATATACAATATATAATTATAGAACATATCATAGAAGTATGATATATAATTATATAATATATAATTATAGAAGTATATATGTTCAAGTGCTTATATTATAATTATATAACATATAATTATAATTAATAAAATGTATTTTATTTATAGACATACAAAGCTTATATTTATATTATAAAGTTTTAGCAATTCAAAAATATGGTGTTAATCATGAAAGAAAAATAAAAGAATGGGATGGAATAAGACTTTGGAAGCATACATGTAAATTTGGTAGATAATACACAACATCATATAAACCAGTGGGGAAAAATACAACAGACAATACATAGTGTTGGCTATTCATTTGGTAAAACATAAAATTAAATCTCTAGTTCGCATCATTAACAAAATTAAATTACAGACAGAACAAAGAGAAAACAGCTAAGTATAAAATTGAAAAGCCATGTGATTAGCAAAGGAGAAATATGAACAGCCAATAAACATCGTAAAAGGTGCCCAACCTCACTAGCAACCAAGGAAATGCAAGAGAAACCCATGAGGAGGGTGACACCAATTTTCATCCAGCCAATAGGCAAAATTCAAAAAAAATGGATAATATCAGCAGAACAAATAAGTGATAGCTACCTGCAGACACCATTCACAGGAATAATAATAATATTATTATTATAATCCTTTTGTGACCAGCCATTTTGTGGCAGAATATATTAGGTTGATACAAAAGTAATTGTAATTTTTGCCATTAAAAGTAGTTTAAAAATTGTAACACCTCTAGCGTAATGACACTATATGTGTTCAAGTGCTTATCTACTATATCCTGGAAAAACAGTGAACATATACTCAGAGGAAAATAAATAAGGACATTGATTGTAGCATTTCTATGAGGGAAAATAAATTATGGTATATCCTCACAATGAAATATTTTGCAGCAGTTAAAAAAATCATGAGTTAGAAAATGAAGAGTCTTTGAAAGGTCTCCAAGACAATGAAAAGAGTAAGGTGCACACACAACATGTCATCATTATGAAAACAAACACCAAAAAACTATGTAATTGCGTATAGACATCCACAGGCATGCAAATATTCGTAGAGAAAGAGCCAAAGTTGTGTCAAATTGATGTCAGTGGGTTCCCCCAGGAACTACTGTTGCAACGAAGAAGAGTTTGGTCAAGAAGCCTTTCAGTTGAGGATATTTTCATGTATTATAATACTTGTATTACTTAAATAATTAAAACCAATTTAAAAGATTACAAAGGTAAAAACAGATGCAGCACTCTATTGACTTACTAAGAGTCAGGATTCCAAAACTCAAAGGGCTAGTGGAATTCTGGGCAGGACTGGGCTTCCACATGCCCAGGAAAACAACAAGGGATTTTCCTTTCCTCCAGTGCCATTGATCAAAAGCTACACAAGGACAGCGAGAGGAAAAAAAACAGAGCCCAGCCCAGGAGAAAGCAAACTCCATTCCAGCTCCAAAAGGCTGGTGCAAGATTCAAGAGCTCTCGTTGTTGCTCAAAGGGAACCCCACAGGGCCCTGAGGACATTTCTAAGCTCAGATGATGCTGCTCCCCAATCAGAGCCATTCATCAGAACTGGAATAGACAGGTAACAACCAGCGCAGTAAGAGACAGCAGATATCACACACTCCAGAAATGACAGGGCTTTGATCCTGTCCAAGGTAAGGGTCCCGTGTGAGCACGTGCAAAGCCTGACTCTCTCCAGCATTTATGTGCTCTGGTTAGGACAGCCCAGGCAGGGCTGGGCTCTGTTGCCAAGTTCTTCTGACCGCCCACCTAACTTGCCACATACATTTTTTTGGCCTTGAATTCTGCTTTACGTACTTGAGGCACTAATATATTTTATTGGGTTGTCATAATGATCAAACAAAAGAGTTGTTATTGAAGCGCTGTTAAAGGATAGTGCAAATAACCCCACCTAAAAGGCTGATGTGAGAAAACAGGGTAAACAAGCATTTACAGGCTGTTATTGAGGGGCCAGGTTCTGGAGCATTTCCATCTGGGTCACACCAAGCAGTATGAAAATGGGAGCCACAGGCCGGGCGCAGTGGGTCACGCCTGTAATCCCAGCACTTGGGAGGCCCAGGAGGGCAGATCACGAGGTCAGGAGATCGAGACCATGCTGGCTAACACAGTGAAAACCCGTCTCTACTAAAAATACAAAAAAAAAAAAATTAGCCGGGCGTGGTGGCGGGCGCCTGTAGTCCCAGCTACTCTGGAGGCTGAGGCAGGAGAATGGCGTGAACCCTGGAGGCGGAGCTTGCAGTGAGCCGAGATCGCGCCACTGCGCCACTGCACTCCAGCCTGGGCGACAGAGCAAGACTCGTCTCAAAAAAAAAAAAAAGAAAAAAGAAAATGAGAGCCACAATGTTCACACAAGCCAGGTTATTAGCACATTGGCCAGAACTCCAAAAGTGTTTTGATACAACTTTGGTATCAATTCATATCTCCTCTCCAGCATAAGGGTGCTACAGAGTCAGAGTGCAAATATCTGCACAGATAGCAAACTATCTATAAAGAATCAGAGAGCAAATACTTTAGGCTTTGCAGGTCATACGGTCTTCTTAACAACTACTCAATTCTGCCTTTGTATCACAAAATCAGCCATAGCCATGGACAAGATGTAAATGAGTGGGTGTGACCCATTCCTTCAATAGCCATTTATCCAATAAAATCTTATTTACAAAAGCAGGTTGGATTCGACATGCAAGCTATTATCTGCCAAACTCTGCTACAGCAAAACAAGTCAGCTGTACAGAAAATAATGATTCGAGTTCAGAGAAATATAATGCAAGTGAAAATGCTGTCAATTACAAACCTGTTCTATTTAGATCAAACCTAGTGTGACACCAACATCCCAAGTGGCTAAACTATAGATTAACACAAGCCCCAGTGTGGCGATACTCTTCCCCACGCCCCACCCAATTTGCAAGTATGCAATAAATAGTAGAACTTATGTTGAGTACCTGCTGTCCTCCAGGCCACACTCAGTTCCTGGTGCAAAGTGGAGGCCTGCTAAACATTTGTGGAGTTTCCAGTGGAAGTTTTAAGCCAATATCCAACCTTGGTGCTGAGCACTGGAATTAAAAACTAAAGCTCTGGCCGGGCGTGGTGGCTCATGCCTGTAATCCCAGCACTTTGGGAGGCCAAAGCGGGTGGATCACAAGGTCAGGAGATCGAGATCATACTGGCCAACATGGTGAAACCCCGTCTCTACTAAAAATACAAAAATTAGCTGGGTGTGGTGGCATGTGCCTGTAATCCCAGCTATTTGGGAGGCTGGAGCAGGAGAATCACTTGAACCCGGAAGGCGGAGACTGCAGTGAGCCGAGATCACACCACTGCACTCCAGCCTGGAAACAGAGCAAGACTCGTCTCAAAAAAAAAAAAAAAAAAAAGGCCGGGCGCCGTGGCTCACACCTGTAATCCCAGCACTTTGGGAGGCCAAGGCGGGTGGATCACGAGGTCAGGAGATTGAGACCATCCTGGCTAACACGGTGAAACCTCGTCTCTACTAAAAATACAAAAAATTAGCTGGGCGTGGTGGCGGGCACCTGTAGTCCCAACTACTTGGGAGGCTGAGGCAGGAGAATGGTGTGAACCCGGGAGGTGGAGCTTGCAGTGAGCCGAGATGGCGCCACTGCACTCCAGCCTGGGCGACAGAGCGAGACTGTCTCAAAAACAACAACAACAACAAAACTAAAGCTAAAGCTCTTTGCAGGCCTCCTGTTCTGAGAGTGTCCGGTATAAGAGCTGCTGACAGCTTTCTGACATGGGCCGTGGCAGCACCCAGACCTAGCTCCCCCAGCAGATAGTGGGAAGCTCGAGTTGCACAAAGATCAAAGCTCATTTCAAGGTCAGATTCCTGCTGTAGGAGCAGCTGAGCAATGAAGGAAATACATCAGCCCCCTCAGCTATATTCTTAGCCCAGGGCCTACAACCTAGTGAGTTAAGGGCTCAGAAAGTATGAAGCACTTTTCAATGTAACAGTTTATGTGCATCTTTCATTACCAGCATGGAACCAACCCTGCCCCATATCAAGTCCCACTCTGGGCAATTCATAAAACTGTTCTGACTCAAGAGAACAGGTTTTGTTGAAAGTGAAAGGAAGGACAGTTGCAAGAGTCAGAAGAGACCTTGGAGAGGCCAAGAGAGAAAAAGCCATGAGAGGGTAAATCACAGAGGCAAAGAGTTATTAACACCTCCCATTTGCATAGTGCTAGACTGTTTTCAAAACACATGACCCCAAGACCAGGACTCCCACGCCCAAACCTCCCAACCCACAACCATCACACAGATCGCCATTTTCCTTATTTCTCAGTATGAATGTCATTCCAGAAATAGCTGAGTCTCTGAAAGGCCTCCATCCTAAACAATGTGGCCTTTGCCCATATGCTTCGCCCACCAGCTCAAACATGCCCAAAGCCCAGCGTGGGTCTTGCCCCCTGGGCTTCAACTTCTCCCCCAGCTGGTGGCTTTGAAATGGGCTTGCTGGTCAGGCTAACTTTGCCTATGATTCATGCGGAAAGCAAAACAGATGGAGACAACTATGTGCCAGCATGGAGCTCACAAAGGCGATGAAGGTGACGTGGGCGGCTCTCTCAACAGGTAATCCTGGGGGTATTTTAGCTAGAGCAAAGCCTGTGTCTGGCCACTAGTGGGCACAAACTGCTCAGTAAGTGGAAGGAATCTTCATGTCAAGGTATTCCAGCTAACTTTGATACAGTTATTCAATGAACTGCATTCCTAATTAAGAGGCTTTGTGGCAGGCACAGAGCTAGTTTGTCAGGGTCTAGTTCTGCACTTTGACATCCATATTCTTGCTCTGCTAGTGAGTTTTTGGACTTCTAAAGGGAATAACACGCAGCCACTGAGGTACCTGAGGTTACTGGATAATAGTAAGCTGTCTGAGGCTTTTTTATACCCTTGTTGGAAAACTCTAGAAACAGGGAAACAGAGTAGGCTTTGTTTCTCTAAGAATTGCTCTTGGAAGACTTACTCCACCAGATACAAAAGAAAAAGGAGGGGAGTGCATTGTACGATGAAGGATATCAATCTCCCTCCTTGGTAATTCACAATGTACCATGAATGATCAAAGCCTGCTTAACTTTCAAAACTTAGTGTCTTTCAAACGGATTTATCAGGAGACTTGTTTTTGTTTTTGTTTTTTAAAAGAAGAGCTCACTTAAAAACACTGAGTTTGGCCATAGAAAATGACGGGAAAGGCAGTTGCAATTGCAGTCATGAACTGCATCAGTGGAGAATGAACAGGGAATAATTCGCTTAGTTTTAAGATCTTCAGGTTTAGGAGGAATTCTCCCCATAGAAATAATAGAGTTCTCCTCCTTCTTTCCCCTAAAGTATGAAAAAAGAACACGCATTATGGAAATGAAGAGCTAGAACAAAAGAGCTGCTACCCCCACCAGTGACAGTAAACCAATGCCCGTTTACAAGCACAAAACCCATCTCTGCTCCCTCTGCCTACTGCAATTCTACCCCATTGCCAAGGCCCAGCTCAGAGGCCACCTCCTTTTAGGATCCCTCGATGCCACAATTACATCCTGAACATGAACAGAGGCTCCGGGACCCATGCAATGTGCAGGTCCTACCTCAACTTCAGGTCCTACCTCAATGCCTGCTCTGCTTTTAGGAAACCAGGGTACCTGCCCCAGGTTACCTAATTTGTTACAGGCAGACCCGGTGCAGAAAAACAAGGATTCCCTGATGCCCAGACTACTAGTTTTTCCACTACAACACACTGGGGGTGCAGAGAAGTCAATGATATGCTTGCAATCTAATGAATTAAATTATTCTACCACCATTCTTCAGACTTAGAATCCACAAAAACTAGAGAGGGTGGAAGGAGAATGGTGTGGCAAAGAGAGAGCGGCTTCCCTTATTCTCTGCTCATCAGCCTGCCAAGCCAAACCACTGACCAAACTTCAGAAGGGCAAGAAGAGGCCCTGCTTATGCAGCTGGGACCAGCACCAGAGAAGCCACTGAAAGAAGGAAGGAAAGAAAAACTGCAATCGTCAACTGTTTGAAGAGTCATCGTGTAGAGGAGAGACGGGGGTCACCCTGCAGTCATTGTCCAGGAGGCACTGTGGAGATTTAAATTCTTTAAGGACGTGCCAAGCAACTTGATAAAACCCAAGTCCAGCACATCAGGCATGAATGAAGGCAACTAGAAGTGAATGGACAAAAGAGGGGCAGTGTTGGGTTTAACAAGGTAATTTCTTTTTTTGAGACGGAGTCTCACTCTGTCGCTCAGGCTGGCGTGCAGTGGTGCGATCTCGGCTCACTGCAAGCTCCGCCTCCCGGGTTCACGCCATTCTCCTGCCTCAGCCTCCCGAGTAGCTGGGACTACAGGCACCGGCCACCACGCCCGGCTAATTTTGTTTTGTATTTTTAGTAGAGACAGGGTTTCACCGTGTTAGCCAGGATGGTCTCAATCTCCTGACCTTGTAATCCGCCCGCCTCAGCCTCCCAAAGTGCTGGGATTATAGGCGTGAGCCACCGCGCCCAGCCGAGGTAATTTCTTAAGTGACAATATCTCCTGGCATTCCTCCCTCATCACTGGCTGTTCATCCCCAGTCTCCTCTCCTTCCTGTACCCTCGTTAACCCCTGGCATGCCCAAGACTTAGCTCTGAACCCTGTTCCCCTTTTCTGCCTTCTGCTCTCAACTCCTCCCCAAGTAACTGTATTCAGCACCACAACATTGAATACCCTTCGGTATAGAGGAATGACTCTTGACTTTGAATTTCCAGCCCAGACCTCTCCCCTAAGCCAAAGACTTCTAAATTGAAGTGATTTGCTGACCTCTCTGATGGTCAAAATATAAATCCTGATTTCTACACCTTCCCGCAAATCTTCTGTTCCTCCTCCAGTCTCCCCATCTCAGTCCAAGATTCAGTTACACACCAGTTGCTCAAGCCCAAAACGTAGAGTCATCTAGAATCATTCTTCCCTAACTCCCTACATCTAACCCATCAGCAAACCCTGTCATGAGACCTGTTTTCTTCTCTACTTCCCCTCCCTAGCTAAGCCACCAGCTACCTCCTAGAGTTCTTGTGAGGATTAAATGCATTGCTTTTCAAAGAATGCCTGGCACTTACGTGAGCTGTTTGTATTCTTAACATCATTGTCATTGTCATCATTGTCATCTCAGTGTCATCATCATGTCCAGTCTGGACTATGACCACAAACTCCTCACTGGTCCCCAGTTTCCACTCTTGCCTCTCCCCAGAATTCATTCTCAACAGCCAGAATGAGCTTACAAAACATGAATCAAATCATGACACTCTTCTGCTTAAAACCCTTCAATGATGTCCCAACTGTCCTTCTCAGTACCACAGCCTGTGAGGCACCAGCGATCCTGCTCCCATCCCTCTCTCCCGCATTCCCCACCCTCCTTTCTTCAGCTAACTCAGGGCCTTGGTTCTTCCCTTTACCTCCTAGAATTTTCTTCCCATGGTTCTTCCTATAACTGGTCCTTCCCTGTCTTCTAAATCTCAGACCACATCACTATGGAAGGAAGAGGCCTTCCCTGAGCAGCTCATTCCTCCAGTGATGACTTTCCATTGGATCACCCTATTTGTTTCCTGCAGAGCATGTTCCACTACCCATAGTGATGCATGTATTGTGTATTGCCTGTTTCCTCCAACTCCTTGTGAGCTGCACAATGGCAGGGACCTGCTCTTTCTTGTTCATCTCTGTGCACCCCATTTCTAGAACAGTGCCCAGTACATAGGACAGGCTCAATAGAGTTGAAGAACACATGAATGGATCTCACTATTAGCTCTTCAAAAACAAAAGAGGCTCTCTTGAAGGTAATAAGTTCCCCATCAGTGGTAGGATGAACATGTGGTAGGCATATTGCAGAGGGGTCTGTGGCTCGATGGGATAGGAAGGAGGGATGGGCCAGATGACTCCGGGTCCCTGCCAGTGTTGGGGGCCACTTGTGTGTGGATGACTGCACACTCATGTGGCCCCCAGCACTGGCAGGGACCTGACCACAGTCAGAAGGCTTCATCCCAGACAGCCTTCTCTCGGGCACCAAAGATCAACATCCACAACCTCAGGCTGCACCATGGCCAGTCCCTGCTCCTGAAATGCAAGGGATGTTTTCTTGGTGCTGGTGAAATCTTGGGGATACAATTGAAGTTTTTTTAAAGCAAAGACTATAGATTCCAGGTCATACAGTTCAGACACAGGTTCAAACAAACATTTCATACTAATTCCTGGGTATTGGCATCAGAGAAACCCTAAGGGTTGAAATCCTGGCATGTTGACAACACATTCCGTCCTCTGTACCTCCCTTGTACCACCAGGGTCTCAGCATCTCATAAGAGCCTGTAAAATCCAGAGCCATTCCTTGGGTAGAGATTATGGGTTGGCTGAGGGAGCCACGAAGATTTTAAAATGTAAAACATGAACCCATAAATGCAGAAGGTCTCCCGTGTTTTCTAAAATCTGGCCAAAAGCTGAGCCACAGACAAGGAAATTGTCTGGTGTCCTTGCCAAAATGACAGTGTCACCAAATTGATAAACAAGTCTGGGATCGTTTTGAAGACAGCGATGATAGGAGACCACCAAGGGCTCAGGTTGGGGGCTGCTGAGACTGGCAAGATTTAGTTTCTCTAATTTTCAACCCAAAGCATTGATCTAATTCCTCACACAACCTATTGATAGTCATGAGTTTGCTGTTGCTGCTGCTGCTGCTGCTGCTGCTGCTGCTGCTGCTGTTTAAATGGAAAAGAAGAGTAGTAAGTGGTCATCTTCTCAGCGTCTGGTGCTGGTCCCGCCCACACACTGTGGCAGAGCAGACCCACCTGTTGTCACTGGGAAATGAGGGGCTGCAGGTACTGCCCTTAGACAATGGAGGTGGCCAAGGACGTTTGGGGACAGATTACAGGAAAGCTCAACAATTCCCTTCATGCTTTGGTGTTGAGCACTGGCCTCCTTTTTAAAAACAAAAGTGATTCAAAAAGGGGCACATTTTTTGTGCCTAACACCTCAGCATGAAAAAGTTTATCAACTACCTTTTCTTCTGAGACAAGAGAGGACTTTGTGAGCAGGGACAGGCCCTGAGAGACAGATTTTACTGAAGACAAACTGCCTGGGTCCTGCCTCATCACTGAAGCTGATGAAGACCAGCCAGGGGCCAGGGCAAGCCAGGACTGTGCCCTTCTAGCTCTTGGGCTCCCAAGCCGCCTGTGGCTTAATTCCAGTATTCTGACCCATTCTGCTACACGTCAGGTCCACACAAATTAAACAAAAAGCAGGGGAATGCTTGTGAGAACTTGGACTTGATATTTGGATCTTGGAGACTTCAAAACAAAAAGCACTGGTTCATTCAATAGCAGGGCAAATGTTTTGCCTGAATCCTTTGGGTCAGTAGATTTTAAACTCACCCATAGGGTCTTGGGGAGGAGGCTTGGCACACCCCTCCCCCTCACCAGAGCCTTCCAGATTGTATGAGTTTGCAAACTAAAGCTCCAGGAACTGGCCTCATTCAAAGCGACGCCATGGACCCTGCGTGCCATGCCCCAGGGCTCCACTCTCTTAATCAAGGCAGAGGGAACCTACTTACTACTCAAAACCAATTTTCTAACATAAAATGTTCACAGTTATTTTCTGATTGTGAAAATAAAAGATCTCAATGAGGAAAACAGGTAAGGCAGCAAAAGAAAGAAAACAGCCAAAGTGATAAGAATCCCGTCACCCAAAATAATCACTGAAAATATACCGATGCATTTCTACCTTGTACAATTTCTGATATATTCTGCCTTATAGAGGCTTCTGGACTGTCACTCCAACTTGGAATCAAATGGACCACTGAGAAACCCGTGGAAGACAGCAGGTCTAAGGAAATCACAAAGATTAGAAATGCATCCATGTGCACCCAACTCCTTCCTAGTGGGGGTGGGGGGTACCTTTGAGATGGTCTGTGATTCTACTTACCCCTCACTCTCTGTTCCCACTAGTCTGCCCTGCCCTCTGTCCCTCAACTACGCCAAGCTCCTTCCCTCCCCAGCGATCTTGCACTTGACGGTCCTTCTGTATGGAACCTCCCCGAGATGTTCATATGGCTGGCTCCTGGCCACTCCTCAAGGAGACCTTCCTTCACCACTGCAATCCCTCTTTATCCCATTACCCTGTCTTATATAGTTCTTACCATTGCCCCCAAATTCTCCATGTTTACTGACTGGTTTGTCCAGTAAAACATAAGCTCTTGTTCACTCTTGTAACCTTAGCACCTGCAATAGTCTCTGGTACACGAGAGTTGTTCAAGAAATAGTCCTGCATGAAAGATCAGAAGAGAAATGGAGAGACTCCCGAAGTGGGAAGTTCACATTTCAGGACGTGAGAAAACGCTGAAATTCCAAGATGAGGGGAAGAGAGATGGGAGGTGAGACTTAACAGAAGCAGGAGTGGATCATTCAGGTAGATTCCGATGGGCCTTGTTAAAGATTTTCATCTGAAGATTAAGACCAATGAACGGCCTCTGAAAGGTTTCAAAATGAGGAGTGATATAATTAGGTTTGTGCTTTTTTAAATATCAGCCTGGATTCCATATGAAAAATGAGTCACAGAGGAGCAAGAAAGGGTTCAGGCAAACTAGTTAGGAGGCTGCCCTGGCGCCTCTGACAAACGAGGAAGCAGCGTGACCACAGGTGGGCAACAGGCATTGGAACAATGGGGTGGCCTGAGGGACCCGTGACAATGCTGAGAAGAGAAAGAAGGAAACGCGTCAAGTCAAGGCAGACTCTAGATGTTTGGCTTGCTGGCTGGTGAAGCAGCATTCACTAAAATACTAGAAAGTGACAGAGGGGTTGAATTGGCAGAGGAAGATAAGGACTGTCTCTGGCCTAGTGACTTGGGGGCCTCTCTTAGATATCCCAAGGGAAGTGGCCAGGAGACAGCTGGATAAACAGGTCTGGGATTCAGAAGAGAGGTCTGGACTCATTAAATAATAATAAGATGGCCAGGCATGGTGGCTCACGCTTGTAATCTCAGCACTTTGGGAGGCTGAGGCAGGTGGATCACCTGAGGTCGGGAGTTCGAGACCAGCCTGACCAACATGGAGAAAGCCCGTCTCTACTAAAAATACAAAAAATTAGCCAAGCGTGGTGGCGCATGCCTGTAATCCCAGCTACCCGGGAGGCTGAGGCAGGAGAATTGCTTGAACCCGGGAAGCGGAGGTTGCAGTGAGCCAAGATGGCGCCACTGAACTCCAGCCTGGGCAACAAGAGTGAAACTCTGTCTCAATAATAATAATAAGACTTACTTATACCTGGAGAGGTGGTAGAAATAGAGAGAGAGAAGCCTCAACAGGTCCTAAAGTTTCTGAGAAGAGCCCATGTGAGAATGGTGGGGTGGCTGACAGAGCCCAGGATGCAGCAGAGATGGACTCTTTGAAGAATGCTGAAATAACTGGGACTTATGGAACTGCATAGGGCCCAACTGAGCTATTGCAAAAGAGTATGATTGGGTATGGGAGGGGATGGTCAAACCCTCAAGGAAAGTATTCCACACCAGGCTTACAGAGAGGTATTTGCTGCCAGGTTTCTATGATTTGAAAAGCCATGCTTCCCCCAAGGCCGAATGACTATATTTCTCAGCCTCTCTTGTAAATAGGTGTAGGTGTGACCATGTCACATTTCATTAAAAGAAAAGGAGATTCATTCTTCCCCACCTCCTTTCTCCACCCTACTGCTTGAATCATGGATGAGATGGCTGGAGCTCTAGCAGCCTTTTGTTTCCTGAAGATGACAGCCAAACCCAAGAGATGGCAAAGAAATGAGCTAGAAAGTGTCTGCATCTCTGACAATTTCATGGAACCTCCATACCTCTCTCAGGCTACCTACTTCCAGACTTCTTTGAAAAGAGAGAAAAATAAATGATCTTACTTAAGCCCCTATCATTTGAAGATGTTCTCTTATACACAATCAATCCTAATCCTAACCAGAACACTAGCCAACCAGTCTACCCCATCCCCTGCCTTGTTCTACCCTTACCTTAGGTCACAGGGAATATTCTCCTCCCCGTTGCCTGTATTGACTTAAATCCTGCCCATCCTTTGGAGGATGGATCAGATTCTACCTCCCACCAGAGATTTCCCATCCGCTTCCTCCCTGAACTCAGACGCTGTCTGCCTGCCTCCCTTTGGGCACCTGGCCTGCTCTGCCTTCCAAGGGAGTGATTCACCCTTCCATATCTATCTCCTGACTCTTCGACCAGGCTCGGGACCATCAAGGCAAGGCCCATGCATTCCAGATCCTTGTATTCCCTGGGCCGGAGAGGCACTGGATACAATATCATAACGAATATCCCCACACTAAGCCTCTCTTACCTCTGCCCACACGAGGCAGATAAGGAGGGGGTGCCAGAAAGTATACAAACACATTTAGAAAAACGAGAAGGCAGGCGGAGTCAAAGTCAGTTAGTTAAAAATCTAAAACTATTTCTAATATTAAGATGTAGCCTGGGGGCAAGATCTGGTGTGTCTCTTTCAAACTACACAACCTAGATGTTAGACTGCCTCATGGCACGATGCCAGGAGGCCCCATTCATGTAGAAAACAACATGAGTGGCAACCCCCAGAGAGAGGTGAAGTGTCATGGTCATGCACCAGAAAAATGAGTCCTTTCAGAAAAAAATACCAAGTCACATGGCGCAGTGGCTCACACCTCTAATCCCAGCACTTTGGGAGGTGAGGTGGGTGGATCTCCTGAGGTCAGGAGTTCGAGACCAGCCTGCCCAACATGATGAAACCCCTCTCTACTAAAAATACAAAAATTAGCCAGGCGTGGTGTTGGGCGCCTATAATCCCAGCTACTCGGGAGGCTGAGGCAGGAAAATCGCTTGAACCCAGGAGGTGGAGGTTGTAGTCAGCCGAGATTGCACCACTATTTATTTTTTCACACTTGCAACATATTCTTCACAAATCGATGTCAATAACAAATTACTTTTGATTACTTAACAAGTATTTTTTTTCAAATATACTTTCTAAGAGCAAATACAGACAAGTTAAATGGTTCGCAATGAGCATAGTTCATTTGTAAAGACAGTATAATGTTTTAAAAAGTACACATTTTTTTCAGCTTATTGTCTGCAGCCACAATTGTTAAACTCAATCAAAGAGGCCCTGGAGGATTCGCCACTTAAGGCTGAAGTCGTAGCAAGTGCTGCCACGTTGGGGAAGATAGCGGCAGAGATAACCACTACTGGGGAAGTGTAAATGGAAATTTCAAATTTAGATTAAGCCTGAGTGGCGTGAAAACAAACCCAGCATGTTCAGGTGCAGTGTCCAGATGTTTTCAAAATGCCCTGATTGTGAGAGCTGAGAAGGGAGATGTGGAAAACAGACACTCTGGGGTCCTCACGGAAAGCAACGAGGCAGATTTGAAACCCACACTAAGGAGGCATTGTAAATGAACTCAAGAACATGAGCTTGGCACAGAAGGAACAAGTTGAGAGATAAGAAGTTTCCTGATTAAAATAACCCTAGTGCCTCTTTGAGATCTGCTTCTAGCACCAACTGACAGCTATTTCCAACGGCAGAAGACACCAAATGTCAATCTGTAACATGCTACAGGTCAATATTGCTTTCTTTCCTGCAGATGGTTTAAGCACAACTTAGCAACTCCTCTGCCGCCTCGTTTCTGCTGAAACTTCGCCGGGTTTTAACACGCCTGCCAAAACTGCCCCCTTCCGGGCCCAAGAGTCCAGGATTCTGTGCCAAGCCGCGTGGCCAGATGCCACTTGGGGATGGCGCCTGTGAGCACCAAAGCCTGCCCTTTTCGGGCTGAGTCACTACTTGTAACCACCAGGTGTCAGTAGCGAGTACGGAGACTCCCATCCGGAGTGCTCCGGGAACTTCAGCCAGACCCTAAAGGGGGAGAAACCGGATGCTGTGGCTTTGGGGACAAGCAGTGCTACGGTCACATTCTCAGGCACTCATGAGTATTTCATTTACTCAGTTGCCAACTCACCATGCAAACCCACCACGTAATTTCTGGGATGGCTTTAATTCAATGCCTTTCACACACTCAGAGACAAGATTAAGCACTGTTCTCACTCCAATAGGACTGGGACCTTTTCTCTGCTCCCTCCCCAACCCAGAAGGTAAAAACATAAAGCAGGGTTTTCTACTCCTTGCGTATCTTCTCCATGTAAATTACCAAATTATTATTTTAGCAGTTTCTATTTGTACTGTGGTTCAAGGAATTTGGTTTATAATGCTTCAGCTGGGGACATGCTTGGGTATTACTGGGTACTGAGCTGTAAGAGGGAAAGTCCAGCAAAGCAACTGGATTATGCAAAGCCAGGACCAAAGGCCACTTCACTGCCTGTTTTACTGAACTGGATCTAAACTGGTTTCTCTCGTCTGGTGTAGCATCTTGAACATATATACTGGATCTATGAGTAGCTCCAGCAACATTTAAAGCTGTATTTCCGTGGCCTTTTAAACCCAGGATGTTAGGAAAGCTCTGCTGTATCTCTAGGTCCTTCCAGCCTGAGGACACATCTTCTGGAACAAAAGATCATGTGGATCCAGGTCCACGGGCTCTTAACATCAATCGCTATGGCCTACCCAGCCACCAAAACAGCTCATCCTGTTTACCTCCACCTGTCTGCATCCAAACACACAGGGCTCCTGGCTGGGTGTTCCTTTCCCTCTGGGTGCCTTGGGTACCTAGTTGGTGCTTCTGCTGCCAATTATCCCTTAATTTGACCCTCATGAAGCCTGGCTTCCATATCTCACAAGCAAAGATGCTGAGGACAGAGGAGAAATACGATCTTCTGGATTAAGGACCCCAAGGCTTAGCTTAGGGTTTTGCAAATAGCTTCAAGTCCCCATCTTGCAACAAGGAAACATTCAAAGGTTTTGATGCTAGGTGGCATCACTGAGGCCCAAGACCTGGAAAGGCAGCCAGTCTTGTGTCCATGTAACTGACGGTGCAGTGAGCTAGCCCCACTGTCACTGCAGCAGAAAGGGGCAGGACATTTCTGAATAGAGACAGCCACCAAACCAAAGATACACGTTTGATCCAATGTCCCAAGGGGGTCTGCCAAAGGCTTAGCTATCATACCACCTTCACAGCTCCCAGGTCGATATTTTTTTCAATCACAAAAAGCATTATCCTAAGTGATCAGGAGGGCACTAAGGGCATGTCTCTAGGTAGAGTGAATCACAATGATGCCCAGGATCTCAGCTTCCCCAGCGAGATCACCACCCCTCCCATTTTCCCTGGACTCATGGCTCCCTGTCACATCCCACCCCACCCCAGCAACGACATTCTGGCTTGTGTCTTCCAATAAGCGTTTCCAGCTCTGGGCTGAGAAACGTGTTACAGGCGTCTGAGGACAAGCTCATGGAGCACAAAACCAGCCTCACCGTTTGGTGATGATGAGAAACAGTGGTGGACATTTCCTGAGGAAGAGGTGCTACAGTTCTGCCAGAGATCAGTTGCGTGTCCATTGCCCACGATCCATTGCTAGAGAGAATCAGATAGATATCCTGAGTCAGGGAGGGAGGGAGGAGTGAAGGAAAAGGGGAAGGAGAAAGGCCCAGGGATGGCGAAAAGCACCCGCATCCACCTAGCCACACCGCCCACCCCTGCATGGTAAGAGCCAACGTTTTATGACTTAAAAGCACCTTGTAAATGGAGAAGTTCCACATGCACACAGAAACGATTATGTGCAGAGATGTTTACTATAGTAGAAGGAGCCATGAACTCAACCTTAGACACCTGCATTCAAGCCTTCTCTCCTCCCAGCATCTCGGGATCATTCCCCAAGCCCGCCTCTCTCAGTCTATTTCCTTGTTTATAGCTCCTATCAGTCTGATATCATCATCACCAGGCACAATGGAGATACTGTGAAGATGCTTGTAAATGTTAAACTAAGTCACAAATCCCCAACATAATTATTTCTCACAGAGACTAGAAAATCATGCTTACAGGCCGGGCACGGTGGCTCACACCTGTAATCCCAGCACTTTGGGAGGCAGAGGTGGGCGGATCATGAGGTCAGGAGTTTGAGACAAGCCTGGCCAACATAGTGAAACCCCGTCTCTACTAAAAATACAAAAAAAAAAAAAATTAGCCAGGCGTGGTGGCGGGCACCTGTAATCCCAGGCTGAGGCAGGAGAATGGCTTGAACCCGGAAGGCAGAGGTTGCAGTAAGCCAAGATCATGGCACTGCACTCCAGCCCGGGTGACAGGCTGGAGACTCCATCTCAAAAAAAAAAAAAAAAAGAAAAGAAAAGAAAAGAAAACGAAAAAGAAAATCATGCTTACAATGTGCCTTAAATTAAGAAGTGAAAGCCACCACTGGAAAACTGCCTGAATGTCTGCTCATCTTCATCGCCAAGAAAATAACTTTAAGATCTAATGGGCTGGACAGTTTTGTAACAGAAGTTACTCTGATGGCCTGTTCCTACCAGTGGAAGCTTTACTAACAATGTGTTGTGTTCATGCCATAAAGCCGACATGGGACCTGTGAACTCTTTTCCAGAAAAGCCCATTTTAACTTTCCAATTTCAAGTCCTAAAAGGGTGTTTTATAAATTAATTCACCCATCTGACTATGGTTTGGAGAAAAAAAAATCATAAATACTCCTCTTCTTCAACGAGGCTGCATCAAGAAAAAAAAAAGTTAAACAATCTTGTCAAATGAAGGTCGGGGACCCTAGATCGGCTCTGAAGTTACTTGGCTTAAATAGAGACCTGCGCAGCTAACCCAGCCCAGCGCTCGCTTGGTTCCTATCACTGAATCTGCTCTCGTTTTCTCAAAGCAACTGGAAGGGGGCAGATTGCCAGAAACTTCCCTGGGACGTCTGAGACTTCCAACTGTCTGCAAATAACACAGTCCTGAACCAGCAGGAGCACGGGCTGGGAACCCAGATGGGGAAGGGCGGGCCGCGCAGGGAGCCTCCCCGCCAGGCACTCACGCTGACGATCGTGGAGACGAACAGCAGCACCAGCACCGCGACGTGGAGGACGATGATACTCAGCAACAGGAGGAGCATTCTGGCGGCAAGTTCTGCTCAGCGGAGTTTCTGCCTGCGAGGAGAGCGCTGGGCGTGAGGCCGAACGCACTGGGCCGAGCGACGGAGGCGCGCGCAGAGGGAGGGTCCCGCGCACTAGCGGAAGGCCCGGCCTGGCCCAGCGCCCGCAGCCCGACCGCCCGCGCGGGTCAGGAGCCTTCGCGCCGCCTGCCGCCGAGAGGGGGCAGCAGCCGCCTGCAGGACCAGCGCCCAGTGCCCAGCGCCCAGCCGGGCCCGCCTGCAACGGAACATCTTTTGCTTTTGGAAACAAAACAAGCGGTTCGCACGTCTAAAACCACCCAGGGAACGGAGGGGTTTCCAGAAAATATGAGCAGAGGCCACTGCACGCTTCCACCCACCCCAAGCACCTCCCGGCGACCTCCCTGGAAGGTGAGAGGTCACGTTCTCCGAGACCCCGGTTCAGATGGTGAATTCCCCTATGGGGTGGAGGTAGGGGTGAGGGGAGTAGGTGCCCAGATTTCCGTCTGAGACCTGGAGACAGCCGTGGCATGCGGTGGGGGAGACAGCGGCGAGGAGGCTGGTTTCCCAGACCCCAGTGCTCTCCGCATTCCGTTTGTCTCCAAGTTTCCACCCAACTCTGCCAGCGTAGAGGAACGGTCCTGGCCCCAGCTCAGCCTCGCGCAGACTCTGGCGGCTCCGGAGAGGTGGTGCAGAGCCAGAGTAGTGTGGAAAGAAAAGAATGGCTCGAGAGGGTTGCCCGGACCCTGCGCTTCCCGTCCACCGCGCGCTTCCCCAGGCAGCCCCTGGGGTCAGGGGGCATTCTGCTCTTGCGCTAGACCCACGTGCTCGCCTAGGGGTCCAGTCTGCACCCCAGGCACTCAAAGCCAGGACACGAACCCCAACAAGCCTGAGCTCCGGTCTGGGTGCGGTGGGACAGGAGCCCAGGAGCCTGGACCGAAGGGAGTAGATGTCCAGCGGACGGGAGAGAGAGACAGAGGGTAAAAGGCTGAGTCCGAGAATTTCAGCCGGTCAGAGCCGGCAGGACATTTATCCCAAGTAATGCGGTCCTCGCCCCTCATTTTAAACTTTGGGGGAACTGAAGGCTGGGATGACCTGTTAGAGGACATGCATGGCTGTGAAAGATCTGGCTGAGACTCTGGGGACCATTTTAGGCAGAGTCTTGGGCCAGGGAGACAACGTTTCAATAACCCAGTTTGGAAAGTACCCAATCCCAGGCCCCTCTGTTCCTCTCCACAAGCATCACATTCAAAGAAACTCTGGAATGCACTGGAAGAAATAAACAAGGATTTCTGATGACTCCCAGAGGGTTTGAATTAAGCCGATGGCAGGAGGCTGGGAACTGGGGAACCACAGGAGTCCAACACTCTCGGGATGTCCGCCACAGGGACTGTTTTGCCAGTGTGTCCCAGAGTCAACGCCTCTTCAGCAAGGCGAGAACTGGGCCGCCCTTATCCGCTATCCAGACACCAGCACCATCACCCTTGCCCTGTAAGGTCTTATAGACCATAAAGGCTCTCCTCGTTGTATTACTCCAAGACCCATTGGAGGGAAACAGGACACACAGGGGACCCTGTGCCCCTAAACAGAAGCCCCAGGGAGCTGGCCAAAGCCCCGCGCCTGCGCTGCGCTTTCTGGCACCCTCACTGGAAGATGCCCACATTTCTCCTCCATCTCCTTCACTCTCCCCACCAAATCACTTACAGCCCAAAGGAACAGCTGTCCCGATCCTCAGGGTGGCCTCAAACACAAACTCGGGTGCGTTGGCTCCGCTGCTGGCGCCGCCAAAGCTGCGCTGCGGGGCTGCGCGCGCGCGAAGCAAGGGGGCAGTGGGAGGCTCCTGGCGTTCCCCTTTAACGGGAACAACGCCCTGTTTGCGTCGCTGCAGTAGGGTGTGTCCCTGGGTCAGCGTGTGCGGGAGGGCGGGACTCAGGGAGGAGAGGGGGCAGGAGAGAGGGAGGGCAGGAGACAGTCACTTGGCCTTAAATGCGCCTCAAGAAAAAGTCGGTCCCTGCAAAACCGCGGCGACTTTTACTCGAAACCAGAGGCGGCTGAGCTTTCTCACCTCCCACCTCCCTTCTCCCCTGGCCCCGTGGAGACCTAGTGTTGACCGAGAAACTGGCTCCTCAGCCCACTCTGGGAAGACCCAGCCAAATGTAGCTCAGCGGATGCCCAGGGCTGGGCTTCTGGGCCCGCCGACGCCGACCGCGCCCGCGCGGGGCTGAGGCTGGATTCCTTTCCCACTAATAGAGGGCAGCGGGCGCTTGAGCGCTGGAAGAAGTCCCTCTCCTCTCGGGTCCTGGAGCCCCTGCCCTGTCCTGGCGTCTTAGCCGGACACACCTGCCCCGCGCCGGTCCCCGCTATTACTGTCTGCACCTACGAAGCATGCCAGCTTCCTAGGATTGGCGGGGATTGATCTAGCGGGCTCCTCTTGGGTGCGAATTAGGGGAAGAAAAGTCCGGCCGACTACTGGATAGCATGGTCTGGGATTGGGCTCCTCCTAGCCTAGGCAAAACCAGACTACCACCGAATAAGCTCTAGGCAAAGTGTTCCTGCAGCAGTCGGGCTTGGCTGTCAGCCTTGGCTGGAGTCCTGGCCATGGGGTTTGGCGGGCGGGTGCGAGGTGGCCATTTGAGGTGGGGTTGGAGCAGCCAAGGAAATCAGCTGATTCATAGCCTCCTAACGTGGCCCGCCCAGCGTTACAGGGAGAGAGGCTAGCCCCCTTCAGTCTCGGCTTGGCAGAGGCGCGCCCAACTGAGACTCCCGTGCGCAGGCCAGCCTTGAGGCACGGGACAGGGAGCAGGAATGTGGATGTTAAAGGTTTCTGCCTGAAAATGCAGCAGTTCACGCACGCGCGCGCACACACACACACACACACACTTCCCTACCTCTAGTGTACTGTGTCATAGAAGCTCATCACTCTCAATGATTCAAATAATTCTATATTATTTTACGATTTGAAAGGAGCTGCTATTTTAGCTAATTGTATATTCTTACGGTAAGTAAAAATAAATTTGAAAAAGATCTTCAAACAATGATCTTTTTAAAACTATCGTGTTATCAGATTAAAATGAAGTGTACTTGTAAACACTGCATTTACAGTGCCCGTTATATGCCAAGCACTTTGCCTGGACTTTATATGCATGGTCTGTGAGAGGCAGTATGGTGCAGTGGTTAGGCACTCTGGCTCTGGGCTCCAACAAACCTAATCACCCTGCTTACTTTTGTTGTGAATTTGGGCAATTTCTCAAGTTCACTGAGCTTCAGTTTTCTCAGGTGCAAAAGGAAATAGTAATGCCTGCTTTAAAGGTTTATGGTGGTGATTGAAGGAGACAATATGTACAAAGCAGTTAACATCGTGTCTGCAACATAATAAGGGCCCAGTGCCCAAATTGCCACCACTATTATTATATCACATTTAACTCTCACATCAACCTTTCAGGGAAGACCTGACCACCTCTGCACTAAAGTAGCTTGTAACTCTGATAGGTAGGTAGGTAGGTAGGTAGATAGATAGATAGATAGATAGATATAGATAGATAGATAAAGATTTATAAATGAAAGTGCATATGCAAGTAGAAAAAAAAGTCTAAAGACATGGCAGTGTTTTCTTTCCTCCACAGGTCATTTTATAAGTTAGATTTGCTCTAGAAATTATTACTTTGTTTTATGCCATTTGGACATTTATTTATTTAACCAACACTTATGTGATCACAACATACTCAGGACTGTTCTAAGTAAGCACTTTAGAAATATGAGCATATCTAACTCAGGGTTTTCTTTCCCTTCCTTTGTGATTTTCAAATAAACTTTTTAATAAAGTCTAATACACATACAGAAAAGTGCATATATTGGGTGCTACAGCTCGCTTCTTCCTTTCTTTTGAACCCAATAGTTTAATCAATAACCACCCAGGTCACAGCCACACCATATACTGCCAGACAGGTAAACCCAACCCATCTGTCCCTCACTGCCTCTGGCCTCCTGCCTGGTTCTCAATGGTGGCAGAGGAAGTGCTACTCAGTGCCTGCTGACCAGGCTTGCCACACCCAGAGCCCGGCTGGCCAAGGCTCTGCCACAGGTGGCAGCTTCTCCCTAACCTGCTTACCAAGGCCACCTGCCAGCTGTGTGTGCACAGCTATTTTCCATGGGGGAAAAAGCATCTAGATTCCTTTCTTCCTTTCAATCTGGATGCATTAGGGTTTCTAGATGCTCTCAGATGGCCCCCCACCTCCCCAGCCAGAGTATATATCCACCTTTTAACCAAGGATATAAAAAGCCCTCTGAATCTCCAGTCAATTCCAACACAAATGCACCATCTCTCCTGCAATCCTTTTCATTTGCGGCTTGCAGGGGGTGGGAAATTAGGCAATTCTTGTAAAGCATAGGCACACATCACCCAGAGGCACAGTTTGCCAATAAAACTCACCCGGCCAAACAGCGTAACCCCTTCTTCCAAGCAGATTTCTTTGCAGCCAAATGCAAGGGATGTTAAGGCAAGACCCTCCCCACAGGGCAGTCAGAGACCCGCAGCCGACAGACTAAGCCTGCAGCTTCCAACCAGGCTCCCCGAGATGTTCCCTGGTGGTGCTCCCTGTAACTGAAGCCAGACCAGGCGTCTTTCCAGTTTATTCAGGGGCTGGTCCAATGCTGGGATATGTCATGGTGGCCTGAGAGGTTCTCAGCCTCTATTATTTAAAGAGACAGTGTCCAACTTTGTTTGCTTTCCAGAATACAATAATCCCAAGAGGCCCTGCAGGGCATGGAGAAACTGGAATCAGAAGGGAGAAGAGCTTTGAGTATGCCTGAAGCCTGTGATGCCAAGACTGTTCTCTCTGGAAGTGCCAACCTGTGTAATAGCCAAGAGGTCCCACTGGCTCCCCTCCCCTCCCAGTGAATTCTGCAGAGATTAAATATACTGTGGGAAGGATCTGTGTCTACAGTGTTACATACGTGCAGGTAAGTTTTATTTTAAATAAACTTCCTTTTAAGGAGCCCAAACATTGCACAGCTAATCTCTCACAGCATCACAGCAGTGAGCCAAATGTCTCAAGAGTCACCAAATCAAGCCTCCTTTGTTCCAACCCCTGGTTGGAAGGACTCCCTGTTACCTGCCTTGTCTGCCTAGACCCCATCGCAAATGATCACATGTGTTGTACATTAGAATAAAACTTAGGGAAATGTGTTCTTCCGACTCTGTCTTTAATGTGCCCGAATCAAGCTGACCTTCATGAGATAATTCAATGCAAGTAAACGAACCTCTATTGAAAACTATTGAAAACTTTCTAACCTGTCAGGCAGAATAGGCTGGAAGAGCAATTGGAAATTCTTGGAGAGGGAAGTAAAGGAAGTTATGGCATATTTAGGTTCTTTGCAGCGTACCACTCCAGCTCCCAGAGAGTCCTCCATCCCTTGAACCGCTTCTAGCTGCAAACTCTGACACAAGAGGACTGGTTTCATTGCATGAGTTTCCTGGAATTCTGGCACTTGGGGCATAAGACTTCCTCTTGTGTTAGGGATCCCCAGTCTGGAGAGACCTGCAGAATTTGGAGGAGTCCCTCCCTGTCACACACTTTACGTTTGATTGGACTCTCCAGTCACAAGGGCCTCTCAATGGCCCTCTCCCCTGTTCTGCCCACAGCCAGCATCTGCTCACAGCCAGCATCACAGCCAGTGCCAATAAAATAGTTTCACCTTTCTCTCTTTGCTGAAATCATTTTTATTTTTCACAGCAGTGGTTCTTTAGAATCACTCAAGAGCTTTGCAAATGACCTAGCCTGGGCCATGGTCAGAGAAGCTGACTCAGGTGTTTTGGGATGGGGCTCAGGTATGGGTAATTTCCAGTGTCTTTCTCCCCGCTGGATGTTTCGTTGTCCAGCCAGGTTGTCATGTGGAGTTAGATTGTCGCTGATTTCCTTCCAGCTCCCTTCTGTTGTGGAACCCAAATGGAGATGAGGTACAGTGTGGGCTGCTGCAGTATTATGCAAGTTATAAGTCTGTTCTGCCAGGCAAAACGGTGTGTGTGTGTGCGCGTGTATCTGTGTGTGTGTGTGTGCGCGTGTGCGTGTGTGTGACAGAGAGAGAGAGAGAGGAGCCTCCCTCAGTCCTCCTCTGACATGGTCTGTACGGGGACTGGGAACAGTGAGCATGGTTTTTGCAGCCTCTCCAGACAGTCTTTTCCTGGGTACTGCCATGATCAGCTCCAAAGGCTACACGACAGAGGCTGCTGTCCGTCAGGCCAGGATCAAGCCTGAAGACACGTAAGATTATTTCTGATCTAAGAGCTAAAGATTCAGAGGAAAAGGGGTAGGGCCTGGTGAGTGTGGGGCATGGCTTCTGGCCAGATAGGAGCAGTCTGATTAGCCCTCCCTCTCTCCTTCCATGAGCTCCACATTCTGAGACCTGCTCTCTTGGCCTCACGTCTCTTTTGCCCAGGTCCTCCATCTCCAGCAGCCAAACCCCGAAGTCCCTGTTGGCTGTCAGCAGTAGAGCTGTTCACTGTTGTGTGCCACTGGCCCTGTCTACCAGATGCCAACACACTTGTCTTTACCCATCTGGGCCAGACTCTCTTCCCTTCCCAGAGTCAGGTGAGGAAAACTCCTTCCTCGTCTCCCATTTCCAATAACCTTTTCTCAGCCAAATGGGACCCCTATCCCATGCATCTGTGTTGAGCAATGTCTCTGCAAAGCTGTAGGCTATATCCCACTGAGCCTCTTGCAAAATAAACACATAGAATAGTCACCAAATAACATTTATTATTATTTGCTATCCTCCCTTCCATTTACAGATAGGAAAAATGAGAATCGGGATTCTCTGAGGAAACACAGTTGAGTCAATGAGACTGGCTATTTCTAGCACCTGAGCTGTTCTGCTACACCACGCTCCATCGGCTCAGTAGCATCAGTTATCCGCAAGTCCTTGATAATGATGATAATAGGTTATATTTACTTCGTGTTTAGCATATGCCAGGCACCATCTTGAATATTTTATATGCATCAAATCACTTAATCCTCACAACCGTATGAAATAGGCACCCCATCATCCTCTTTTAGAAGAGGGAGAAACTGAGGCACAGCGAGATGTTCAGTCACTTTCTCAAGACACACTGCAAAGAAATGACAGAGGCTGGATTCCAACCAGGCATTCTGGCTACAGATCCCGTACTCACAGCCTGGACTATCTCACATTCTACCGTGCCCCTAATTGTGCCCAGCACGTTCCTAGCATATCTTCTCATCATGCTTCCATAGACACTATCATTTAATGTCCTATTTGTATGAAAGATATTCTCACATTATACATATTTATGCATTCACGTTTCTTTTTCCATTAAAAAGCAAGAACATATCCTAAGACATCCATTTTTTTTTCAGCACCAGTCACATTTAGTACAGCTTTCAAGAATCCTGTCTCATCCTGCCAACAAGGCTGTGTGCTCCTCCGAGGACATTTGCATTCCATATGTCTGTATAGCATAAGCACTGGCAGAATCCTGCCTGTAGGTGAGATTTTAATTTCATAAGAATGAAATGTTGTCCATGACAGTGGAATCCCAGCAGACTCTTGAAGAGGGAGGAAACCCTTCCGCACTTTATAGCTAATAAAATGCTGTTAACATATGGCAGTATCTTATTTAAGAGGAATCATTATAATCATTTTCTATGTGAAGAAACTGAGGCTTGGAAAATTTACAGTGTTTCCTCCAGGGACTAGCTAGTGAATGCCAGGGCTGGGGCTTAAAAAAGTCCATTCCTCTGACTCCCAAACCTGTAATTTTTTCACTGTGCAGGCTCCCCAGAGAGAAAACCAGAGGCAAGTCTGAATTTGGTGTTTGTCCAGGTGATGAAGTTGTTGTTGCAGCATCTATCCCACCAGGTGCTCAGTCAATATCTGAAAAGTGTTTACACTAAGAATGAAGTCTTTCCTGTGTCCTCATAGCCAGCAGCCTGTGTGGGAGTTCTTGGCCAGCCCTGGACACAGCTGGCCTGGAAGGGTCCTCAAAAGTCAGTCCTGCCTCATCTAGACTCAGCTAGACTGTTTTGATGTCGAGTGAGAGCAGCTTGTTGAAAGAACAAGCAAGGCAGGGAAAGAAGGCAGAGGGGAAGGAAGGAAGGAAGGAAGGAAAGAGGGAGGGAGGGAGGAAGGAAGGAAGGAAGGAAAGATGGAAGGAGAGAGGGAGGGAGGGAGATATAGATAGGAAGAGGGGAGGGAAGAGAAGGAGAAGGGAGAAGAAAAGGAACAGAAGGAGCCAGTTTGACTTCTGTGACAGAATCTTCTACAAATAAGCAAGTTTGAAATTATGACAGGTCCCAATCCCTAGAAGATATTCTTTATGAACAACACAGACGCAGTCAGAAAGCAACATAAAGACACACACAAAAAAAAACTCACATTGGCACAGGACTGTTCCCTAAATGACATCTTTAAAATATAGAAAGGTATCTTGGAGTAAATTGTATATTAACTCCTTCACCTGTGGGAGAGAGAAGTCACAGAATTATTATGTTGTGGCAGTGGGACCAGACCAAGTACAAAGGATTCTCTGTTCACAAATGCATTGTTGCTTAGGAAAGCCAGATTCCACAGATGCAAGTGGAGGGGGGAAAGCAGTCTTTTCTCTGACATCTCATGAGTTAGCAGCTAGAGGATTGGGGAGCAATTTAAGCAAGAGTCAGAAATGGATGTGTACTTGGGATTGCAAACTCTAAAACTTTTCTAAGACTGTTTACTCCTAAGTGAAAATGCTTCTGCTCCAGTAGGGCATAGGTTCAAATAAAATGGGGAAGCAGAGCAATCTTGCCACACGGGAATGGACGGAATGGGGAGGAATGCAGGGATTTTCTAGGCCACTGCAGACCAGGCATAGAAATGTCGAGAAAAGCAGCCTTGGCTTGATGTGAGAGATTGTCCTTATTGAGAGAGGTGCACAGGAAGGCCCATGTAACCCAAGGAAATGCCTGCTTCAGGCAGTCGAAGCCACACCAAGAAATGGAGCATTAATCTCCAGCAAGGACGAGGTGAACGCAAACGGTCCTGGATGGGACCCTGGGAGGACAAGCCCCACGACGCATCATAGTCCCCACAATGCATCATTCTGTGTGCACTTCTGAGCCTAGGGAGCACCAGTTGTACTTAAAATGAACTGGAGACCAGATGTTTTCTTCATCTCTGAGTTCCTGCACCACTTATCAAGTGTGAAACCTCAGCTAATCCAGGGAAGTTCACAGACAAAGGTCAAATCCTTTCGAGACGTTCAAGGGAAAGCCGGGCAAAACTTCAAGAATGTTTACTCTTCATTGTTAGACTAGGAAATATCTAATCTAGAGGGTTTCAGTGGTAAGCCTGGGCCTCATATAATTGTTTTACTTTAAATTTTGGGCTCAGAAATTAAAATTCTAGAAATGTATCTTTAGAAAGTCATGGATATGCAAAAATTTGGCTATAATGGTATTCATAGCCAAATAAAGGTGATATGTTTTATAACAAAGAAAAGTGTGAACATCCTAAATCTCAAAGACTAGAGGAATGATTGAGTAACTTTTGGTACAGTCATAAGATGAAATATTATGTAAGTATTAAAAAATAATGTCCAAGAAGAATGTTTAATGAAATGAAGAGCCATTCGTGATGGATACAAAATAGCACACCTATAATTTGTTGAGCACTGGCTATGTGCCAGGCACTGTGCTAACCCTCTCATTAAATACCTCCAACAATCCCACGAGGGGAGAACTGCCGTGACCCCCAAGACACCCACACAGTGAGAAAATGGTGGAGCCAATATATAAACTTTGACCACTTGAAGCCAAGACCCCAGGTTCTTGACCACTAAATGCCACCAAATGTACAGTCTTTGAGTACCACTGTGACAAAAATGAAAGTAAAACTGAAAGAATGCGAAGACTGAAGAATGCAATATGACAGAATTTGTTCAACACTGTGTCTCCAAGTTCTAACATTAAATGGGAGAAATAACTGCATGGAGCTGAACACATAACAGGATTCATTGTGACGAGCGATCGCACATCTCAGCCTTGTGCCTCCATCATAAGGAGTCTGTGACTCTGTAACTTCGGTGTAGGAAACGCACACTGCGTCAACCCCAGGGAGGCACTGGGAGGGCCACGAGCCAGGTCTTGCTTCATCTTTTGCACTGACCCCAAGTGGAGTCACTCCAGGCACAGAGGTGGTATGGCAGTATTGGAATAAGCTGTGCATCTTACAATGTTGATGGTAAAATGCAGGCATTTATATAGACCATGAGTTTAATAACTGTACCTTATACTTATTTAAATACATTGGGAGATTAAGAAAAATAAAAGGAAAAAAGAGAAGTGGTTTTGAAGTTTCTTGGTCTTGAGGGAGCCTGAATGAGCCAACAGTTCATTGGTTTAGTTATGTGACTTTAAATATGAGAATCCCTCCAACCCACAGCAAGAGCATGGTCAGACATGTGGTTCAGATGAGTAAAACTGCACTGACATTTATGGTCAATTTGACCGAGGGAGAAAACTCTCATGGTTTCCAATGGTCTATCACCTACTGCATTGCCTTCTTTCTCAGAATCCCTCTCCCTCTTGCTTTCCCTACCCTCCCTCCCTTTACCTCTCTCTATCCCCTTCCATTTTTTTTCCCTCTCTCTCTCTCACGTTCCAGCCTCACAATGTGAAACCATAATGAAACCGCAATCACTTGACTATCTGAATTCTATGATTTTGTGAGCTCCTTGATTATTGGGAGACCCCAGGTCATTTTCGAATTCCTCATCCCAGCAAAATGTTTCTGCCCATCCTCCCCAGGGGACAGTCCCCATGCTCTCCTGCTTTACTCCTGTCTAATCTTGGATCATTTAACCTGCAACTGTGTCTTGGGAATCGCTAGGAGGAAACACGATTACAAAGCATTTTCTAAATGTATGGGACCATGGAATTTTTATTCCCAGGTTACCTCCAAGACTTAGGTTCCACGGACCTCACTGTTGGAAACATTGGGCTCCACGATTCTAGTCTCTAACCATGGAGGCGAGCTGACGACAGTCACTTCAGGAAATGAAAAGGCAGATTTGAAGGCAGGAGGTAGAGGCTTAAGGACTCCAGGCCAGCGAAGAGGGAACAGAAAACATCCATAGAAGCCAACATTGAAGAGAAATGCCAAAGAAGTGTGTTGCTGTGATTCTGAGTAAGGAGCTGGGTGGATGTGGTCTGAGGTCATGTGGTTCTCCACAGGAGAGACATCGTTCCCAGTGGGGCTCAGGCTCTCCCTCGTCATATGTTTATTTCCCATTTGGGGAAGAACACAGTGATTCAATTCAGGGAGTGACCTTGTCACAGTCTTTGGAAGAACTGCCCAGAACCCAGGTAAGGCATTCTATAAATGAGCCCACGATGGCCTCTGGGTATTGACCACTTGGTAGTTTATTTCTTCACAGCAGGCTGGGAACCATCAGCTCAAAAGCCCACTGGCCTCAAATTCAAATTTTTACACATCCAGTTATTCTTAAAGTAGCTCAAACAAGCAGCCTTGTTAGCCGCTTGGAACCTGCCTGCTTTGCATGCCCCATGAAATCTTACTCGCATCGGCTGCCCTGGATACCATAGAGCCTTGTGGCTCTAAGACTCCAAGCTGCTATGGCCCTTCGGAGCTTTCTGACCTGGAGACTCCTCACCACACTGCTGAGTGACGTTGGTATCACCTAAACTAATAAGCCCTGTCTCCATGTCTCCCTGCCCCAGGAGTTCCCTTTTCTCTTTAGCTTTCTCCATAGTGGCCCCTGAAAGATCCCCAGCTGTGAAGGATTTTCCCCATCCTGAAACCCTGTCCAAGGCCCACCAATAAAGTTTGTTGTAATTTATTGCCTCTTATTGTCTTCTTTTCTGATCAGATCCCTTCCTGGAACAAATCCCCACATATGGACCGGGAGGGGTGGGATGCAGAGGAACCTGGAGATGGGCACAGAAGCCCAGCAAGGCCGCCACCATCTGTACATGAGGGAGGGGCAGGAAATCCTCCAGAGAAATGGAAGCATCCTGGTGGCCTCATTACACAGGCCTTCCCAGCTTCCTCACGTCACCCAGGGAAGAGTTTCTTCCAAAGAACCCAGGGGAAAGTGGTTCATGTGGATTGCTAGGGATACACCCCCAACTGGAAGGCCTTGTGAAAAAACCTTCACCCCGCAAGCTGAGAGCGAAGACTTGTTAGGAGGCTGAATGCATGGACTTCTCAGCCTTGGAGCTATATCAAATAACCTGGTGCCTCAGCCCGTGCATAAGCCCAGTGGCAGTCCACATGGTATGCTCCCACTCAGGGGACTGAGAGACCCCTTTTCACCCAACAATTTCAGTGTCTGATTATCAATCCTTACCTTTTCCACACAATGTTATGTGCAAATACCTCAATAGAACCCAATCTGGCAGGTCTCTTCTTAATAATTGCACATTGAAATGTCTGTTCGTCATCTAGGCCAGCGGTTTCTTGTATAAAGGAAACAAAAGTCATATAATTCCTTTTACTAAGGTCACTGACCTTTGCAGCTTCTTCCACGATGAGAGAGTAAACAGAAGATGACTAAGTGTTTTTGACATCCAAAGTCACCCACAGCCAGAACCAGAGTCTGGGAGAAGTGTATTTTGGACATCGTGACCTCAACTATGTGAAGGAAAGGAAAACTGAAGTCCTTTTAAAATAATATTCATTCAATAGATATTTATTGAGCAACAGCTACAGGCTAAAAGCAAACATCACACAGCCTCTTCAGTCTTTATTAGCATGCAAAACTAGCCCCAAATGCTCCCCACCCCTGTAAGGATGCCCCCTTGTGATGTGGCATTTCTGCTCCCTTCATCAAGAGGTGAAGTCTGATTCCTCCACTCTTTGAGTCTGGACCTGGCCATGTGACCTCCTTTAGCGAATGGGACATTAACAGTGTGACACAAGCAGAGGCTTTAAAAGAACATTCTCATTGGGATTTGCTCTGTTGCTCCTGGGGACCCTTCCACCATCATCTGAGCAAGGCTGGACAAGCCACTGGATATTGACAGGCAACACTGAGAGAGATCTGAACTGCCTGTGCCATCCCAGCTGAGGTCCTAGACACATGAGCCACCACAGCAGAGAATAGCTGTGCCTGATCTAGACCAGAATGGATGCCAAATAAAGCCCAGCTACCCCTCAATATTGTGAAAAGGAGTAATTTGTTGTGTTAAGACACACTAAGTTTTGGGGTGGTTTGTTACCCAGCAAACACTAACTGATACATTAACAATCCTGGACTTTGGGTTAGACACCAAATGCATTAGATTTGCAAATAGGTCTCTATGCCAGCAGGGGCAGAGGTGATTATCCCTGGCGGTAGCAAATTGACTTCCACTTGTTCCACTGGTTGTCTGGGACCTGAAAATGGACTGTAATAGTTGGCTCAGTTTCATCTCTAAAGGAGGAGAGTGGTTAAGGCCAGAGAGATTGAGAAGATTCCTGGAGTTCTTTGGGAGTCACTTGACTCTATAGAGACTCTCAGGCATTTTCTGAGAGTCTTGTGGTTCTCTGGAGAACGCTATGGATCTGTAGAGAGTCCCATAGATTTGTGGAGTGCTCTGAGGTATAGTGTCGAGGAGGACTTCTCAAACCAACTGGGGTGAAGCACTGTGTTTGTTTGTTCTTTATTTCTAATTCATCACAGTCAGTGACATGACCTACAGGCGGGCCATGGGAGATGGAACATGCCCACTATCATGCACTTGGATGCCACGACAACATCAAATTTCTATCAAATGTTCTAAAGTTTTATTCTCACTGTCTGTACTCATTTCACCACAGCCCTTTAAAAGTTTGTGAATTGGCACTGGTCCCATGTGGGAACAACACTTTGAGTAGCTTTGCTGTAGAAAGAGCTGAGGAGGGGCCTCTAAGTATACAGCCCCAGGCCTAGAACCATGAACTCCCAAAAGTGAAATGAGCTTGACCATTAACATTTTCTTTGAACACTGAACCAATATGCCATTTCTTCAGTGCCCAATGCAAGACCTATGGAAAATCAGATAACAGGTGTATTTGTCTGTTTTCATGCTGCTGTTAAAGACATACTGAGACTAGAAAATTTACAAAAATGAGAAGTTTATTGGACTTACAGTTCCACATGTCTGGAGAGGCCTCACAATCATGGCAGAAGGCAAGGAGGAGCAAGTCACATCTTTCATGGATGGCAGCAGGCAAAGAGAGAGAGCTTTTGCAGGGAAACTCCCGTCTTTAAAACCATCAGATCTTGTGAGGATCCATTCACTATCATGAGAACGGCATGGGAAAGACCCACCCCCATGATTCAGTCATCTCCCACTGGGTCCCTTCCATAACATGTGGGAATTATGGGAGCTACAAAATGAGATTTAGGTGGGGACACAGAGCCAAACCATATCAACAGGAAAACGTTTATAAAGAACAGAACATTTACTTCAGAAGGGCACTGAGTAATAATAATAACTCTCATCATTTAGCACCTCATTGGCTAGAAAAAGTAGTTGGGGTAGGAAGCATTATTCCGTAGCCATCCGTGAGCCACAGTCTTTTTTTTAATAATATTTTTAATATATACTATTCTTTTGAGTGTGGACATATTTGTAATCCATACAAATGATATTGTGCTCTAAGACCTCATCGTTTTTCATTTTTATTCAACACTGCTTCTGAAATCTAACCATGTTGCTATGTGTACATCTAGTTCAAGTTTCTTTCTATTATTATTACTATGATACTTTAAGTTCTAGGGTACATGTGCACAACGTGCCAGTTTGTTACATATGTATACATGTGCCATGTTGGTGTGCTGCACCCATTAACTCATCATTTGCATTAGGTATAGCTCCTAATGCTATCCTTCCCCCCTCCCCCTATCCCATGACAGGCCCCGGTGCGTGATGTTCCCCACCCTGTGTCCAAGTGTTCTCATTGTTCAATTCCCATCTATGAGTGAGAACATATGGTGTTTGGTTTTCTGTCTTTGCGATAGTTTGCTCAGAATGATGGTTTCCAGCTTCATCCATGTCCCTACAAAGGACATGAACTCATCCTTTTTTATGGCTGCATAGTATTCCATGGTGCATATGTGCCACATTTTCTTAATCCAGTCTATCATTGATGGACATTTGGGTTGGTTCCAAGTCTTTGCTATTGTGAATAGGAGCCACAGTCTTGATGACAAGGTTGATCAAGTGCCAGTTCGTCCCTGAAAGCTGGTACAAGGAGTGCTGGCGAGGGCTGCTCAAGGAGCCACAGAAATGACCCCCCAGTGCTGGCTGGAGTTCTCATCCACTTTGTTCTCTGTACTCCAGCTGAGCCCTTTCACCAATATGGCTCTACCCTCTCTGGGCTCTATGGGCCACACTAAGTACTTGTCAGGGAGGAAAAAGGCCCATCGCAGGATTTGTTGATAAACATGTAAAAGGACTCTAAAGGGTCTAAGAAGTTGTGCAATAAAAACAACAAAGTAGAACAAAATAAAAACCTGTTTATGGCCTGTTTCTTAGCCAATTAAGATCCTTTTTTCCTGTAACCCAAAAGGTAGCATGATGGTGCTTTGAACTATGTCCCAGTACATTTTCCCTTCTAGGTGATGGGTGGGTTACTACTCATGGTTTCTCTACCTTCAGACCCTGGCACTGGCATTCTAACCCTGGAAATTCTCTTGTGACCTCCATCTGCTCTTTATCTCCCTGACTCTCATTTGTCCTCTAGGTCTCAGGTTGTTATTTTTTGGAAAGTTCTTAAACTCCCTGAAAGGACTGGTTACTAATCCGTCTCTTGTATTCTTACAGCACCCCACGCTTCCCCACAAAAAGCACAATGTATTAGACCTGAGTTGTCTTTTTCTTTGTCTGTCTTCTGCACTAGTCTCTGAATTGGGCAAAAACACCATTTCTGACTCATACCACATGCTCCATAGATGGCTGCAAAATCATAAAAGTAAATTTTAACCTTATAGTTCTGGGCAGAAGGTAAGTGGCTCAGCATGTCACAGAAATAAACCCTTGGCCAAAGTTTTGTTGCATGTGTTTTCGTCCCACAAAACTGCAAATATCACAATCCTGTCACATGACATGAAAGAGATTGTGTGCCTGGGAGCCTGTGCCAAGCTGTTCTTCACCCGGAGGGAGCCCTCAACTGAGATGGGGTGGGGGACCCCAGGCTGACTGCTGACCTCAGTCATAGCTGGACCTAGAGGACTGGAAGTGAGTGAGATGGAGAGAGCCTCAGGTCACTAGGTCAATTTTATAATTCCAGTTCAAGTTCAAAGGTTTTTTGTTTGTTTGTTTTTGTTGTTGTTGTTGTTGTTTTAGACCGAGTCTCACTCTGTTGCCCAGGCTGGAGTTCAGTGGCGCGATCTCGGCTCACTGCAACCTCCGCCTTCCGGGTTCAAGCAATTCTCCTGCCTCAGCCTCCCAAGTAGCTGGGATTACAGGCATGTGCCACCACGCCCCGCTAATTTTTGTATTTTCAGTAGAGATGGGGTTTCACCATGTTGGTCAGGCTAGTCTTGATCTCCTGACCTCAGGTGATCCACCCGCCTGCTCCTCCCAAAGTGCTGGAATTACCAGCCTGAGCCACCGTGCCCAGCCCTGACATACCTAGATTTTTAACACTTCTCAATGTCATTGCTGGAGAGTCATTTTTAGGTTAGGAATACTAAAATGAGCATGATTCAGTTTATCCAAAGTTTTGGGATAAAGATGAGATGTGGAGGGAGAAGGCTGGAAGGAGGCATTGCTTAGGGACAGTGCGGGTTCCTACCCAGGTGTGTTCTAGCAGGCTGGGGAGAGCAGAAGGCAGCTGGTGCTTGAATAAGGGGTACCAGGAGCAAGTAGAAGGAAGATGTTGAGAAAATTTAGTGAGTACCAAAATGTGCTAAGCCCTAAGCGTATCACACACTGTTTCTTGCATTCTTCAGAGTAGCCATACACAGTCAGCCTTCCGTATCCAAGGGCTCTTCAGATTCAACCAACTGCAAATTGAAAATATTTTAAAATAAATAAATAAAAATTAACAGTGCAACAAAATAAAAAAAGACAAATGTTTAAAATGCAGTGTAACAACTATTTACATAACATTTACATCATATTAGGCAATCACAAGTAATCTAGAGATGATTTAAAGTACACACAAGGATGTGCACAGGATATATGCAAATACTACACCTTTTTATATCAGGGACTTGAGCATCCTCACGTTTTGGTATCCTCAGGGGCTCCTGGAACGAATCCCCTGAGGATATTGAAGGATTACTGTAATCTCAAATTATCTTAGGCTCAGAGAAATTCAATGAGATGTCCAAAATCACACAGTTACCATGAGTATATAAAGAACTATACTCACTAATGATGCAGTTTCAGAGAAATTTTTTTCAGAGCTTTTTTCCCCTTGCTTTAATTTTTTTTATATACCTAAAGTGACAGTGTTGAAGTTCCACCCAAATTCTGTCAAATCCCATTTGATCTTTTCCGTGTATCTGCTCCCTGGGCTGCCCCCATCACTCGGCTTCCAACAGCCAGTCCTGCCGCTCTTCTCTGTAGCCTGCTTGGGCTTCTGAGCCACTTAACCTGCAGGCAGAGAGAGCTGGGAATGCAAGAGCCCACCCGCCTGCCCCCCACCCCACCTTGGCCATTAACCAGACTGTCAGATTGAGGAAAATGAAGTCAGGTCGCTAGCTTTGGGATAGGATAATTATGGGCTGGAACCTACCTTCCAATGTTCCTCCTGGGATCAGGCTGAAGCTACCCACTGTGGATTTTGCCTGAGATCATACCCCTGCACGGCTTCTTCTCCTTGCCTGCCCTGTTTCCCCTCCCCCTTCGCCAGTCTGCCCTGGGAGCCCTCGCATAATAAGTCACTTGCTTGTGAATCCTTGTTGCTTGTTGCGGTGTCTGCTTCTGGGAAACCTGACCTTAGGCACCACCTCACATATTTTCTTAACGGTGGTAGAAAAGGAAAGAAGCAAACAGGAGAGCAGGGAAAGAAGACAGAAAAGATGAAAAAGTGGTTTCACTTTGGATTATGGGCTGTCCTTTGTCAGTCATGGCCTCATAACACATTAGACTGAAATTTCTGAGACATTTCTTTCCACACCACTGTTTCACATAATTGGTGCTTTTATGTCTAAAATTACAAAGAGACTATAACATTTAGAGTTTGCAAAATACTTGAGTAGGCTAGAGGGAACTCAGATTGGAAACTGGCAGCTGATGGGCTGAACTCAGCTCACTGATATGTTTGGTCTACACAGTATTGGGTCACAGTGTTTTAAAACTGAATTCATTTTCAGCATTTTAAACCTAGAGTCACATGAAAATCCCTGCTTCTGGCTTCTCTTGAAAAGCTGGGCTATTTGGCAATGCCATGTGTACATGACTGTATGGCAGGAGTCATTTGGAGCTGAGTAATGGCTCACAATTAGGTAGTATATTAGTCAAGATAGAATGGACTCTGCTGAAATAGCAAATAAAATCGAAATCTTAGTGGTTTAATCCAAGGAAAGATGATTTCTTAGTCACTCAAAGTCCAATGAGGGTTGGTAAGCACTATAATCCAAACAGTGACTCAGGGATCCAGGATTCCTCCTTCTTGTGACTCACCTTATCAACAAGTAGCCTCCAAGGTCACTGGGGGAAGAAAGAGAAGGTAGAGGGAGGAACACGTGCTCTTAATTCCCTGAAATGTCATTTTTCTTCAGAGCCTGTTGACCAAAATTAATCCAATGGACCCAAGCCAACTGCAAAGGGGACAGGGAAATATGGGAGAGCACACAGAATCTGGTGAGCATTGTCTCTACCATAGCGAGATATGTATTCTATTTTACCAACTCTCCACAGACCCTACTGCCTCCCTGAAACTGACATTTATTTTTCATTTATCATTTTACACAATCCTCTTCACTCATTACATTACTCTGGGTTAAAAGAACCTGTATGAAATTGGAGAGCGTCTGGAATCCTAAGAATACCTCACCTCCCTCTTCAGGACTGACATGATCTGAAGTAGCCAGGAGCTTTAGACAGGCCTCTCCAGGGAGGAAGAAGCCCTCCAAGGTCTTAAACAAACCCTTCATCCAGTGACTAAAAGATGCCCTTTTCCTAGACAGAGGTGACATCCAGTTTTTTCCGGAGGCCAGACCTATCACCAGCACCTATTTCTGTCTCAACAGACACCGGCAACTGGCAAAAAAGAACCTTTTGAATAAATGTGATGTTTTCTCTGTTTGTCACCCAACATCTCCAAAAAACCATGTCTAAAATGGTGACTGAGTCTTCAAACCAGGCCACAAAATCTACTGAACAAAGAATGTGGTTGAAATTCCCCATGTGGCTGAATTCCCTATGTGGCTAGCTAGGCATGAAACTATCACTTAAAACCAATTCTATGGGAAATGATATTTCAAGGGCAAATAACTGACTTATGAACAGTTCTTACAATTATTGCTTTGTAAACTAGAAATTACTTGCAATGAACTATCTGAAAGTGACTCATTAAAGGTCAATTTTTTCCCCTGGTTCTTGTATTAAAATTAGATTTCAAACTCCTTTTACCCTCAGGGTAGAAGACACCTGCAGTAACCAATTAATATCAATCAAAAGCTGAGAGAGTCCTTCACAGTCTTGGACAATTGCAAAAATCCTCTGCCTAATAGAACTATAATGTGAACTATGTATGTAAATTAAAAAACTTCTAGAAGTCACATTATATAGAGTAAAATAAGACAAGAAACATTAGTTTAAACAATAAATTTTATTTGACCCAATATGTCCAAACTAATTTCAACAAATAATTAATATTAAAATATTGAAATGTTTTGTTCTTTTTTGTACTAAGTCTTTGAAATCCAATATACATTTTTTATACTGTAGCATATCTCAATTTGGTCTAGCCACATTTCAAAAGCACCATAACCCTTTGTGGCTGATGGCAACGTAGGGATTGCAGATCTAGATGTCAAATTAGAGGAGTTAAGCTACAATATAAACTGCTTAACTATTAAAGAGGAATCAAGAATCCAAAGAAAGATATAATTCAATAGGATTTATTAAAGACAGGCATCTTCTGTAAAGCTTAGCAACCAAGGAATTGCTAAATTAGGAGAGAATAGGAATTCTGAGTGCAAGACTGTGCGAGAAGTTGGTCAAGAAGGGAAGTGTCTTGGTTTTGGAGTCCTCCAAAAACTCACCTGGAGGCAAGGGCTTGGTGCAGGCTTTCCATCTGAGAGATGATTCCAGCAATCAAAAGTAGGGAATGAGAAAAGTAAGATAAGATGGCAGGGGGGTTGGGGGAAGCCAACATGGGATTCTTTTATGAGAGGGTTACTATTGCTGGGAAGTTTTTAAAGACTCAGGTAGAACACACCTCCCAGTGTCTCTCTGATCATGTTGATGGGATGCCAGACAATGTGAATTTCACCTTACTGGATGCTGAATATTTCTGTCTTCCTATAAGTATTCTTGATCTTAGTTTTATGGTACAGTTACATTACTTGGAAACAGTTTGATTCTTTCTGGATTTGCTTTTAACATTTGTTGGGCAGATCCAGAAGAATAGCATTGTCTTGATGCAGGAGGACCCAATTCAGTCTTCTCATTAATGGGCATAGGGAAGATCCTTTATATTGTCTGAGCCTCATTTGCTTCATTTTGGGTATTATCCACTGATTCCCATTTGTCATTGGTTGAGAGTTGCTCCTAGAAGCATTAAATCCTGTCACTTTCATCCTTGTATACAGGCTGAGAAAACTCCCACGGCTCCTTTGAAACCCGCCCCCCCACCCTCTGCACCAAAGCAGGGATGCATGTGCTTGAGGTGGGAGAGCTGTCAGCAGGTATAGGAACCTCCCCTGAGCTGACAGGTAAATGCAGAGGAAGGCTGAGGGGCAGAGCATCAACCATTACCAAAAGGGGTTTTGTTTGTTTTTCCTTTTTGCAAAACAATTTTATTCAAGTGTAGTTAGCATGGAGTAAACCACACAAATTTAAGGAACACAATTTGATAAGTCCTTATTTTGCCTTTGTTTTTGAAAATATTTCTTCCTCTGTATAGAATTATGGGTTGACAGATATATTTTTCTCTCCGGCTTTTAAAAATGTTGCTTCACTGTCTTCTTGCTTGCATTGTTTCTGATCAAACATGTGTTATTCTGAGACCAGCTATGTTATTTGTGAGGCCCAGTGTAAAGTGAATATGTAGACCCCTGGTACAAAAATTATTAAAAATTTCAAGATGGCAACAGCAGGGCATTAAACCAAGCATTGAGACTGTTCAAAGTGTACCTTGCGCAACTGCACAGGTTGTGTGCACAGGAAGCTGGTCCTGCTGTTTTCATCTCTTTCTACCTCTAAAGAACTTGGTTTTTAAAGTCTGTTTATAAGACTTTCTCTTCATTAGTCACTTTGAGCAATTTGAGTAGGATGTGCGCTGATATCATTTTTTCCTATTTCTTGTACATCCGTTTCATTGAATTTCTTGGACCTGTGTTTCATTGTCATCAAATTTGAAAAACATTGCATTCATTCTTCAAATGTTTTCTTCTGTCAACTCCTTTCTTTTCTCTCCTCCTTTAAGGGCTGCCTACACACACACACACACACACACACACACACACACACACAATCAACTTAAGGTTGTTCCATGGGGCACTGATGCTCTTTTCTTTTTTTTTTTTTTTTTGAGATGGACTGTCACTCTGTCATCCAGGCTGGAGTGCAGTGGCACCATTTCAGCTCACTGTAACCTCTGCCTCCCAGACTCAACCAGTCCTCCCTCCTCAACCTCCCGAGTAGCTGGGATCACAGGTGTGCACCACCACACCCTGCTAATTTTTGTATTTTTAGTGGAGACGGAGTTTCACCAAGTTGACCAGGCTGGTCTCAAACTCCTGTCCTCAGGTAATCCCCACACCTCGGCCTCCCAAAATGCTGGGAGCCATGGCACCTGGCCTCATTTTTATAAAATTATTTTATTTTCTGTGTGTTTCACTTGGGATAATTTTCATTGCTATGTCTTCTAGTTCACTTACCTTTTCTTCTGCAAGGTCTAATCTGTCATTAATCTCATCCCATGTATTTTTCATCTCAGATGTTGTCATTTTTATTTCTATAGGTTTGATTTCTGGTTACATACATTTCACATCTCTACCTAACTTTTTCAACTTGAATTCAGTTATAATAACCACTTTAATGTGCTTGTCTGCTAATTCTGACATCTGTGTAAGCTATGGGTTTGTTTCACTTGATTGATTTTCTTCTCATTGTGGGTCATTTTTCCTATTTCTTGGCACATCTGGTTATATTGATCAGATGCTAGACAGTGTGAATTTCACCTTGTTGGGTGCTGGATATTTTTGTCTTCCTACAAATATTTTTGAGCTTTGTTTTATGGTACAGTTAAATTACTTGGAAACAGTTTGATCCTTTCTGATTTTGCTTTTGAGATTTGTTAGGCAGGTCTAGAGCTAATTATTGCCCACTACTGAATCAAGACCTTTCTGACTAGCCTACTTAATTATGAGTTTTTCCAGTTTGGATGGTGGAAACAGGTATTACTTCCACCCTTGTGTGAACACAAAGTATTGTTCCCTCAAATTCTTTTGACTGGTCCTTTCCCTGGGTCTCACATTGTTTTTGTTCTTACACAAGTGGACCAATCAGTACTCTATTGAGTTTTCAAGGTCTCTCTCTCTCTCTCTCTCCCCTCTTTGGTACTTTAGTCCTATGACCCCTAGCATCCTTAGACTGCCCAAACTCAGTTCTTTCTCCTCAACTCAGGGAATTCACTGGGCTCTTCCTGGATTTCTCCTCCTTGTGTCATGAACTGGAAACTCAGTGGTGTGAGCTGAGGCTATTATAGGATTCATCTCATTCATTTCTTGTCTCTCAGAGATCACTGTTCTTTGTTGTTCAATGTCCAGTGTCTTGAAAACCGTTGTTCTGTACATTTTGTCTGATATTTGTTTGTTTGTTTTGCTGTTGTTTCTGGCCAGAGAGTCAGTCCAGTCCTTATCACTCCATCTTGGCCAGAAACACAAGTCCCTTTGGTTTTTCAACCTGTATTTTCCAAACAGGTCAGGCAGTTTATTAACACTTGACCTTAGTCAGAGGGTTAGCACGTGACTTATCTTCCAAGAATCTGATCCAAGACCATCTCCTTTATGAATCTTCTCCTGACATATTTCACCTACCATTGCACAAGGTACATGGAATAAAGCTTATCCTATTCATGAGGGCTACATTCTGAGCACTTCATGATTTTCCATGGTGGTGTCTAATACAGCATTATTCTTCCTCTCAAAATGCTTCTGTTTTCTGGATAAGAGCAATTGCTTCCTTAGAAGAATTTAATTTTTCCTCATTTCCATCATCAATAGCATCTGGCTTTTGTATCAAGATTGTTTCTCCCAGACAATACTGAGAAAGTATTTTATCACAAGAAGGCAGCTGTGCTGGTGGCTACCATGGAGAACCATGCATCTCTGAGACACGGGCAACGAGAAGTCAGCTGGTCTCTTTTTGTTTGGTGCCTTGTTTCTGCTTATTATTCTCAGCTCATCAGTTCATTCTGTGCCTCAGCAGAATTAAAATTACTGCACGTCACAGACCTGCATGACTGCTCACGGACTGCTGACATCATGAATACCAAATCGAGTTGTTATGGATCTAATTATACTTTATTGAATTTATTTCTTCATTTATTTCTTTACTGGACTCCTCCTTCTAGGCTATATATATGGAGCCCATCGAAGGCTGGGACTTGTCTTACAATTTTTTATTCCTCTGCCTAATTACAATCTCTGGCATAAAACAGGTATTTGCTGAATGAATGAATAAAAGCACAATAAGAAAAACGTACAAATCTCCAAACCTCTATGTATTACTAGAATGCCTGTACTTTGATGACCCTGTGTTTATATTTGTCACATTTTGGCTGTTAAAACATCATTTTCAGCTGTTTGACAACTCACTTGTTTATGTTGCTTCAAACGTTTTAAATTTCTAACCTAATGGCTCATCTAGTGTCATTCTGCCACTTAGACTTCAAGACTAGAAAACAAGAAAGAGTGCAGCATAGTAGTATCATAGAATGTCTCAAGAATCCCTAGTGCAGGGATAAACACCTCTTGGAAGAGCTATCAGGACATTATCATTTTACCACCATCACCCCTGAGGCTTCCTGAATGCTTATTATGTGCAGGGACTTCCAGAGCTTTACTGTGGCAAAGTCAATCCGTTTTTGCTTTTCAAACTGATAAAATACTTAGAGGCCATGCATGCCAAGACACATTTCTATTATCACACTTGGCCCTCCACCATATCAATGGGTTCCACATCCACAGATTAAACCAACTAGAGATTAAAATGTTCAGGAAGAAATAAAATAAAATAAACCAATACAACAATAAGTAATACAAATAAAAATATAGGATAACAACTATTTACATAGCATTTACATTTCACTGGGTATTTTGAGTCATCTAAAGGTGATTTAAAGTGTACTGGAGGATGTGTATAGGTTGTATGTGAATACTATACCCTTTTATATAAGGGACTTGAGCATCTTCAGATTTTGGTATACACAGGAGGTCCTAGAATCAATCCCTGCAGATACTGAGGCATGACTTTTTTTCTGTTTTAAACATCAGGAAAATGAGGATCCCAGTACAAAGAAACTTTATTAGCAAAGAAGACTGGAATTGGACCCTCCTGTGTAAGCACAGTGTGGTTCCAGCAGCTCAGTATGAAACTTTAACTTTCTCACTGGTTCACTTTTATCTCTGAAGGATAAACCCTCCAAGGTGTTTGGTTACTAGAGCAGTGGATCTGATAACTCTTCACTGGCCGCTGTCTGGGACAGGATCAGGATTTAATGTGAACTATTTGAAGGCTTCAGATGAAGGGCCATGCAGCCGAACATTTAGTCATGTTCAAAACATCAAACATCTGAGGGACTGAACTATGTTTATCCAGACCTGGCAATTCCTGCATCCAAAACTATTTTCCTGGAGCATCTTGGAGGATTAGTCTTTGCCAGAAAGCATTCCTATAATTTTTCTCACCATCGCTACTCTCTACGTGCAGATGATGGGATGGCACCTGCCTGTTTGGCTGCACGCAGGGGCCGGAGCACAGGGACATCAAAACACAGTTCTCACCCAAATGATTACAGATACTTCGGCTCAGCACAGCCCTCCCAGCATGCACATGGGGACACTATGGCCATTTGAAGTCCCTGGATGTACAGACCGGTTTCTGGAGAATTCTGTGGTTGTGACACCTGGGTTCTATGCCTCCTTTCTTGGTCACAAATTCCAGGCACAGGCCACTTGTGGTTGTGCATGCCAGCTCTGGTCTCAGCACATGTGAGCATAAGATTCCATAGCAAAATACCCACGGCCATACTGTAGGGCTTCCCCCTTGTAGGCATAGAGGGGTAGGGGGACCCAAAGGCTTCCATCCCTGGACAGACCCTTTTATGCCTGAGATGGGTTGTTAGTTTTATCTTAGTTTGTGAGTTTGGTTCCCTGTTGCTGTCTCTCAACTTTTACAAAAACCTATTTTATTTTATTCTGTTTTATTTTATTTTATTTTATTTTATTTTATTTTATTTTATTTTTTAGAGACAGGGTCTCACTCTGTCACCCAGGCTGAAGTGCAATGGCATGATCATAGCTCATTGCAGCCTCAAACTCTTGGGCTCAAATGATCCTCCTTCTTCAGCATCCCAAATAGCCGGGACTACAGGTGCGTACCAACACTTCAGGCTAATTTTTAAATTTTTGGTAGAGACAGAATCTCGCTATGTTGCCCAAGCTGGTCTCAAACTCCTAGGCTCAAGCCACCTTGGCCTCCCAAAGTGCTGAGATAATAGGCATGAGCCACTGTGTCTGACCCAAAAGCCTATTTTAAATGTCTTCCCACAACCATGCTATAAGACATCAAAAGGGTCATTTTTTATACACCCTGTATGAGTTTGCTAGGGCTGACATAACGAAGTACCACAAATTGGGTGGCACAAACAACAGAAATTTGTTTTCTCACAATTCCGGAGGCTAGAGTTCAAGATCAAGGAGTCAGCAGGGCTGGTTTCCTCTGGGCCTCTCTCCCTGGCCTGCAGATGGTCGTCTCCTCCCTGTGCCTTCATGTGGCCTTCCCGCTGCATGTGTCTGTCCTAGCTCCTGGTCTTATAAGGACAATCATCATACTGGATTAGGTCCCACCCATATGACCTCAGTTTCCTTTAATTGCCTCTTTAAAAGTCCTATCTCCAAATACAGTCACATTCCAAGGTACTGAGGGTTAGGACTTCAACATATGAATTTTGTGGGACACAATTCAACTCAACACTCTGCTACACAGAAAGTGTGGTGGGACCTTAACAATTAATAGAGGATCTCCAAAGGAAGGAAAATTTCAAAGAAAGTCTGGCTTCCCCTCCCCAAAAATAGATCATCCTTCCAGGGCAGCTTGGAGTTCCTGGTTTCCTCTTTATTCATAAGAATTCTATTTCTCTGCAGTCTGTCTCTTAGCCAAACGCAATTTCTGCCAAACCATATCTCACCCATACCTAACTCTCCTGCCCCCCTGAGCCCTCCCTTTTTCCATAGATCCCACCCAGAACAGCTCAAAGTGTCTTCCCAAAGCACAGCTCCATCCTTTAATGCCCCTTCATGGACTGGTCATTCAAGTTTGAATTACTCCACCATATGCCCCAGTATTCCTTCCCAGCCATGTCCTCCACAACTTTCCTGGATCTTTTTAATTGGGTTGTTTCTGTTTTTTGTTGTTGTTGAGTTGTAGGAGTTCTCTATAGATTCTTGATATTAACCTCTGATCAGATATATGACTTGTAGATATTTTCTCCCACTCCCTGGGTTGCTTTTCAGTCTGTCATGCCCCTTAATGCACAAGAATTGCTAATTTCCATGTCGTCCAACTTATCCAGTTTTTGTTGACTGTGGAGTTGCTGCCCCTTGGATGTAAGCCCAGCACCACGTCCAAGCTGTTCACTGCTGCCACTGTCTTCTGAGTCACTAACACTAGTGTCTACTAGAAGAAATACTTTTCTCTGTCTTTTCATATTTTGGCCCATAGAAGAGTAGATTTTGCTCTCTCTCCCATCTAGAGGAATGGTGAAGAGAACATATGCAGCCTTTCCCTCTCTTTCCTCCTCCAGGGTCCTCTCTCGGGCAGCAGAAGGGACTGTGCAACTCATCAAAACTTGACATTCATTGGTTCTACAGGCAAACAGGGCCATGGAGTCAGAGCCAGTGCTCATGTGCCACCCACCTTTTCTGGTGTTTACAGTGGCTTCCTGAAGCAGGCCAGTTATCGCAATCCTGAGTGATAAAGTGAAAGTGTTTCTCTGTTGCTTAATGAGAGTTTTGTATATATTCCAGCAGCAGAAAGAGAGAATGGCCTCCAAACCTCTATTGGTGCCATAGAAATAGATAGAAAGTTAAAAGGGAAGGAAGGTCAATTAAATGATTGAGGTAGCTCTTGCACAAAGTGGGAAAATGTAGTTAGGGGTATTGAGAGGGACATTGATTGCACAGAGAAAAAAATCTGGTTCTCCGGAGATTTCAAGTTTTCACCTTTTCAGATTATACCTCATTTTCTGAGAATCAAAAAGGTAAGGTCCTATGCATGATCTATCTCTAGGGATGTGGAGTTTTGCTTATATTTTTTCACAATACAGGATCTCTGGGACACATAACTACTTCCCCTCTAAATACTTTACTCAGAGATATTCTAAATTTAATTTCCTGGTATATGCCTTCCTGACCCACTTGCCCAGTGGGAAAACATTTTCTGTTGAACATTGTAGAAAAAAATTGATGTATTTTAAAATCAACTTTTTGTCAAATATATGCATTCTCTACAATAAAGTCTCCCTTAATTCATTTAGCACAGTTTTATTTTCTTTGCAAATAATTTCTTTTTAAAAAAAAGTTTCTGTATTTTGTTTTCACTATTCTGTTGGGTTAAATTCTCAGTTTACAAAAAAGAATCACTGATTCAAAACTGGTCTGTTAAAGAATAAAACTGTAATGAAAATAGTAATATAAATATTGCTGCTCAAAATAACATCATAAATATAAAAAAGAGAGATGACTCCAGTCTAGTTCAAATATAGACTATAAATCTGCATATTCTAGAACAAGGACAGGCAAATATGTTTCCTACAAATAACGTCAACTGCAGAGTTAAATTTTTAAATTGGATTTCCCTGGACTAAGGAATCTGCTTCTACTCTGCAATGATTTATCTGTTTAGAAACATTGTTGAACAGAGATGTGAAGATTTTGCATCATTTTTCAACAGTGGCCTTTTTTAATATGCCCACTGAGATTTTTAAAATCCTAAAACAAACACAAAATATTGCTTTTCTAGTTTTAAACTTAATATTTCTATCTAAAGAGGCACACAGTCAACACTCAAATCCTTCTCCAAAGCACACACAGGTTTAGGTCAAAATAATCCCCCAAAGTTTGTAAAACCAGTTTCATTAGTTTTTGAACATTTCTGCTCAGAAAGGAAACAGCATACGCTTGTGGAAATCATTTGTGCTGTTCACTACGTTTCTCTAGCTCATCAAGAGATTGCATCTCTCTGCTGCCCATAAAGTGACACATGACCCTATAACCGGCTTCAGGAAATGAGAGTGGAAACACAGCTTGAAGAGTTGGTCTGCCATGTACCATGCTGTCTCTCCCCTTGCCGCCATGACAACTTGGCACTGTTCCAGTAATGGCGGCTCCGCCAGCCTGGGTCCCAGAGTGTGGAAGGCAAGCAGCAGAGCCTTCAGGAGATCTGTGCTAGGTATGAACTTGTCTGAGTAAGATTTGGAGGTCATTTGTTACTGCAGCATAACTTAGTCCACTCTGAGTGATACGTAGTGACTGACAGAACTCTTTAACCATTAGACATAAGTTGGATGAGGCAGAGTATTAATAGCATATAAAGTGCGTATGCACAGCATACAATGAGCAACGTCACATACTTGTGTTTGCTTTTGGTTTATGGTTGGATTAAACCACTGATATAGCAAATTTGGAACTCACTCTTGGACTAAGAGTGATATATATTCAAGGAAAAAAATGGCTGGTGGTGTTTTCCTGTTGGAAACTTACGTTACAAAAGACGAGGTGTTTGTTTTAGTTAACAATTATGGTGTGAGTCATGGTAAGGACTGGAAAATGTGTGTTGAAATCAGGATACATGGAAACTAGCTACGTAGGCACTGAGGAAAGGAGATGCCGTGACAATAAAAGAAGTTGCTTCTCGGCCGGGCGCAGTGGCTCATGCCTGTAATCCCAGCACTTTGGGAGGTCAAGGCGTGCATATCACGAGGTCAGGAGATCGAGACCATCGTGGCTAACAAGGTGAAACCCTGTCTCTACTAAAAATACAAAAAATTAGCCTGGCGTGGTGGCACGTACCTGTAATCCCAGTTACTTGGGAGGCTGAGGCAGGAGAATCACTTGAACCCGGGAGGTGAAGGTTGCAGTGAGCCGAGATCATGCCACTGCACTCCAGCCTGATGACAGAACGAGACTCCATCTCAAAAAAAAAAAAGTTGTTTTTCAATGTCAGTCTTCTCACTACTTGGTATTCAACATTATACATATTAATTGTGATGCAATAATGAAGGAAGTACATTCAGATTGGAAATTAAAACGAAGCAATGCCTATTTGGTGTATATATACCTTCTGAGTGCATAGTGTGAAGGTATTGGCAGAATATAAAATTTATTTTCCACACAGACTGTTAGGATAAGGGGTACCCAAATGAGGATTTCAAAGTAGGAATGAGTGGTTGTGAGGTTTTTGTTGTTGTTGTTTGTTTATTTACTGTAGAGATGGGGATCTCACTTTGTTGCTCAGGCTGGTCTTGAGCTCCTGGGCTCAAGTGATCCACTCACCTTGGCCTCCCAAAGTGCTGGTATTACCGGCGTGAGCTGCCACAGCCAGCTATGAGTGTGTGCGTGTGTTTTTTAAGGCATTATTACTACGTGGCACTGATAATATCAGTTAAGGCCCTTTAAATAATATCAAGTGATTTGTCCATGTGGCACGTGGAATATCTTAGCAATGTATTTGGCAATTCATGAGGATTGTTAGAGATGGACGCTGGATGCAGATGACTTAATTGCTAAGAATTTGACTCCTTTCAGATATTTGATGATTTTCTTCAATTACTAGAGGAAGAGAGTAGTGGCATGTTGTTGGGTACACAATACTTCAAAACTGTAACTGAAGGATGCCATGGAATTTGAAAAATTCCAAAGCCCAATTCAAATAAAAAGTGTGTTAGGAACCATTCACTGCTACCTTCCAGCTTTTGAGTTTAATACACTCTTACTGCACTTCTAAATGTTCAGATGGATGCAGGGAGTACAGAACAGTTTCTCACCATATTCTATTTAGTTCTTCGTCAGGTGATTTCTGAAAGAGCCACCTAAAATTTCCTTCGGTCTGAATGGCCTACAATTGTGAGCTAGGATTCTATGTTTTTGATATGCTTAGATTAACATTAAATTTACTTTTTAGTACTTTCATGACTTTTTAAAGTCCATGATCATCTGAAATTTATATTAGCATATCAAATGAAATTACACTCTAATTTTTTTTCCAAAAAGCCAGTTATTAGGTCATCCATCCTTTTCTTCATCGTTATGAACCGTGGATTTTATTGGATCCACACACACATGTGCGCCTATTTTTGGACTTTCTATTTCATTGATCTGTCTGTCTATCCCAGTCATAATTACTATAGTTTAAAAATACTGCTTCTGGAATAATAATCAAGTGAAAATGGATGAAAAGTTTTTTTAAAGATAATGAGAGAAATCTTACCTTAAAAATAACTTCAAAGTTATTATGAAGTATTTCATCTATCACTAGAAGATAATATATGCTGTATTATACATGCTTTACTTTCTTGCCCTCTGCAAGCCTGCACACATGAACAGCTTTCTCTGTGTCAAAGCAACTCACATTGACTTCATTGTCTCTCTGATTGCTGCTTTTCTCTCCTTCCTTTCACTGCCGATCCGCCCCTGCTGCCATGGAACGTGCTCCTCTTTCCCTTAAATTCCTGTGTTATCTGGGTACACTGCACTCCCCAAAGAGAACTATTAAAAGTTATCAGTGACCTCCTTCTTGTCCTTCAACTCTATTTCTGATCTTCAGCCTCCCGCACCTCCCTTATATAATGTTGCCCCTCAGCACACCCACCTTGGTACCCTCTCTCCACTAGCTACCCTGGACCTCCTCTGACTTTCCTGCTGGGAACTTCTCTGCCTTCTTGCTTTTCCTGCATGTGTGCTGCCTGTACACACTTCACTTCAAGTGTGACTGGGGGCGCCTTGCACACATTCCTTAACCTTGCTCCCCGCCTCCTGTGGTTTGGATATGGTTTGTTTGGTCTGGCCAAGTCTCCTGCTGAAATTTGATCCCCATTGTTGGAGGTGGGCCTGGTGAGAGGTGTTTGGGTCATAGGGACGGATCCCTCATGAATGGCTTGGTGCCATTCTCTCAGGAGTGGGTAACGTGTCATTCTTAGTTCCCAAGAGAATTGCTTGTTGAAAAGAGCCTGGCATCTTCTTTTCTCTCTCTTGCTCCATCTCTCATCATGGGACACACCGGTTCCCCTTCCTCTTCTGCCATGAGTGGAAGCTTCCTGAAGCCCTCACCAGAAGCAGATACTGGCACCGTGCTTCTTACAGCCTTTAGAACTGTGAGCTACATAAATCTCTTTCTTTATCAATTACCCAGTCTCAGACAACACAAACAGACTAAGACACCCCCAAACCCTGAGAGTATGAGTTGGTTTAGTTCACGTGGCTTGTGTTCATCAAGGACCAGCTGAACGTTTTCACAGCGTGGTCTACTGTCAGCTAACACCTCCTGGTCTAAAAGGAACTGCCCATCTTCCTGTGGTCTCCCAGAACAGCTCCTCTCCTTGACACTCCGATGGCACCATTGTCCCCAGCACCTCCAAGACATCTTCTGGATGTGCGTGAAAGGAGCCCCTAATTTACAAACCCTTACCACGTGATTTCTCCTCCTTCCACTCTGCTGCCTCCGCTAGCTTATTCTTCCTACTTCCTAAGTAGGTTCCATGGAGGCTTCTATTAAAAGCTTTTCTGGCTTCCTGATCCCAACAGGATTAATCAAAATTTCTTACCTTGGCACCCAAGAACCCTGGTGTCAGTGCACAGACGTTGTTTGCAGCATCTGTACTCACTGCCACCCTGATTGATACTGAAGTCAACAGGATTTGGATTTCAAGCTGGACTTGGTCTCGCAGTGGCTATGTGGGCTTGGGCAGGTTATTCAGCCTCACTCTCATCAAAGACCTTGGGTGGCGTAAGTGGGATTTCCTACATGTAGCCTGTATGTGTCAAACGATGAAGACCCTCCAGTGATCAAGGATCTTGCTTGTTGAACATAGACGCAGAACGTGGCTACACTGTACAACAGTAATGGTAACACCCCTGGACTTCAGAAGGTGAACAAAAGGGCTCCCCTCCCTTCCTTCTTCCATCTTCTCAGAGGTCAACACAGGGACCCTCCTTTGTTTCTTCTCTGCTCGTGGAGATCAACAAAGCGATTCTCTCTTCCTTTCTTCTTGGTCACCCCTTTTGACCCATTGGAGCTATTTATTTCTTGGCATCCCCAAAATGACCATTACATGTAATAGGTGTTCTGTAAGACTTTGCAAATGAATTGTTGCATGAGACCACCCATTCATTGTATAGAGAAAAGATCACTGAGAATGAACAGATCTTGGTTTAGGTTCAGATTTGCCCTATTCTGACTGCATCACATTCAACAACTATATAACCTTGCTAAGCTTTAGTGCCCTAAATTTTCATGGGGTGCTCTGGTCAGTGTTCAATAGCCGCACGTGGCTAGTGGCTGTCATTCAGACAGATAAGATGTAGAATATTCCCATCATTGCAGAAAGCCCTATTGGACAGTGCTGATAGATAAAACACTACAAGAAGGGTGGTGTGTCTGCCAATAATGTCATTAAATACTATTTATGGGAAATGCCTAGAACAGAAGCTACACAGACAACAGAAACACTGCATTTGGCAGAGGAGACAGCCTCTGTCTCTAGATTACTCCAGTGTGTCCATGGAACTCGATTAGTAGGGATTCAGACAAACAACTAAAAGACCCCATTGCAATCATCTGGGCTCATTGAATGATAGGAAAGAAGAGGAAAAGGCTACCTTGGAAAGGTAGCCCCACCTTACACAGGAGCCCCTAGTGTTCAGCCAAAGATACCAAGCAATTCTAAAAGATAATCTGAGGCTTCAAATGGGAAGTTATGGCTTTCAGGTTTTGTTTTTTGTTTTTTGTTTTTTTGAGACGGAGTCTCGCTCTGTCGCCCAGGCTGGAGTGCAGTGGGGTGATCTCGGCTCACTGCAAGCTCCGCCTCCCGGGCTCGCTCCCATTCTCCTGTCTCAGCCTCCCGAGTAGTACTTTTAGCAGAGACGGGGTTTCACCGAGTTAGCCAGGATGGTCTCTATCTCCTGACTTCGTGATTCCCCCGCCTCGGCCTCCCAAAGTGCTGGGATTACAGGCGTGAGCCACCGCACCTGGCCAGCTTTCAGGTTTTTAAGCTTCTTAATCGATGTAAGAAATCGAGCCTTCAGTCAAAAAGGCAAAGGGAGCTGCATGGTATTTAGCTCAGGGAAAGAGATTGGGAGGCAATGTATAAGAGATTATAGCTTATCCCAACGAGGAGATATTATCAGATGATTGCCGGACCTCCAATTTCCCCAGATCCCCTTCAATATAGTTCTATAATGTGTTACTATTAACAAATGCCTTGGCTGGATTTGGCATTACCAGCCTTACCCTTAGTTCCTCGAGGGCAATACCTATGTCCATCTTTTCACTCTTCACAGCACAACCACAGTGCTCCTGCAGGACTCAAGATTCATGTCACTCCTTGCCTTAAAACCCTCCAAAGGGTTCCAGATCCCACTCGCACACCCAGGATTGGCTACATAATTTGAGGCGCCCAGTGCAAAATGGATATGCAGGGCTCTTTGTTCAAAAATTATTAAGAATTTCAAGATGGGCTGGGCATGGTGGCTCACGCCTGTAATCCCAGCACTTTGGGAGGCCAGGGCGGGTGGATCACCTGAGGTTAGGCGTTTGAGACCAGCCCGGCCAACATGGTGAAACTCCATCTCTGCTAAAAATACAGAAATTAGTTAGTGTGGTGGCACGTGCCTGTAATTCCAGCTACTCAGGAGGCTGAGGCAGGAGAATCACTGGAACCCAAGAGCCGGAGGTTGTAGTGAGCCGAGATCGTGCCACTACACTCCAGTCTGAGCAACAGAGCTAGTCTCCATCTCAAAAATAAATAAATAAATACATAGAATTTCAAGATGGTGAGAATAAAGCACTAAACCAAGCATAGACCCTTCTGAGTCTCACACCAATGAAGCTGGCCCTGCCCCTACATAACTCCTATAGATAGCTACTCAAATTTTCAGGGTCTTTTAAAATGTGTTTCTCTCTATCTAGAACACCCATGGGGGCTCTCCCACTGCCATCGTGTTGCATATTGATTTCTCACCTTTCAGATAATTGCTTAAATGTCCCAACTTTGAAAAGCCTCCCAAGGCCCAAACACTCAAGTCCTTACAAATTCTCATAATTAACATAGTTCTTTGTATGATTATTGGTTGCCAGTATAATCCACTGACTGTAAGCTCTGTGAGGACAGACCCCATTTCTGTCTCATTCATCATATTATTTTCATGATCTCATAAAGCACTAGCACATAGAGGGTGTTCAGTAAAAATTGGTTTATTGAATCCGTGAATAAATGGATGAATTGCAATTTTCTACAGACCATCTCTTCAAAGGATTGGCAGGGGGGACAGGAGGAGGATGACTCTGGAGGCGAGCATACCACAATTCCCAGTCCAAATCCAGTTTCCAGCCTAGTGTCACTCAGGACACCTGATTCAACCAGCCCGAGAGCAGGGAGACAGTAAATCCAAAGATTTGGATCTATTTGTATATTATTGGACCATCCTATTGTTCCTACTGGGTCTCAGTGTATTCTTCTCACTTGCCACTGAATTTGACTTGCTTATATATTTTTCAGGGAGTTTTATTGATTACGAAAAAAGACTTCATTAGATTATTCCTCAAAGAAGTCTTACGGGTTTCCAACCTCTATTTTGAAAGACATAGCAATGGCTTCCGAAAGGCCAAGCAATGCAGCCTTTACAACTAAAAACATAAGCGTGTCTCATCTGACTGATAACAGTATTTAACTGAGGAGAGAGAGGCTATGACTGGGGTGGTAGAGGTCAAAAAAGAGTTTAGCCTCATCTGTAATGTTTCATCATCTTAAAAGGGTAATATATTTCTATGTTGTCATACAATTTTATATAATATTAAGATATAAAATGTAAGTCATTTGCTATGCAGGTAATATGGACAGAGAAAAAAAGAAAAAATATATGTAAATTAATATTATATATTTGCTTCACCTTCCTGGCCATAAAAAAATTAAAACTCAAATTCTTAAAAACAAGGATGCTATACCCAAAAAATCCATATATATGGATATACAGAAATAAATATATAGATATGGTTTAAATGTTAAAATAAGCAGCTGCCTTGATTATATCCATCACATAACTGACGCTACAGAGCTTCTCATTCTCATCATGGGATGGATTTTGTTGACTAGTATAATTCTCTAGTTGTTTTGTTCTCTTTACTGAGCCAGAGTATTTCACTAATGCCAATCTGGTTATTAAATTTTAATTTGATGTCTCTTCAACTCAAAATTACACTCTAACCGCGCAGTCTTCTGTAAAATCATGCAAAGGTAAAGAATCACAAGACTACGTGCCGTCAAGACCTTTTGTATTATCCATTTGGAATTTGTAGTAAGGCCCATGTCTTCGGCTCATGTGCCTCTTCCTCTGTTTGCCCAATTGACAGCTCAAATTTTGTGTTAGAGAATGTCAAGCTTCTTTTATTTTTTATGAATAGAATTAAGCTACACTATAATGCTGCTTTTGTAGACATGAATGAACAGGTATTGCACTATGGGTTAGGTCATATTTCTTGATTTCTAACAACATATACTTTTAAAGTTAATTTTACAGGTCTAGTCCCCCAGAATGACTCAATCTCCCATTTTCTATTGGACTGTACACTGGTGCTATAAATTAAAACCACATCATGTTACCTGTCCCAGCTGGTACATTCTTGCATCTCTGGGCCTCAGTTCATCTCAGGCCCAGTGTGGCCACCGACACTGCAATTTGAAGTATGAATAAAACAAACCTAAGCTCTAGGACTAAACTGGGGCACCCGTCTCTACTGTTATCCTTCTTAAGTTGCTTTGTAAAATAAGCATCTGAAGACATCATAGTATTATTTCAATCTCCAAGCCAGAGCTTTCTGTTTCTTACCAGGGTTTCAATAACCTCAACAGCAGGGTACAGCAGTTCCAGCCACACAGGGCACATTCCAGAGCAGAATAGAGGCTCCCTCTTTAGTCTGGGCACACGTTCTTCAGGTCTGCTTATTTGAGGCCTGCTCTCTGCTCCCCTAAAACTCCTTGTTGTTTCTCCAACCCAGCAGCTGAAGTTCAGCTGCCACTGAACCTCACTGTTGTTTCTGTTATAGTAAAGTGATACCAGGAAAGCTGAATAACCTTCGCTTATATCTCCTGGCTGGCCCCATAAGCGTTTGAGCTTGCCATCCCCACTCTATAGCTTCTGAGTGTTTTAACACTAAAGCGCCTTGGGTTGTTTTGGCTCTCATAGTCTTAGAAATACCTGCACCTCTGGGCTGGCTATTCTGTGCTTAGAGGGCCTTGCTTTGTCCTGTTTCCTAAATAGGTACAAACTTTTTTTTTTTTTTTTTTTTTGAGATGGGGTTTCTCTCTTGTTGCCCAGGCTGGAGTGTGACGGCACAATCTCCGCTCACCACAACCTCCGCCTCCCAGGTTCAAGCAATTCTCCTGCCTCAGCCTCCCAAGTAGCTGCAATTATAGGCATGCACCACCACACCTGGCTAATTTTGTATTTTTAATAGAGACGGGGTTTCTCCATGTTGGTCAGGCTAGTTAGTCTCAAACTCCCTACCTCAAGTGGTCCACCCGCCTCGGCCTCCCAAAGTGCTGGGATTACAGGCGTGAGCCACTGCACCCGGCTGAAAACTATTTCATTTTAGCCTGCTATTTCTAGGGATGGGATGTGCTCAATTGCCTAGCCAGCACTACCTGCACTCTGGGGAACTAAACAGTCTGAATTTCAGAGTGGAAAATGACCATTCATGTTATAGTCCCTGCATTCAGCTGTTTCTTCTGGTTGGTGCATCAGTCAGGATAGGCTAGGTTAGGCTGCAGTAACAACTCCATAGTGTCCATGGCTTACGACTGCACGAATATATTTCTTTCGCATGTTGAATGGCTGCAGTGGGTCAGCAAGTAAGTTCTGTTTATTGTGGTGGCTCAGAGAATATCTCAAATGTTCTCGGTTGTCATGTCAAAAGGAAGAAATCTTTGGACAATCTCACACTGGCAATTAAATATGCAAGTCTGAAGTGACTCACATCCCTTATGCTCGGTCACATGGATCCACTCATCCACAAGGGACTAAGGAGGTGGAATGCTGTAAATAGTTTAGTAGTCTAGGCCACTTATGGCTAGGTTGGTTTTCAATGACAGAGTTCTGGAAATCAAATAACTGTACCTCACTCAATCTCTTCTGGCATCCTGTTGGCAATACCCATTGACATTGATGAGTTGTGGGACTAGCCTCCATATACCTTTTATCAAATTGTCAGGGAATGGTTTTCTCTATCTGAAAAAACAGAGTACATAGATACTCAGTTCTTATACTTAAATTCTACTTAAAGATAGAATCAAAGAAGTTTAGAGCTAAGACTTGGCAATACTATGGTAACATTTATTGTACTGATGGTATTGATTATTTATAATAAAATATTACACCTTCATGAATATCTGTTGGGATATTAAAACATTGGTTTTAAAATAATTTCCTTTAAAAACACAACTTTTGAGGATGTCTAATTCATTCTAAACAGCTTAGAAGAAGGCACTGTAGGATGATAGCAAAGAGCTTTGGAAGCAAGCTCATCTGAGTTGAACTCCTGACTCTGAAATGCGCCCCTGTTTGGCTTTGGGTTATTTTCCTTCCCTAAGTCTCAATTTTCCCATTTTAGAATATAAATAATTAAATGTATGTACCTTAGCCATGATGTTGAAATAATACACGTACAGTTGTTCTGCTCAGGAAAAGCTGGCTATCATTATCATTACATGTATCAATCTCAAGATAGGATCAATGACACAGAAGCTGGATCCCACTCATGTTTTAATTTTATACACATTTTCCAAAAGTAAAAATTTCTTAAATGCTTCTGTCCTCAGATCTAATTCCAATAATGCAATCATTTTACACATTTTTTGTTGTTGCTGAGAAGGGAACCACTGTCTGGGATTACTCTCCTCTCAGAGACCAATTAACAGTATAGGGGCCGGGCGCGGTGGCTCACGCCTGTAATCCCAGCACTTTGGGAGGCCGAGGTGGGTGGATCATGAGGTCAGGAGATCGAGACCATCCTGGCTAACAAGGTGAAACCCCGTCTCTACTAAAAAATACAAAAAATTAGCCGGGCGCGGTGGCGGGCGCCTGTAGTCCCAGCTACTCGGGAGGCTGAGGCAGGAGAATGGCGTGAACCCGGGAAGCGGAGCTTGCAGTGAGCCGAGATTGCGCCACTGCAGTCCGCAGTCCAGCCTGGGCGACAGAGCGAGACTCCGTCTCAAAAAAAAAAAAAAAAAAAAAAAACAGTATAGGATGGTAGTTAAGAGCTCACATCCTAGTATCAGCCAAGAGGACTCAGGAGATTGTCATGTTATATGTTGGGATCATAGTAAGCACTCCACAAATGTTAGATGTCCTTCCTCTCCAGGAATTTGATTTCTGAGAATCCAGTGAAAACTTTAGTTGTCTATTGTCACGTAACAAATTACCTAAGAACTTAGTAGTTTAAGACAACAATCTATTATTTCTTGAGATTCTGTGGGTTGACTGAGCAGCCCTTCTCTCTCACATGGTATCAGCTGGGGCACTAGGAGAGTGGGAAGATCCCAAATGGCCTCACTCACATGGCTACCAGTTGGTGCCTGCCTAGCCTGAGAGCTCATCTAGGGCTGTTGGCTGGGGAGCCTCTCCGTGGGCTGCTTAAGCTCCCTCACAGCATGGTGGACTCAGGCTAGTCAGATTTCTTATATGGCAGCTAGCTTCCAAAAGCAGAAGCTTCCAGGCCTTCTTAAAGCCTAGACATAGAATTGACACAGTGTTACTTCCATTGCACTCTATTGGTCCAAGTGATCACAGAGTCCGCCTATATTCAAGGAGGGAAGACTTCACAAGGACATGAGTATTTGGAGGCATGGTTATTTTCCCACAGATATTTCCCACCAATATCTATGATATCCACCTTAGGGAACTGGGAAATTTGGTCGCCCCTTCCAGCACTGCTGCAAAGCATCAATATGTTAATCTTTCAGACTGTGCTACATGTGGTGCTCATGGGTGTTGTCTGTGGACCTGGCTTATTATTTTCCTCTCAGGTTGCTTGTCCTCCTCTCTCTTCAGGAGCCCCTGTCCTTGCTATACCCATGAAGAGCACTGGGGTTGAGAGATGAAGACAACCAGCTCGTTGCAAATAAATGGGTGGCCCTCAATACAGATATGGATTTTTATTATCAGAAAATGTGCAGTTTTGCTAAAGAGCAGGTTCTCGGGCAAGCAGAGCATCATTTTTATGGAAGTAGGGAAGGCATTCTTATGTCTGAGTGACTGCAGGGCTAAAATGCCAAAGACGGGAATGCTGAAACTTAGTCCAAAGATTTCACATCACCTTAAAAATTAACCTTTACTTTACAGGGAGGGAAAAAAGTGCTTGCAAAATAAAAGTTATTTTTATGGTTCCCACAGCCCTATGCATACACAAGCGGATATTATTTAGAATAGCTATGAAAGGCTCCCTGTTCTCAATAAGCTCTCCCCTCACTCTACCATGATGCCATCTGAGTTGTTCAGGAGTCATGGTGATGTATTTAGGGGTCTTTCCTTGCCAAAAGGAAAACGTGGGCTGCAGAAAGGGTCTCCTTCTAGCTCCTAGCAAAATTAGCAAATGGGTAGGTCCTATGGGAATGAGCCAGAGGTCACAAGACACATCCTTCTGATGTTGAAAGCCAAGGATTTCTCTGAGCTGAGAAAGAATTCAGAGCTGTTTAGAGAGAGGGATGAGGGAATGTATGCAGCCACTTCCCCATTCTGGATTCCCTGCAGATGGAACTGTCCCATTCTGTAGCCCAGGCTGGAGAGCAGTGGCATGATCATGGCTCACTACAGCCTTGACCTTCTGGGCACAAGTGATTCTCTCACCTCAGTCCCTCAAGTAGCTGGGACCACAGGTGTGTGCCACCATGCCTGGTTAATTTTTTTTATTTTGTAGAGAGATGGGGTCTCCCTATGTTGCCCAGGCTGGTCCTGAACTCTTGGCCTCAAGCAATCCTCCTGCCTCAGCCTCCCAAAATGCTGAAGTCCTAAAATTCTTAAACAGGACCACGCTTCTGATCCTTGGAGCTCTTGGACTTCAGCAGGAGCCACAGCACCCATTTCATATGGCACTATCTGTTGACCTCTCAGGATCCTTCTCAACTCAACCTTCCAGATAAACATTCCCAGTGGTCTAGGACTGGCCCCCAAGGTGAATTGATTCACCATTCCTGGGGAAGAGATTGAGTATTGTTTATTTTCCCCATGAATGCATGAATACTTATCAGACCATATATATTAATATAGAGCTCAGATAGCATCATCAGAGCACTCTGCATAGAAGGCTGGTCTTGGCAGTTGGTGCCAATGGTGAATCCAGCCCTGCTGGGAACAGTTTCAGGGCCAGGGCTAGAAGAGGGGAGGCTGCAAGGGAAGACTCGGGCACAATGATGAGCAGCAGCTTCACCTCCTCCTTTGTGCTTTGGGTTAGCCCTGCATACAAAGGGAAGGAATCCGCCCGTTTCTGGTGCAAAACAAAAATTATAACCTAAAATCAGACCCCACACTTCAGCTATTTACAGCATGAACTCAGGACTCAAAAGTGCCAGGTGAGGTGTTTATGACAACACTCTCCGGAGACAGAAATGGAAATTACTAAAATTACAGGCGACTCGGTTATTTAGGGGCAATTACACACATTTCTAAATCTGAATGATGCTTGGGTAAGTGGAAGCCTTTGACATTCCAGCAGCCCTTCTTAAAGCCACATGATATTAAAGATAGTTTGGGCTTAAATAAATAAAGCCAGATCATGTGCCAGTATTTGTAGTCCTAAGATTCTTAAACAGGACCACGCTTCTGAGCCTTGGAGCTCTTGGACTTCAGCATTAGAATATTTACCCTCCTGGAGTAGCTGCAACATTTTAGATGAGAAACCAAATGTTTATTTGTGGAATTTAGCCTTGCCCACGGTTTACCAAAATAACAAAAAAAACTTTTCTATGTCTGAATTACATTTCCTTCCCATCACAGTCTTGTAATGCCAGGAATATATATGCTTCAGTAAAAGGACTGCATAAGCATATATTCCTAAAAAAAAAAAAATACAGTTCATGAAAAAAGTCAGAAATGTTTTACCCCAAACACATAACAAATAAGAGACATGCTGAATTTATGTTTATTCCCACTATTGTCTAAAAGTCATAACTACCAACATTTGGTTACTCTCATTGCTAAAAATTTTAGTGGCATTTATATACCTTTGTTTCCATTAGAGGCAAAAACAGAACAACTAAACCTACAATTTGATTTCTAAAATGATATACTGAGACCACAGCACAACCCCAATACAAGCTTCTCATCTGGACATCCACTCTTCTGGCATTCTGAGATGATTTGTGAAATTTACTAACCAAGGTCTTAAAACACTTTTAAGAAACAGAGAGAGAGAAGGAAATGGAGTTGGGGTTAATGGACAGTGGTTAAGGCAGAGCAAGGAGAACACAAGGATACAGAGAGAAATGCTAATAAGAGAGAGAGACACAGAAGCGTGAGAAATAGGAGAGAAAAGAAAGAAAATCTTGCTCCCCTCCTGGTTCATCTTCCCATTTCAGAGCTCTCAGACCAAAAGGATTCAAAACTAGCATGCTTTCTACACCATCTAAACATACTTTCCAGGTGATTAAATGCCACTTTTAAACATACAAAAGAATTAGAATAAATTATAAATAAATTATCTTGGGATACAGAAGTGCTTTCTGAGCATAATTCCAAAGGCATAAATCACACAGAAAACACTGACACATTTTTACTTGTGTATTTTAAAAAACCATAAACAAAATGTGAAGGTAAGTAACATATAAAGAATATATTGTCAGTACATAGGACAAAAGTGTCACATATGAAGAAATACAGTGGGCGAGGTGCCTGGAGAAGGGGGGCAGTGGGTGTTCAACTCCAGGTTCAGGGGCTGGGGGAACTGAGGAGTATCTCTGAGCATGGAAATGGCTTTATGAAAGCAATGCTCAAGTAATAAAAGTTTGAATTGGAGAGATGAGAGTGGAACAAAAAGAGACGTGCAGAACACATTATGAATTATGCATTATGAATCACAGCCAAGCTGGCCCTACCTACTATTGTTCCAAATGCACTCCGTATTTCTCTACCTTTGTTTTTGATCAAATTACCCCAACTACCTCATACCCAGTGGCCTTTCCCCTTCTTACTGTGGATCCTTTAAAGCAAAACTCAGAAACCACCTACTTCATGATTCCTGACTGCCTCAGAGAGAATACAGTCCTCCTTTCCAGCCCATTCGGATTACACACAAAATGACAAGAATCACACCAGTTATCCTTTTTACCTTCTCTATTAGATTGATTATATTTCTTCATATCCTTCCCATAACCCAGACGCCTAGTAAATAATAGAAAATTAAGGTTTGGATGCAAACAAAAGGCTTTCCGAGACAGGAGGTTGGTACATTTCCATCAGCATAATCCTTTAATAAGTGACTATATTAGCATTCGGTTCAAATGCTGAGACAGTGCTCTGGCTCAGCCTTAACTTAGGGGTATCAAAACCACACCCGGTGGGGTCCCTAGCAGAAGCCGACCAGCCGGAGGGTGTTGGGGTAGCTCTTGCGCATGCTCATGCATTTTTCCTGGTCGATGTACAGGGAATTGGCTTTGACAGCCAGGTCATACTCGAGTGTGGCTTTGATGTGGACCAGCGACTGCAGGGTGTCCTCTGCATCCCTCAGGCGCTGCTGCAGGGTCTGGATGGTGTCGTCAACCTCGTGTACCTCGTTAACAAGGCTGCAGCATAAAGGAATCAGCATGGTTAGGTCAGCATGTAGCTTACGCAACTCCAAGTACATCACATTGTAACCAGCGATGCAAAGCTCACATTTTCTTTACTTTAGGATATATTTATCAGCAAATGAGAGGTGCATGAAATTAATAAAATATAAAGAAATATAAAGAGAATGGTGACAATGAACCAATGGGAATGTAGATGTCCCAGGAGATAGAAAAGGATTTCATAATTATAGAAAAATATCTAGACCATTTTAAAATCATTATGCCAAGGCAATTCTATAGTTTCACAGAAATTCACAACTGGAAAACGAATTTAGAGAGGTCACCAAGCCCAACTTCCTTGTTTTACAGACTAGGAAATAGAGCCCAGGGGTTCATAAGCTGTCCTTTCCATCGACACAGGGCCCACATGTGTTTGTAAGCTGTACCTGCTTATCCAGGAAGCTAAGAAGGAAATTCAGCGCTTCAGTGGCCATAATAAGAAACTGGGTCCCATTTCCTGGCCCCATTCCCCTCTCAGCTCCTTGAGACAGAAGAGTAGAAGCAGAGACCCAGGAAGACCTATCTCATCATCTGCAGACACATCCTGGAATATGCTTGCAATTTCTCAGACCTCGAGGGCTTCACTCTTGCTGTCCCCTAAGCTCAGAATGCTCCTAACCCATTCTTCATCCCGCTAATTTATCCCATCCTCAAATCCTAGGTGAATTAACACTTCTTCCGGAAGTCCCTCCCTTAAACCGGAAACCATCTGCTGCCCAGTGTTGTGACTTCCAAAAGGACCAAGCCTTTTACGGCACTCAGGGTCTTGTGATTGTCTGCTTGCAACATCTGCTGTCCTTGCCCAGGGCTACATCCACAGCCGCTCCTGCAAAAATACAGGTGTGCAAAAACTACTTATTGGGTGAAGACCAACTTTCATGCCCTAGGTGAAACGGAGGACGTCTTGGGAGGTAGAGAGTTGCCCAAGGTCTGAATCCATGGGATCTACTAAGAACAAGACCCAGACCCAAGGCAATAAAAAGGAAGGAAAGGCAGGACGGAGCCTGGAGCATTCGCTTCCAAGCCACTTGTAGGTGGCCTAAGAAGAGGAAGGCTGTGGTAAAGGCCCCCACGCAGGCTGATTGAAGCAACAACAGGCCATGGGAACATATCCACGCTGTGCAACACCTTTCATCTTACAAGCTCTACTGTCTCCTGCTTTCCAATGGGGAGGGGAAGAATTAAAGTTTAAGTGCCAAAGTTTGGTTTTGTCTGGGGACGGTAAACACAAAACCTGAGAACTCATCAGAAAGCAAATTTCTTGTTATTGTTTAGGCCAAACTGAATTAAAAAAGAAAGGCTTTTTAAAGATCCCAGGGTATAAAATATCACTAGCAAAGAAATACATCTTCGGCGAGGCTGCCGCAGATGGCTGGTAATGGGATTTTTGATGGTGGATTGTTTACAATCACACGGGGCCTGCCTCTTGTCTCCCACCCTCCCTGGCTTCAACAGGAACCCTGAACCCCAACGTAGGAAACAGAGCAGGATGATATATGTGTCTTTACTCCTTTCAGCCAAATACGAGTCTAGTGGAAATTTTATCTGGGAGGGAACATTTGAAAATATACATGTCAAAACATCAATGCTAAAAAAAAAAAAAAAATCGAGATATAGAACGTAGGCAGTTAGAATACTTGTTTTCACACTGCTGCATGGACACAACTAGGGAATAACATGCTTCCACTTCTCTCATCGTTAATTAGAAATATATTTTTCATCATCTTCAAGGCCCTATTTCACTCCCAGTTTCCTTGTTCTTGGCTGATTGCAGAGAGCTGTTCTGCTGAAGTCACTCTTTCTCTTTCTTTCTTCTTTTTTTTGGAATTACAGAACCACAAAATGTCTTGCATTCAAATACAAATAAAGCTACCACAGTTTATTTATATATATGTGTGTGTGTGTGTGTGTGTGTGTGTGTGTGTGTGTGTGCATATATATATACATAAAGATTATTTAAGTAGAGCAGAGCCTGGTCTGTCTGGCCTGCCACCAAAAATGCCAAGAATGTTTAGAATCACTTTTGAAATAACTCGTTTAGAACATTTTTAAATAAAAGTAAGTCTTGAAATGAAAACAGCAATTTTTCTCAGTCCCCACTCCCCTTAGTTTATGATCTTTATTTTTTCTAAATCTAGACCGCCGAAGGGCTGCTTTCAGAACCATCCATTTAAAAAGGAAAGTAATCCCCTCCCCCAATAATAATCCTAAAGATTTTTGGCAAGGATATTTTAACAAGAAAACTTGACAGAAACAAAAGTAGGTTTTGTTCAAAAGTCAGTAAAGGAGCAGAGGAAATAGACATACCATGAAGTCGGCAGGAAGTGAAAGAAAAGCAAATTCTGTTTAGCCAGGAATAGGAAAAAAAAAAAAAAGAGTAAAAATCATTCAGCTCCTCAGGAGAAGCTGTGAATGCCTCATTGTTTGATAATTCCGAAGTCCTATTAGACCACTACCCAAAACTCATTTTAAAAGCAACCCTGTGTCTGTCTAACGGCAGTATAAACAATTTATTTGTTCCCATCTCCACTTTTGATGACTCTGCAGAGATTTTTGGAGAACGAAACATCAGTTCAGCTTCTCCTAATAACATTTACATAAAGTCAAAACTGGTGATCTAACTCTAATAGGCCAAGTGGGTGTGCACTCACTGCTGGGTTCTTCTAAAGCAGAGAGGTGCCTCCAGTTGGCTGTCTAGGGGCCCATGTAGTCTCTGGAGTGGAGAGCTGCTTATCCTAAATAATGAGCTGTGCATGAAGAGGGGTTCTATGGAACCCACTTTGAAAAACATGCAGCCTGAGTGATCTCTTCTGTGGCTATGGCCTAGATAACAGCTCCACCAGGAGAAATACAACTCATCCTGGAAATGAAGATCATTTGCGTACAACCTAAAGCACGCTTCATGGCACTCAACACAGACAACATGCGTGCTATACACGTAAGGTGTTTCATCATAATGATCTCCTCTGTGACCTTCAGTTTCATCCTCTGTGTGAGAGGGAGATGAGCATGCAGCATTTACTTTGCCAACTCTTCTCAAATGAGATCAGGTACCTGACAGGGGGATGGTAAATGCATTACACAACGTAAAACACAGGAGAAAGAGAAGCAAATGGCTTGGTGGAATAGAACTCTGGGGTGAGACAGGCAAAGACTCAAACTGCAGCTCTCTCACCACTAAATGTGGCCTGGGCCAAGCCACTCACCCACTCCTGCCTCAGTTTCCTCACTTGTAATATGAAGGTAATGAATGAGATAGTATAAAGTGCTTAGGGCAGTGCCCAGCATCGAGTCAGGTTAAGAGATGGTAGCAGCTATTATTATCATTGCATTGATTATCGCCATCATTATCTTTACTATTATTATCATCATCATCAATGTTGGCCTCACAAGATCCCCCTTCCTTCCATTTCAGGAAATCCACTGTCTCAAACCACCACTTATTTCTTTATTTTATCCTTAGGATCAATCCTTCAAGATAAGAGAATTTTATCGTGGAAGCAGAGCGAGTGGCATCTCCCCACTGCACCAGAAAGGCTTCTGGAGTTCACGCACTGCCCTTGGCTCCTCCAGTTGCTATCAAGTTGATTTACTTCTGCATGGAGCATCTTAGGACCTAAGAATAGCAATGATGAAACCCAGAAAGAAAAGGCAGACTCACAGGTATTGGGAAATTGGAAATGAAGCCGGATTGTGGCGGGGGTAGGGAGGGAATCTTGGCCAGTTCATTACAAGTCCATCCCAAAATGAATCTTCAAAGTGAAAATAATAATAAAATTCATGTAGTGTTTAGTAGATAAACTGTGGGGTCAGATTCCTCCTGCTGTGTATATATAGGAGCTGTGCTCGATGAAGACCAGCTGGCTTTGATTTCTACTGAGAATGAAACACATTGAAATAAACTTAAATGAGATCCTCAGTCACAAAGACAGCAAATGAGTAGATAGGAGTCAGTGGAATTGGTACTGAAAGTCCCTTTTCTGTCGCGTTCCCCATGCTGAGAAATACACAGAAAGTCACAAACTGCTGCTTATAAGACAGGAGTTCTGGAAACTCCGAAGACTCCAAGAACATGCAAAAGAACCCGAACACCACACTGGCCTCCCCGAATGAGTTAAAGGCTTAATAGCACTTTTTGTGTGTGTAGCGTTGATGTCCTTTCCTTTTTTAAGGATTTGTGGTAAAATATACATAACATAAAACTTTAACCAATCTTAAGTGTACAGATCAGTGGCATTAAGTACATTCACACTGTTGGTGCAACCGTCACCGCCATCCATCTGCAGGACTGTTTCATCATCCCACACTGAAACTCTTCTGCATTCAACATCTCCCCATTACTACCATTCTCACAGAAGGCTCCTACATGCTGCGTATGGGCAGAAAGCAGCTTTCTAAAGAGCCAGGCACCACAGTTGGTCTGGTGGCCCTCCGAGCGAGCCCCGAGCCTTCCCCTCCCACCTTACCGTAGCTGAGCCATGTCTCGGCACAACTCAATGTTCGGCCGTCTTGTGCGCTCATCCAGTCTGGTCTGAGCCACCTTCAGGAAGGCAGTCTTGTCCTTGATGGCCTTCTTGATGGATTCTATGGTCATTTCAGTCTGGAAAATCTCCTGCAGGGTCTGTGACAAAGAGAAGCAACTGCCTGAGGCTTTGGTGTGGTCCCTTCAACAACCCGCCTCCCACCTCTTGCCTGTCCACTCCATGTCCAGCACGTGCCTTGACCTCGCTGATGAGGAAGTTGCTTCACCAAGACCGTCTATCCTTTCCAGCCCTGCCCCAGGGAACCCACGTGTCTCACTGGAGCTGGCATGCACCTGCTCTGGAGAGTGGGCGGCGCCTCTCTCCCCAACCCTAGGCTTGGCAACCTCATTTTGGTAGCTGGAAATCAGCCAGGGTGGGAGTATTTCAACTACAGAAATTGGCAAATGCTCCAAATTAGGGGCTCCCTGCAAGCTGCCCCCAATGGCCGTTGTTAATTACTGACCAGCACACCTCTGTGTTCTGATAAAAGTGAGGCTTTGAGTGGCCCTGATCTCCCTCCTCACATCCATATATCTGTGCATCTCTTCCCACTTTCTCTTCCTACCAACTTGAGCATTGCTTTCCTGCTCACAGAGGATTTCCCTTGCAGAGAATCAGGCTTCAGTTTCAGGTACCTCACTTGCAATAGAGGAGTACTGGCAGTTTTGTATTCCTGATTTTGTATTCGTTTTTTCTTAAAGAGGCCACCACCCCAAATTGCGTAAACATGGATCCCCCTTTGGTTCTCCCTCCTCTTTCTCTGTAAAGAGAGTCCCTGTCCTATGCTCTGAAAAGCCTCCCTTCTCCACGCATCTTGATCTCTGCACTCCTGTAGCTCCACATCCTCCCCATTACTGTCCCTCTTCCTGGGTTCCCTTCCATGGCCTGGAGACACAACCAAGAATCATCTTTTTTTTGGAAACCCTATGTTTTTACCACCACTCTCCCATCCAGTCCCAACTGAGTCCTCTGCCAAATGTATTCAACCATGGCTGTGCCCACTGCCTTCACTTCCCACCCACCCAGTCTCTCAGTGGCCCCTGGATTCTGTCTCTGGCCCTAGCTGCTGTCATGAAACTTCAGTTTCAAAGCTGACATCGAGGCCTCTCTGACACCTCCCTCTCCTTAAGACCCTCATCTTGTTTTCTCTTGCCAAGTGTTGTTCCAACTCCCTCCTTTCCAACTACTCCTCATTCCCTTCCAGTGCAAGGCTTTGTCCTTGGGTGATGTCTCTGCAATATCCTTTCTACACTACAGAGACCTCGTGCAATCACAGATTTAGCATTTGTGTCATCCAGGCACTCTTCAATCTGTCACTTGAGCTTCGACCTCTCTCCCAAGCTAAAAATCATTTCACTGTTTCTATCACTAAGGCCTTCTTCAGATACTATGTGCTCCATGAAACCATCTTGATCTCTTGCCAATGGAAACAACTGCTCCTTCTTGTAAACTGTGTTCACATTTCATCTGTGTTTCCAAGTTCTTTCTGCACCTTTCTGATGCAAATTCCCGTTTTCTGTGTGCATGTCTTGTCTCTAAGACGTGAGATGTATGTACATCCCCGAGTGCCTAGCACAATACCTTGAGTGTACCTGTTAGGGCTGAATAGTGCCTCTTCCCCCAAAATTCCTATGTTGAAGTACGAATCGCCAGTGCCTTGGAAGGTGACCATATTTGGAGATAGTGTCTCTGTGGGGGTGATTAAGTTAAATGAGGTCTTTAGGGTGGCCCTAATACAATACAACTTTGGTGTCTTTATAAGCAGAGGAAATTTGGACACAGACACACACAGAGGGAAAATGATGTGAAGACACAGGGAGAAGGTGGCCATCTACAAGCTGAGGAGAGAGGCCTCAGAGAAAACCAACCCTGCCGGCACCTTGATCTCAGACTTCCAGCCTCCATTAATTAATTTTCTCTCTCTCCAGTGAGAAAATTGATTTCTATTGTGGAAATTCATTACCACAGTCTGTGGTACTTTGAGTTAGGGCAGCCCTGGCAAACTAACATATCAGTAAATAAAAATTTGTTGAAGAAGGAACTCTGTCACACCGGCCTTCTAAAAGGCCTTTAGAATGTCTTCTTACAATTGATAGTGTCTGACCTCATTAACCTTCTCATCAACGTCTTCTACAACCTGTCTTCAACCTACTTTTCCATGTTCCTCTCCCAGGACACAAACCATCTACACCAGCCACACACCAGACTCTTTACAGACCTCAATTCATCCTCTGATTTGCTGTCTCCAAGGCTTTCTTCAAGATGTGGCCCCACCTGGAACGGTCACTTCTCCTTCCAAACCCCAAAAACACTTTTGTGCTTGTTATTTGATAATCATGATTTGCAATATTCTATTCGTATTGTTTATGAGCTTTTCATGTGCAAGTATTTCTTCTCTGTAATGTAAACTTCCTAATAACAAAAACTACATTTGATGCTTCTCTCTGCTCTTCACAGCATGGAACACACTGTCTGGCTCAACTAATATTTGTTGCCTAAAGCAGGCACCATGAGAAGGAAAAGTAAATCGCTGCAGCCTGAGAAAATGTGGTACCCTCAACTGGGTAAAACCATCGTAGGCAACATGGCTCATGGTGCAAGGTTCTTAAAAAGAAGAAACAACATTGCTTGCTTCAGCAGCACATATACTAAAATTGGAACAATACAGAGAAGGTTGGCATGGCCCCTGAGCAAGGATGACATGCAAATTCATGAAACGTTACATAGGTTTTTACTATAGGTAACAATACATTATATAGTTTCAACTAGCTAGGGGGAGGATATTGAATGTTTCCAATCCAAAGAAATGATCAGTGTTTGAGAGGATGGATATGCTCGCTCATTACCCTGACCTGATCACCATACATTAAATGTATCAAAACATCACTGTCCACCCATGAATATGTACAATTATTTTTTGTCAATTTTAAAAAATAAGACACAACAAACTATATGCAGCATAATCCACAGAAACAATAAGAGCTCCAAGACTGATATGAAGGAAAGGAAGAGCTCCTTGTTTATCTTGAAACATATGAATTCTGCTGGACTCCTTCATTTTGTAGTCATTGTAAAACTCTTATGCTTTCAGCACTTAAAATTTTTCAATATCAGAAACACTTTGAACTACCTAACAGTTTCCTGTATTTGGTTTTGTATTCCAGAAAAGGGGTCTAAAATACTTTAACAGAAAACATTTCTACCATATGTTCTAATAATAAATTCACTTCCTAGTTATATACAGCGATCCATTAAACTTTAATAATAATATTTTTGTTTCTATTAAAGACTAAGAACTTTTCATTACATAGTGCCTTCTTTGTGTTCCAAATACCAGTGGATTCCAATTTCATTTTGACACCTGGCTACCTGGCTGAAATAAATGGCATGCTTTGTGCTGTTTTAAATTTTTCTTGCTCTGTGTGGCCAGGCTGTCACATGCCTATGGTGCCTCTCTGGGAGTGGTGAGAGATTTGTAGTCCCAGAGCACACCGCTCTGTCCAGGTCAGCTAAGGGGTACCACTGGCGGTTGATTTACCTTTGCTAAGTGCGTCTGAATCTTATTCTTAGCATCTGCAGTCTCAGCAATGCGATTGGTGAAAGACAAGTTCACTTTGTTGAATTGATTCCACATCTCATTGGCAGTCACAACCAAGAGGTTTTCAATGTCGTCTCTTAGCTTAGCGGAAGCTGCCCGTTCACTCTGGGAGCGGAGAATATTGTCATCTGTAAATTTGGCCCAGGACTCAGGCACTGAGACACTGAAAAAGAGAAGCAGAAGCAGACAACAGTGAGAGTGATGAATCAGCCTACAGGATCGCTAGGCAATCATTTATCCTGAGAGAGAGAAACCCCCAGGTCGCTGATCCTAGCTTCATTATATAAATGTGAATATCAGAATGAGGCTTATTTTCAACTTTCCTTAATTATTCCTTATTTTACTGCTAATCAGTTTTCTATTTATCTAAAGCGTAAGCTGGTTCTTCTGCCAGTTTCAAGGGGCAAAAGGATTAATGAATGATGTGAACGTGTAGGTTCATTATAAATGTGTCACACATCACATCAATAAGCATATGACAAAATACTCAGCCTCAAGGGTAATCAAAGAAGCATTAATGAAAACAGCCTACTAAGGAAATATTAGCAGGAGTAGAGAGAATGATCATTTGCAGTGCTGGCGAGCATATTTAGAAAAAGTTTCTCTTGTATCCTACAGATGAGAATGTTGAATTGGTACAACCTTCCTGGAGGGTAAAGAGGCAACACAAACCAACAGCCTTTCATTCAAATGTGGAAAACCCAGAACTTCCACTTCTAGAAATGTATTATAAGGAAACAATGTACCCAAGGATATACGTGTGAGGATATTCATTTCAGCCATATTTATGCTGATCCCTGAAAAATGAGAAACTACCTAAATGCTCAAAAGTTTAAAACAAAAAGGTTGATTATGGTACATTCAAAAAAGTAATCCATATACCAGGCAAATTCATGTTAAAGTAGAATATTTATTTTACAGACAATGTTACTGAAAAATCAGACAGGCTATATTTCAACTGCGTGCATTGTATGGTATGTGAATTTCAATCAAGTTAACTTTTTTAAGAAAGTGGCTGGAAGAGACCATGGATCCTGCCCAAAATTGCATCCAGGGGCCTGGCAAAGAAACCACTGGTGGGGTAAGTTGAACAAGCTGTGGTAGGAAAGGCATCAAGCTGTTTTCAGCCTGTATCCCACAGCATCCAGGGCATGCTATACAATGGCAACTTGTGGCTTGTCTGTGTTTTTCTTTTTTTTTTCTTTTTTTGAGACAGAGTCTCACTCTGTCACCCAGGCTGGAGTGCAGTGGCACAATCTCGGCTCACTGCAACCTCTCCTTCCAGGTTCAAGTGATTCTCCTGCCTCAGCCTCCTGAGTAGCTGGGATTACAAGCACCCACCACCATGCCTGGCTAATTTTTGTATTTTTAGTAGAGACGGGGTTTCACCATGTTCGTCAGGCTGGTCTCGAACTCCTGACCTCAACTGATCCTCCTATCTCAGCATCCCAAAGTGCAGGGATTAGGTGTGAGCCACCGCACCCGGCCTTGTCTGTGTTTTTCTAGGACTTCTGCATCAGGTAGGGTTATTTTCATAGTTAGAAAATATAAGTAACAAATATTACTTTACAAAAGAATTCAGGATGCAATTATCAAGGTCTGACCACAGAACGTGCTTGCTTACTGGAGACTTGTCCAAAGCTGGGTGTGTTTCTCACCTTCAGATATCTTACCTTGCTTTCCATTTTAACCTGTAAGCTGTGTCCTTTCGAAAGGAGAAAGAGTTAAATGACATCGAAATCACAGCCGTGGCGTGTGCCTGACTTACGTTGCATCGACCCTCTCCACTCCGCGGAAGTAGCCGACACCGTCTGATGTGTTGCGCAGGTGGTGGCATTTGTCGTCGATCCGGTAAGCCGTCTGTTTGTCACTCAGGTCCTTTTCCAGCTCATGCTGGGACGCTCTGTTGGCTCTGCAATACAGAGTCGGGAAGTGGAGCTTCACACTCAGGTGACAATGTCCTGCAAGGACACATGAGTGCCCTTCCATATTGGGACCTCTCTCACTGTTGCTCTCACCATCTCTCCCTCTTCACACAGCGTTCAATTTCTCAGTCAAAACGAGCACTCTCTGGATATGCCCATACCTCTACGTCACTGGGACCCTAACTCCCACCTTGTCTACACTTCTCCTTTCATAGGGTGGGATGGAAGTGGGTAGAGCAGGTGAAGATAAACAGGGGTCCAGGATCTGCAGCCCCAGCTGGGGCCCATCTCCCTAAAACACACAAACTCTTCCAGACAGGACACGGGTTCAAAGTAATCTGTCCACATCTGTGCCTTCCATTCCTTCCTTTTCCTTTTCCTTTTCCTCTTCTATATCTCAGCTCCCTTTTCCTCCATTATTTGAATATAAATCCCCAAGAAATCATGAGGCCTTTATAGCCGAGCCTCCTGCCATCCATTGGTAACCTTGGTTTGTGGTCATGCTGTGGCTAAGAAGTTTGCCAGGAGATAAAAACCAAGGATCAAAATTAACCTCCAGGGCAGGAGTGAGAGAGGGCTTCAGCAGAGATCGGGAACTAATGGTCCACCCAGGCTCACACACTCCAGCAGCCACCCTGCTGGAAGGAAGAGGCCTCAGTAAGCTCTGAGATGTATGGTCTTGCCTGCACTGCCAGGCAGACAGGGGACCCACAGCTTATTACCAAAGACAGACCCTGGGGGCAGGCATAGATGACAGGTGAGCCACATGGAATACTTCATTCGACAAATAATTATTGAGTGCCTCCTATGTGGCAGACACCATTCTGCAAGCCTGGGATGCGTCAGTGGACACCACCAACATCTCTTCTCTAAGGAGCCGACATGTTTCTGGGAGGAGACAGCACATTCAATGAATCGGCAATTTGTGTGGTTCGAAGAACAATGCTAAAAACAAAGCAGGAGAAAAGAGACCAGGACTGTGGTTATGATTTTAAAGAGGATGGCCAGAATAGGTTTCACCAGGTGACATTGAGCAAAGACATAAAAAAGGAGGAATCAGATCATGCAGGGCCCTAATGGACATGGGAATGAATCAGGTTTTCCTTCGAGTAAAATTGGAGGCCATTGACTTACAATTTAAAAGGATCATTCTGGTGCTGGGCTGAGAACAGACTGCCGGGGGCAGGAAGACCCATTAGGGGGCCACTGCAGTTACTCAGGTGAGAGATGAAGGCGGCTTGGACCAAGAGGATGAAAGTGAAGGAAGCAAGAAGAAGTATTCAGATTCTGGATATGGTTTGAAGATAGAACCAAGAGAATCTCCTATGAAATTGAACACCAGTGAGAAAAAAAAAAAAAAAAGAGCTTGAGTCGTTGGAATAATGGAATTCCATCAACTAAGATAGGGGGTTGGCTGGGGAGGGAGAAGCTAGGGGAGAAGATGGAAGTTCAGTTGACATAGTAAACTTGAGTGTTCACTGAACATCTACATGGGAGACATGAAGGAGGTTGTTGGAATTTGAAAGAGACATCTAGGCTAGAGATAAAAAGTAGGGAGACACTGACAGATAACCAGTATTTGAAAAAGTAGGATAGCTGAATGAGCTTGGGAATTTCTATATTCTCAGCACCTAAAAATGGTTTTGGTAGAGCAAAGCCGTTCACTCAGTAAAGGCTGTGTTGAATGGAATGAGTCAGTTCTAGCTGCAGGTTCCCTTCAACTTAGCCTGTGCTTTCAAGCAAATCACTTGACCTCTCAAAGCTGTTTTTCTTCTTTGTAAAGTGTAAATGAGAGTAGCGACATGCAAATGATCTGCACTTTGTGAATTCTAAGACAGTATACATGTGCGAAGGATGAAAAAGGAAAAAGCTCCCTTCCCTTGCTACTTCTGTGCTGAGGCTCTTGCCTTAGGTGATTATGCTGAAATTCTAGGACTAGAAGGCCTTTCTCCTTTGGTCTGGGACCAAGATGTCCCACAAGCTTCCTGTCTTAAGCTGAGACCCTGTTAGAGAAGGGGCTGAAATGTTCATGAAGCATCTATTGTTACAGTTCACCTCTTGGGAGGTGGGGCTTGGGGAGGTGGAATAGAGACTTCACAGCCTTTTACTTCCCATCACCTCAAGTGAAAATCCCTTCTCGTGCACACTGTCAGGTCTTGGCTGGAACAGTGGTTGAAAACATATGCCTTGAGAGTGTGGAATGATGAACAGTGGGGCTCAAAGGAGGGGAGGGAGGAGGGTGGGATGTTGGAAGGTTGCTTAGTGGTTACAATGTGCGGTGCTCCAGTGATAGATACTCTGAAAGTCCTGATTTCACCACAGTGCAATATATCAATGAAGCAAAATTGCACTTGTACCCCATGAATATATACACATTTTTTACAAAATTAAAATGTTAACAAAAGCCATATGCTTCAGCATCAGACAGCCCTGGTTCAAATGTCTTTGCTGCTTGCTAAACCTGACCAGAGGAAAGTTATAAACTAATGGTAATAATACCCGTCTTTCCAGGCTGTCCGGAAGATAATTATGTGCCTAACAGATGCTAAGTGCTCAGTAAGTATTAGGTCTAGTAATATTGTAACATGGGTGATTTTTATGACTTTAGAACTGGGGCTGCCTGGACACCCTCTGATCTGGCCTCGGAGTCTGCTTGGACAGGCATTTAAGGCAGCATCCCATCACCACGTCTTACAGCCCAAGATGGGAAGACCTTGGCTGCCCTGTTAGTGCCTAATGAGATTCTATTTTCAGCTGAGATCCAAGCTGAGGGTTTCATTGCTCCTTCTGAAACAAGTGTAGTTGATAAACTCTCTTCCAGTCACCTGCCCTGGACAGATCACAGTGGCCGCCCCACAAATCCTGGAGAAGCCATCCCGGGAAGTGAGGTAGGCATTATGCCCACTGTGTATTAAAGGAAAGCCAATCTCCTTAAAGGATCAACAACAAAGATTCCAAACAGGTACAAACACACAGAACTTTCTGCAAAGGTCTGCAATACAGCCAGTATTGAGGCAATTTGTAACAGGGATTTACATGAGATGAGGCTGTTCCACGGTAGAACAATCTAGGCCAAGAACAGCCAAGAACACAAAAGATGGGCAGCAGATTCCAGACTACGAAATAAAATGCGAATTAGGAACTAGAACCAATGCTTTGAACCACACTAAACATGTTTCTAAAATTCCTGGGGAGCAGAAACCACGTACAGTCATCCTTAACTACTCTTTTGCTTCTCCTCACCAATTTCCAAATTAAAAAACCCTTCCAGTCACAGCTCGAGAGAATCTCAGCGTACAAACCTCTCCAACCTTCGTGGTGTTCAGATCCTGACGCACAGGATGGGCAAATTAAATGAGCAGCATGGACGCTTTTATAACACACATAATCACCTCTCTTATTGGGTGGCATATTCGACACTACTTCCTTCCGTGACCATAAGCAAATGGCACTGATCTTTCTACTTAATGTTGGCCAACAGTCTCGGCCAATACTTTTCCTATGCTGACAGCTGTGATCATTGCCTGAGACCTTCTTTATTATTATTCTTCCCCCTCCTAACTCCTCATCCCACCCCCAACCATAAATATTAAGTACCTACTATCACCAAGAAAAGAGAGCCCATCCCCTGGAAGAATGTGTATTCTAGTGAGGAATAGGATGGGTTAACAGTTACAATGCTGTGGGACGCAGGGAGCATTGCAAGGGTGTAATCATTGCAGAGGTCGGATCTCTTTTTTTTTTTTTCTTTTTTTTTTTTTTTTGAGACGGAGTCTCGCTCCGTCGCCCAGGCTAGAGTGCAGTGGCGCAATCTCAGCTCACTGCAAGCTCCACCTCCCAGGTTCACGCCATTCTCTTGCCTCAACCTCCCGAGTAGCTGGGACTACAGGCGCCTGCCACCATGCCCGGCTAATTTTTTGTATTTTTAGTAGAGACGGACTTTCATGGTGTTAGCCAGGATGGTCTCGATCTCCTGACATCGTGATCTGCCCGCCCCGGCCTCCCAAAGTGCTGGGATTACAGGTGTGAGCCACCACGCCCGGCCGCCGCAGAGGCCAGATCTTTAAGGAGGTATGGAAGATAAACATTCAAGTAAACGACCACTCATTACTTTTTCAAATGTTAGAGCTGAACAAGTATAAGTCAATCTCTTATGTAAAAAAAATGCCAGTCTTTTGAGTTAAAAGAAATCTTAGTTACACTCAAGTGAGGGCAGAAATCCTTCCCACAGCATCTCAGAATTATTTATTTAAATAAAAATTTACAGCAAGTACTCCATGTACTTATTTTTTAAAAATATATTTTTCTTGAGACAGAGTCTGTCTCTGTTGCCCAGGCTGGAGTGCAGTAGCACAATCAGAGCTCATCACTGCAGCCTCATACTCTTGGGCTTAAGCAATCCTCACACCTCAACCTCCTAAGTAGCTAGGACCACAGGCACCCGCCACCATGCCTGGCTAATTTGTATCTTTTATCTGTAGAGCAGAGGTCTCATTACATTGCCCAGGCTGGCCTTGAACTCCTGGGCTCAAGCGATTTTCCTGCCTTAATTTCCCAAAATGTCTATTTGTATTATTTTAAAAAATGTTTATGGGTACATAATGGGTATATACATTTATGGGGTACATGTGATATTTTGATACAGGCATACAACGTGTAAGAATCACATCAGAGTAGCTGGGGTATCAAGTAATCATCTTAACATTTGAATAAAAATATGTGTATATGCCTGTGTGTGTGTCCTTATAAGAAATTAAGAGAAATTTCAATGAGGAGCATGAAAGTATAGTTCAATGATAGATTTTGAATTGTATAGAGACATAAAGCTCTTACGCAAGTTGGGCAATAGCCTTATCCAAATGTAGCTTCATTCTTTCTTGACAACACAGAATAGTATCAACTTCCTACTCAATTGGAAAAAAAACATATTAATGTTTTCATTATTGAATATAACACTCAAAATCAACAATGTAACAAACATCAATGAAGGAAAATTTTGTTTCTTAAAATACTGTGAAGTTAAACAAGAAAACAATTTTGCTTCCACTTATTTATCTACATGCTCCATGATACTGGAATCTAAATATCAGACTAAGATGCAGCCTTCATAGGTCGGTCCATGGGGAAATTATATTATGGAACAAGTGGGGACATGGTTAAAATTTTAGGATTTTTCTCTCTTTTTATCCCTGTCCTTAATTAAAACAGTAAAAAAAAAAAATTCTGGTAATATACAAGGTCAAATTTAAATGCACGGCTTCTTCTATAACAGCTGTTCTTCCAAGACAAAGTAAGTCAGGGAGGAAAAAAGCACAACCAAAAGAAGCTTCTCTCTGGCAGTACATGTATCCTCCAGAAGACAGTGCTTGGGTCCAAACATGGAGGCTGACTTCCACCCTGGGAGGTCGCCCTCCGGTCCTGCTTGTGTACTGCAGCCCAGCTCCTGTCCTTGTACAAACACCTGTGCTAGCCAGGCCTCTCTACTGGACCACACACGTTGCCTTTTGATGCTGCTAGGATGTATCCACTAGCCCATAACATGTCAGAGACTATTAAATCAACATTTATTTCCCCCTTGAAATTTCTATGCACGTTAGAAAATGTAGCACATTATGTATGCACATTAGAAAAGTGCACATTGTTACTGTTATCATTTTCTCAGCCAAAAAGTTGTCATACTATGCATACTGCTTTGGGACATTTTAAACTTGAACATTTTCTCATGACATTAAAAAGTACTGTGATGAATGACCTTGATCAATATTTAGACACCACCGAAGAGTATGCCTTTTTCCAAGGTTTTGACAAGTACAGCCAAATTGCCTTTCAGAAAAGTGGTACTCATTTACAACAACAAATGAACACGTGTTTTCTTGTCTTGCCCAGCAAGTGGCCACTGTTACTCCTTTCCATCTTCACCAGTGTGATGGAACCACACCCCCACCACCCCACCAAAAGCAGCAAACCTGCCTAAATTTGCAAGCTGATATTATGAGTATTCATTTGTTCACCATTTGCCTTTTTTGCTTGTGTCAACTACCTGTTCACATGCTTGTCCACTTTTTCTGTCATTTATTTTTTCTTTTTCATTTGTGAGGGTTATAAACATGTTTAAAATTCAGTCTTTTGTGTTATATATGTCACAATTTTTTTAATCAATTTGCCTTTGGTTTTATAAATGTGCGTGGTGCTTTTGATATAGATGTTTCTGATTTCTATGATATCAAATCTATCAAATATATCTCCTTTTGGTTTCTGCCTTTGTTACTTAGACAATAAAGGCCTTCACCACTCCAATATGAAGTATTACTCACCTATGTATTGTTCTTCTTTTATTGTTTAATCGTTTAGTATAAAAATATCAAATATGTCTAGAGTGATCACCCTACTGTCTGGTTGTTTGGTATCTGAATTAATGGAATAAAGGAAGAGCTAAATTCCCTTCACACATTGACACCAACATTCTCCCTGCCTTGACAAGCAGGCAAGATTTCCCAGCCTCACAGTAGGTTGTGCATCAGTCTTAGTATTTTTGTGTTCAGTTTTTATCTTTCTCAGTGCCTCATGAGTATGTGTACCTGTGTGTACTTTGATGAAATTTTAACAAAAGATGCATGGAGTCCTGCTTAGAAAGGACCATTTAAAACCCCAAATTGTGTTTTTATCCCTTGTGTACACAAAGCACAGAGTGGAAATTCTTAGGACTTTTAGTGAGGGAAAAAAAATGCATTTAATGAGACTCTTGCTGTAAAAAATTCCTACAACAATAATTTTTTTTTTTTTTGAGATGGAGTCTTGCTCTATCTCCCAGGCCGGAGTGCAGTGGCGCGATCTCGGCTCACTGCAAGCTCCACCCCCCGGGTTCACGCCATTCTCCTGCCTCAGCTTCCTGAGTAGCTGGGACTACAGGCGCCCACCACCATGCCTGGCTAATTTTTTGTATTTTTAGTAGAGATGGGGTTTCACCATGTTATCCAGGATGGTCTTGATCTCCTGACCTTGTGATCCACCCGCCTCGGCTTCCCAAAGTGCTGAGATTACAGGCGTGAGCCACCATGCCCGGCCAACAATAATTTTTATATGTGAATTTAAATAATGTCATATGATGAATGCCAGATGGTTGGAGGCAGAAGGGTTCACAAGAATACAAAAAGCCCAAAGCCAAAGGCCTCTGGCACTGTCCCCAGTGCTAACTTATCCTTCCATCTGTACCCATACATGGAGGTGGCCTTGAAATACCACAATACAGCAAAAGAAGGACAAAGCATTCCCTCACCTGCCCAAGAGAAGAAAGTTGCAAAAAGGTGGGGGATACACACAGAAAGCAGAAGCGTAGGAAGAGCCTTCATCTAACTAGATCTCTGGCTGCTGCCTCACACCTAAGGAAGTGAACCGTACATTTAGGAGCCTGGAAAATGGGTCCAACATTTCCAGATCCCTGACTTAGGGAGAAATTACAGGCCCCATGAGTTACAGGGTCACACTGACTTCATTGAGCTTCTCAGATTGCAGTGACTAAAGTGATTAAAATGCAGTTTCATCTGTGGGGCTTTGGATGAAAACAAAACATGGAATCATGTCCAGTTGCTTGAAGAACCTTGAATGCATCCTACTATTTGAGCGGCTGAAATGTTCATGAAGCATCTGTCGTTACAGTTCACCTCTTGGGAGGTGGGGCTTGGGGAGGTGGAATAGAGACTTCACAGCCTTTTACTTCCCATCACCTCAAGTGAAAATCCCTTCTTGTGCACACTCCCAGGTCTTGGCTGGAACAGTGGCTGAAAACATATGCCTTGAGAGTGTGGAATGATGAATAGTGGGACTCAAAGGAGGGGAGGGAGGAGGGTGGGATGTTGGGAGGTTGCTTGGTGGTTAAATGTGCGTTGCTCCAGTGATAGATGCTCTGAAGGTCCTGATTTCACCACAGTGCAATGTATCAATGAAGTGAAATCGCACTTGTACCCCATGAATATATACACATTTTTTACAAAATTAAAATGTTAACAAAAGCCACAAGCTTCGGCGTCAGACAGCCCTGGTTCACATGTCTTTGCTACTTGCTAAACCTGACCAGAGGCAAGTAATAAACTAATGGTAATAATACCCATCTTTCCAGGCTATTGGGTAGATAATTATGTGCCTAGTAGATGCTGAGTGTTCAGTTAAGTATTAGGTCTCGTAATATTGTAACATGGGTGATTTTCATGACTTTAGAACTGAATCCTCATGTAAGATGTGGGCTCTGCTATACTGTCAGCTGAGGAATATGCACCACATCACAGAAACATTGAGTTGCAGCCACAAATGTGGATGAGTGCTGACCCCGCGCTGTGGCCTGAGTTGTGGATATAAAATCATTACTTGGATGTCCTTGTTAAACCCAGACCCTGCTCCCACAGGTTGAGGCTTTATATGTGGTTCTATTTACCTGTGTTAACTGAGTCTTTTTACATCTTGGGAAAGTGGGTAAACCTCCTGTCTAACAGGTGAATGGGCTACTGAAATCAAATCTTCAAAGTCAAGCTGCAAGCCTGAATTGAATCTAGCTAATAAGCAAATACCACCTATAGGTGCAGATATTTCATTTCCACATACAATGCTTTTTAATGATAGATTCACCAAATATTCTTGTCTTCTCACTTATCCTTGAGTATAGTGAGCAGAGGCATTTCCTTTCATTAGAGATCTGCATTCTCAGTATTTATTCCTGAGTTCAGCCAAGATGACCCATCAGCTACCCTTTCTGGCATGGCTGCTTGTGAGAAGCTTCTGGTCCCACAACCTGCTTAGAGGCAGAAACCTAGGTGAGGAGTATAGTTCTTATTGCTGGGGGTGAGAGCCCACCCAGATCCTCTTTCCGTGCTGGTTGCAGGATTTCTATTCAATCCTGTCCTTAGAGGAGAACCGCCTTGGACTGGACTGGGCTGAAATGCTGAAACGTCTCTCCAGCAGCAGGTCTGACATCTCTGGAACTCATTGGTTGCATTCTCAACAAACGTCTGAGGCTGGAGTATTTTTGCTTTCTGCTTCTGCAGCATGGAGGAAGGAAAAGCCTCTTGTGGGAAGGAAACTGGCCAGCTGGGGCCAGGCCCAGAGCCCCAGCCTGAGTTCTGAGCAGCTGTCTCAGTCCCCATCCCAGAGCCAGACCAGGGCAGGCTGCAGGGTAGATGACTTTGCAGGTTCATTTGGCTCCAAAGTCCAAGGAGTCAGTACGGTCTGGGAGTGCTAAGAAGATAGTACCATGATTGCCTCCCCAACAGAAGCCATCCTGTAAGAATTTATCAATTATCACCGACTGAACGTAATAGTCAACAGAATTCAGCAGAATTCATAAGAAAATATTTCGTTGCATCCATGTTTTTCAAAGGTAGGTCTTTTAAGGCTACTTCTTTCCTTTGCTAATACACATTTAATTATTCTAAAAATTAAGACCTACTTTGGTAAAAAATAAAACATATGCCAATATCAATACCTTGAGTAAGCCACAGAATGCATTCACTACTTGAATTAACTGGCAATGACCGAAGCTCCTCCCTCAATTCATGAACCATTACTCTAATTGCACATTCAGTTTTTTGAGATAAAGCCACCACTGTCAGGTTTTTGAGATAAAGGACCCCCCTGCTACTGACCTAGAAACTAGAAACCTCTAATGCAGTGGTTCTTGTTTTTAAGAAACAGCTTTGTTGAGATATAATTCATAGACCATATAATTCACTTGTTTAAAGTGTGCAGTTTGATGGTTTTTAGTACATTCGCCGAGTTGTATAATCATCACCGGAACCAAATTTAAAACATTTCCATTACCTTCCAAAGAAATCATGTGCCCATTAGCTGTCACCCACAATTTCCAATCCCCCAAGCCTCCTTTCATAATAAGCAACCACAAACCTACTTATAGTCTCTATAGATTTCCCTATTCTGGAAATTTCATATAAATGGAATTACCATATGTGGTCCTTTGTGATGGCTTCTTTCATGTAGCATAATGTTTTCAATATTCATCCATGTTATAGCAACAGATAAGCACATCATTCCTTTTTTTTGGCAGAATAACCTGTTGTATGACTATCTTACATTTTACTTTTCCATTCATCAGCTGATAGACATTTGAGTTGTTTCTACTTTTTGGCTGCTATGAATAATGTTGTTATAAATATCCATGCACAAATTTTTGTTTGGGCATATGTTTTCTTTTCTCCTGGAATGATGCTTGGGAGTAGAACTACTGGATCCTATGGATCATACAGGGTCATTCATGCTTAAGCATTTTCCAAAGGATTTGCCTCATTTTACACTCCCATCAGCAATGTATTAGGGTTCTAATTCCTCCACATTCCAGCCAACTTGTTATTTTCTATATTTTTTATTAGAACTATCCTCATGGGTATGAAGTCATATTTCATTGTGAGATCCTTTGCCCATTTTTAATTGGGTTGATTTTTTTTAATTGTGACAGTTATTTATATATTCTACATACAACTCTTTTCACTTTGTTGCTAGTGTTCTTCAAAATACATTTTTAATTTTGATGATGTCCAGTTTATCTGCTTTTCCTTGTGTTGTTTGTGCTTTTGATATCACATCTAAAAAACTGTTGCCTATTCCAATGTCACGAATATTCATGCCTATGTTCTTTTCTAAAAGTCTTACAGTTTTAGCTCTTATGTATAGGTCTTTGATCCCTTTTGACTTAACTATTTTGTATGTTTGATTTGGAATCCAACTTCATTCTTTCGCATGTGGATATCCAATTGTCCAAATACCATTTGTTGAAGACACTCTTCCCATTGCATTGCCTTGGCATCATTGTCAAAGATCAATAGATGGTAAATGTGATGGTTTATTTCTCAACTCTCAAATTGTGTCCATTGTTAGGCAGGTACTACACTGTCTTACATATTGCAGCTTTATAGTAAGTGTTGAAATCAGGAGGTGTGAGTCCTCCAACTTTCTTCTTTTTCCATATTATTTTGGCTATTCACTATCCTTTGAATTTCTATATGAATTTTAGGATCAGCTCACCAATTTTTACAAAGAAGTCAGCTGGGATTTTGATAGGAATTGTGTTGAGTCTATGAATCTAGTTGAGAAATATTGCCATCTTAACACGAACATCCATGTTTATGGATGTTCCCATCCATAGACATGATATGCCCATTTATTTAGGTCATCTTTAATTTCTTTCAGCAATATTTTGAATTTCTGAGGCACTTGTTCTTTACTCTGCCTAGTCATTAAGATTACCTGGGGGATATTTTAAAAAGATCAATGCCTAGTCCCCACTGCAGATTTGAATCAGCATCTCTGGGTGTGGGACCCAGCCATTGATATTTTTAAAATCTTTGCCAGGTGATTCTAACATGTAGTCAGGTTTGAGAGCCACTACTCAAGTAATGGAAACACTAAATGTAGCCAAGTACCAAAAAAAATCTGTTGGAAATATCATAGTGTGTTTGTGGGCAAGGTGATGAAGTTAAGCTGTTAGAACTGCCTTGTAATTTATTTCATACAGAACATCTCAGGATTAGTGAGAACAAAAGACCACAGGAGAGATGATGGTAAATTCCTATCCAGTTAGGATGACAAAGTAGGTGACAGATTATTTTAAGGCTTGTGAGATTCATCAAAGCCTGGGAAAGAAGAAACAGAAGAGTGGAGACCCATCACTGCAAAACTATTTCATTCAGAATGTTCTATTTCTAACCACTCCTGTCCGGCAATAGGGACAGTGACTTTTACAGTAGATTACAAAACCTTTCTGTAGTAGCCAAAGCTTTCCTGAGTATATTATTTCAACTCAGAGTTCTCTCAGAGAACCAGACAGTAGAGGAAAGGAAAGAGCAAAGAAAAAAGTCTGCTTGTCATCTTTAATGTCATGGGTCACTAAGAAAATGTAAGTGATGTTAAAGCAGGGTGTTGATGCCGTGTGGGGATAAAACTACTCTGAGGACTCGGCTGCTACCTTGTCATACTTACTTTCCTACCAAGGACTCAATTCTCACCAAGGACCAATTAAAAAGAGGCGAAGAGGTGTGACCCTGCAAAGCTTGTGCAGGGACAGAGAAGATGGATTCACTGCAGCAGAAATTCTGTGAAATTAGACAGGGAAATGAAGCTGAGAAATGAGGAGGGAGTCAGACAAGAGAGGCCTTAGTGGATTTTTCTCCTGCAGAAATTAGGGAGTCAAGGAAGAGTTCATAGCAGAGGGAAGAAACTCATGAGAATGTATAGGATAGATCCAAGGGAAACTTGGGGAAGGAAAGGTGCTTTGGAATTTCTTATCAACCAGGTATTTTTTTAAAGAGCTGGAAATGGATTAAAGGAGTTTGGGAGACAACGGGCAGCAAGCCATGGTGATGAAGGAACACTGGTACCATCAATAGAAAGGGACAGGCAATAGGCTAAGCAGGCTTTATGAATGTGAACCAGAAGAAAAAAAGTTACCAAGCTAAAAAATGTTTGGCAAGTACTTAGGAATGAAGAACTAATGCTTTATAAAGTGCCTGGGCTGAAAAAAGAGATTGGGAAGGGCTCCAGGTACATGATACTTGAAATCTTAAGAAATGATAGAGATCTGTGGTAGCAAGTCTAAGAAGTGAAGATCAGAGAAATTAGAACTAAACCAGATTTAATTGGTGGAAGGTGGAAGAGAGATTAGCGGGAGATCAGCAGAGTAGTGCAGATGCAACTGTAAGTTTCTGGATGGCAATTTGGCTACATATCAAAAGCTTTCAAATGCATAGAACCTTTGGCACAACAATTACACTTCCCAAAATATATTCTAAAGAAATAATCAGGAGTAACTACAGTTATCAGTAATAATATTTTTGTATACTGCAGTGCTATTAAAATAGGAAAACAAAGGAGTGGGATAGGGAAGCAACCTAACTATATAAGAGATGATTGATTGAAAAAAAAAAAAAAGATAGCACCTTTACATTGTAGAACACTGCCTAACCATTAAAAATCATGTCTTAAAAGAATATCCAGGCTGGGTGCAGTGGCTCAAGTCTGTAATCCCAGCACTTTGGGAGGCTGAGGCAGGCAGATCATGAGGTTGGGAGTTCAAGACCAGCCTGGCCAACATGGCGAAATCCCATCTCTACTAAAAATACATAAATTAGCCAGGCATGGTGGCAGGTGCCTGTAATCCCAGCTACTTGGGAGGCTGAGGCAGGAGAATTGCTTGAACCTAGGAGGCAGAGGTTGCAGTGAGCCGAGATTGTGCCATTGCACTCCAGCCTGGGCGATAAGAGCAAGACTCTGTCTCAAAAAAAAAAAAAAGTATCTAATGATATGGTAAAAATTACCCCAATATAATTTTAAATGAGTATACCCTATTCAAATTTATAAATACAATGATCTGAATCTTGGAGACATATCTGAGCATCATTGTGTGAGTTAGGTGGTGCCTATCTAAGAATGATTAATAAAAAGATGCAACGGAATGGTAGAAAAAAAAGCATGATTAATAAAAAGACTGAAATACTCCAAAATTAATAGTGATTTCTGTCTAATAAAGCTTCAAGTGATTTTCATCTTTATTTACTCGTTTGCATTTTCATATTCTCATTGAATATATGTTATAACCAAGAAAAACATGTCTTTGCTAAATGCTATCAGCATCTGATACGATAATGCTTTACTTATAAGTCATTTTATGTAACATCCTTTTTTGCTTCTACATATTCAACATACATTTACAACTAAGCTGCCTGTGACTGATGCATTTCCCCCACATTTACCGTCAGCAGTTGTGCTTCAACTTCATCGTGAACTAGGTCGATTCCCATTCTCTTTTCTCGATGAAATAGACATTCTCGGGCTACCTACAGATACACAGATAATGGAAAGCACTAATAAAAACTGACAATCCATGACTAGCAGCTCTAATAATTTGTTTCAAAAATAAGTCAATAGATACTCCCAATACCAACTTTTCCAGCCCTTTTGTGAAAATCTAGCCTGAAACAGACTGTAACAACTAAATGAATCTCTGCTGCTAGTTAAAAGGTAAAGAGGTAGCTCTTCAAAATAGTTTGAAAATATTCCTATCTTGGAAAGTTGACAAAATGAAGTAGATGGCATTTACTTGATCCCCGCAAATTAGCATTTGAGGGCATTAGTTGGCATTACTTTCTTCAGGTGAGATAGTTCAGTAACATGAGACACAAGTCTTCAAGATATTATTTCTAAATATTTTCTACTGAGAATAGGAAGAAATGAATGATTATCTTTAAAAACATCAAAATTTTTGTGTTGCCAAAAGTCCCAGTGATTATTTTTAAAGTGTCATTGATTGTTTTCCCAATTATCAAAATAATATGCCTTTACTCACTAAAGAGAAAAAATATAGAAAAGTAGAAAATATGATTTAGCCATACTCCTATTACTACTTTGTTCGTCTTAACAAGATAGAGGTTATAATGTTCTCACAACTTTATATTATGCTTTTTAGTATTGACATTAAACAGTAGACCCAAATCATGAAATATTCTTTGAGATAAAGTATGTTAGTGGCTCTAATGGAAAACAGCTTAAATTTCTAACAATAAATTATGTATGAAAGAACATTATGTAGCAGTTAAAATGCTTTTCTCGAAGACTATTCCATAACATAGGACTCCCAAATAATATTAAATTTTTAAAAGCATAAAATATAATGGTATGTATACTATAATCCAGATATACTATCACTGAACAAAAACTTTAAGTGAATCTCTAATTGTTTAATAGTATCACTTACCAGAAGAAGAATTAACGGGTAGAGGGGAACTCTGATTATTTTGATATGTATTACCAAACTGCTTCCCAGGAAATTTCTACCAATCCATAGCCCCACCAGTAATATATGAAAGTGCCCATTTGCTGCTCTTACGCCAGCTCTAAATGTCATGCATTTTCATTATTGCAAATTTGATAGGCCAAAGGTAGTTATTTCATTGATTTAATTTGTATTTTATCATTAAGCTTTAACATTTTTTCTTATATTTGTTGATCGCCTATATTTTCTCTTTGGAGGCTTATCTGTTCATGTGACTCAATTTAAAAAGGACCCTCTAATACTGTGTTGACAATAAATTTTCAAACACACAAGAACATCTGGACAAAAACTGCAGAAAAAATTCAAATTAGAACCATCTTTCTGAAAGTAGTCATCACTGAAAGGGTTACTAAGAGAAGAAACTGAATCTCCACTGGAAATTAAGAAAGTAGCTATCATTTTAAGGATATTTTCAATTCTTAAAGGCAGTCAAGGGTAGGAAGAACTGTAGAATAAACCAATACTTCAGAGTAATCTGATGCTCAGGGAAGGCGTAGAAGCCCTTCTGATTCTAAACAAAAATTTATGATGAATTAATTCAAAAAGATCATTAGTGAACTATCAGCCATTCTCAGGATTCCTGGGGATTGTGTGCCTCTGTATGTGTTTTTGTACAGCGGGGAGGGGTTGCAGTAGGAAGTGACAGTGCGCAGGGTGCCCCAAGAAACTCCTCCGCTCACCAGACTTTCAGCTCCTTGATTCTCTAAACTCTTCTACTACAGATGCTGTGGTAGAGAACTACAGCAAGTGCTCATCACATGGGAATAAGTCATGCAAACATGAGGAAAAATGGTGCTAGCTGTGCTCATCAAAATGTATACTTCTAAAATAATTTGTATAATTTGCACATCTTCAAACATGGAATGTCTTCTTTCAATGGAGGAGGGTGGAATGGGGTTGGAGGGCCCATCGCATAGCCTGAGGGTTAGAGGTGACCTGAGCCCATTCAGAAGCCTGGTCAGAGGCCAGTAACCAACTGAAATGCTCCCTACATTACTATGGCAACTGGCCAATCTCAGCACCATTTTTCTATTTAATCAAGCAAATTCCATGCCCTAAGATGGTCTCATTTGATGATGTCACTACATCCTAAAAGGGAATCATAACATATATACAGGAGGCGTTTCATGATACAGACTAAAAAAATAAAGGTTTTGGTCTCAAATATTGTTTATTTTAATTTAGTGACAGCAATGATGAAGCAGCCTATTTAAGAGATAAGATGGTCATATGGTTTGGATCTGTGTCCCTGCACAAATCTCAAGTCAAATTGTAATCCACAATGTTGGGGGTGGGGCCTGGTGGGAGGTGATTGGATCGTGGGGGTAGATCCTTCATGAATGGTTTAGCACCGTCCCTTCGGCGCTGTTCTCAGGATAGTGAATGAGTTCTCTGGAGATCTGGTTGTTTAAAAGTGTGTGGCACCCTCCCCCGTTCTCTCTTGCCCCTGGACCCTTCATTTAAGATACCTGCTCCTCCTTTGCCTTCTGCCATGATTGGAAGCTTCCTAAGGGCTCCCCAGAAGCAGAAGCCATTATGCTTCCTGTACAGCCTGTAGAACCAGGCGCCAATTAAACCTCTTTTCTTTATAAATTACTGAGTCTCAGGTATTTCTTTATAGCAATGTGAGAATGGCGGAATACAGATGGCGTGTTCACCTTAAAACATTGTGTGTCCTAATGGTGTCTATTTAATTGGTCTTCTTTGCTTTGCATTCAGAATTACCTCTTAAAGTGGTTGTTCTTAAAGTATATAATGCATTTAAAAAAAAAATAGGCAGTGGTTTTGCCATTGCTGAAAACAGTCACAGATTTATTGATAGGGGGTTGGCTTCAACAGATGAAGTAAAACATAAGTCAATAAATAAATAACCACAGTAACTCAACCAGTGGGTTATAATCATAAAAATTCAGTGTGTTCTATCATAAGGTCTTACCTGAAGAGGGGCTTCAGTCTCCATCAAAGCCCGCTCCAGTCTTTTCTTCACATCAGTAAGTGCATTTGTCTCTCCAATCATTTCATCCAACTCATGAATGATTTCAGATTTCCAAAACCCTATGTCATTGACACGTTCTCCCAGATTTTGGGTTGTGTCTGCCTGAGTTTTTCTTGTTTGTTGATATTTGTCTTGAATCAGGCGAGATGTATCCACTCTTAGTTTCTCCGAATTATGTCGGGAAGTGTTGGACTCTTGATAGTTGGTTAAATTGGACCTGTACCAGTCATCCGGTGTGTATCTTGTGAAGAAAGTGGTTCTGTTGGAAACAAAGGGAAGCATGGTATTCTCGGACACCCTCTGTGATCTGGTGCAGTACGGGGCCACGCTTGGGGAATTGGAGGCGACTTTGTAGTATGTGCTGGGTCTCCAAGGAAGGCTCAGGCTATGGGTCAAATTGGAGTGGGGAAAGCGGTCCCTGTAGCTTGAGGCCATGGTACTGATGGCTGGTAGAAAGTTGGTTGGTGTTGGTCTAGGGTGGGCGTAAGTTGTCGTTAAAGTACAACCTACACGTTCCATGATGCCAAAACACTATTTGTAAATCTCTCCTGTTAAAAAATAAAAAGTAAAATAAGACAGTCACATAAAATAATCTCTGGTGAAACATACAGATAAAAGGCCACATCTGACTTAGTATCAGTTGCAGAGGCCCCGAACACATTAGATGCTTGTTCTCATTTGTTATCCACATTCACCATTGATAATATATTCCAACAAAGTTTTTTTTTAATCTCTATGTCTCTAGAATGTATAAAGATCACATTTTTATTGGCCATTTGGACTTTTGAATTTTTGTGAAAATTATGAGAGTAATATTGTCTTGTTGTAACAAATTCAAATTAGGAGCCTAAACTATGCATCTTAACGGATAGGGATTCAAAATAGATTTCTCACTTGAAGTCAGGAGTTCGAGACCAGCCTAGCCAACAAGACGAAATGTCGTCTCTGTTAAAAATACAAAAATTAGCCAGCTGTTGTGGCAGGCACCTGTAATCCCATCTACTCAGGAGGCTGAGGCAGGAGAATCGCTTGAACCTGGTGGCGGGGGTGGGGGGCAGATAGATTGCAATGAGCTGAGATCGCACCACTGCACTCCAGCCTGGGCTACAGAGAGACTCCGTCTAAAAAATAAATAAATAAATAAATAGATTTCCGTCTCAAACCATGATAGACTAATAAAAACTAGACTTAGCCTCTTATATCTAAAAATCTAGACAAGAAACTACTGATTTCAGACATTGGACAATGGACAGCACAGGACTCTGAGCCATGAGAAAAGAGAAACAAGGTGAGCCCACCTATTTATTAGCTATGTGACACTGGGTAAATTACTTAACCTCTCTGTGCCTCGGTTGCTTCACTTAGAAATAATAGGGAATAATAATAGCACTTCCTTCTTTGGACTGTTGTGAGCAGTGGTAGCAGCAGGGAATTGCTTGGCAACTCCCCGCCCCTGCCCCCACAAGTCATCCTAAATAAACACTCCATCTGGATGACAATGGTGTGGTTGATATGCAAACGCAGCTCGAGGCAAGTACCTGGATCTCCTTTCCTGGCAACCTACAACCTGTAAGCACCTCGAATGTATAACAGAAATCCTAGGGAAGCCATGGGGTTATGAGGGCTAAGACAATGCTATGTATTTAGAAGGATTAGCAGAGTGTCGGACACATAGAAAGTGTGCAATAGATCTTAACTTTTTAAATTGCTACCTCAGAGAAGTAGATAAAGTAAAAGAAAAATATCCTTCCTCCCCGCAAAGGTGAACTCCTCAGAAGTAGCCACTAAATAGTTCATTAATAGTTGTATCTTTCCAGATTTTTCCTATTCATATACCAACATGTGTATTATTTATATTTTATATACCTCTACCTATATACCATCTATACCTATATACAAAGCTTTTTAATACAAAAACTGAATTATCCTAATCATTTGATATATCATTGTAGATCTTTTTTTTTTTTTTAACTTAAGTATATTTTCTGGGCCACTCCCCCTGTTAGAACATACAGATCTACTTCATTCTTTTTACCAGTTCCATTGTCTGAAACTTTTGGTCGTTATTATTCCAGAAAGCCAAGGATGCCACAGACCACTACGTATCTTTTAGCATTTAAATGTCATTCTGTTTTGGGGTTAATGTCTATGGACTTTTTTACTAAAAAGCAAAACTACAATCAGATCCAATTCTATGCACTGCTCAGAAAAATAAAAATTCTTTAGTGACTACTTAAATAGCTATGTCTTGAGGACTTTGGTACCCAAGTACAAAATAATCTATCTGTAGAATTGCGTTCAAGTCAAAATCCACACAGATCACATGATAAAATAGCTGCCCGTGGCCCTGTGCTTATAGAACCCTAGTTCTCTTTCTGCTAAATTCTTCCTTCCTACGGCCCCCAAACGTGTTATACTGGCCAAACTTACAGACTGATGGTAAAAACAAAAGCCTTAGTTACCATTTGCAGTTCTTTGCTTCAATTTGAAACTTAAACATTACTTTTTGAAAAAGGAAATTTAAAGTACTGAGGCATTAGGGTCCTTAAAGTTGTCTTTAGTTCCAACCCCTTCCCTATGTCAGATCAATAAATAATCTGGTTTATTTCTAGCAAGAAACTTCAAGTGGTGATGGACCACTCCTACTTGGCTTTGGTTTATTTTATTTTATTTTATTTTATTTTATTTTATTTTATTTTATTTTTATTTTTTAGACAGAGTCTCGCTCTGTCGCCCAGGCTCCAGTGCAGTGGCATGATCTCGGCTCACTGCAAGCTCTGCCTCCCAGGTTCACACCATTCTCCTGCCTCCTCAGCCTCCCGAGTAGCTGGGACTACAGGTGCCCGCCACCATGCCCGGCTAATTTTTTTGTATTTTTAGTAGAGTCGGGGTTTCACCATGCTAGCCAGGATGGTCTGGATCTCCTGACCTTGTGATCCACCCACCTCGGCCTCTCAAAGTGCTGGGATTACAGGTGTGAGCCACCACGCCCAGCTGGTTTATTTTATTTTCAGAGACAGAATCTTGCTCTGTTGCCCAGGCTGGAATGCAGTGGCATGATCACTGCTCACTGCAGCCTTGAACTCCTAGGCTCAAGCAATCCTCCCAAGTAGCTGGAGCTACAAACACACACCACCATGCCTGGCTACTTTTATTTATTTATTTTAGTAGAGATGAGCAGGTTTCACTATGTTGCCCAGGCTGGTCTCAAACTCCTGGCCACAAGTGATCCCCCACCTCAACTTCCCAAAGTGCTGGGATTACAGGCATGAGCCATCATGCCCAGCCTGCTTAATTCTTGACAATAAGAGATCCAGAAACCAATAGCTCACTTCATCCTTCAACCATGGAATTTCACGTGTAGAATGCCACGTGAGTTTTCCCAGCATTTGTTATATAGGCATCTTGAGACGTCTCAACCCATGTTTGAAATGTGAGTCATCTGCTCCAGGGGTGATATCTGAAGATGCAGAGGTTTACACACCAGATGAGATATGTGGACTGAGAAAAACAAATATAGTTTACAAAAGCACCTGGTGATGTGTTTTTTAATTAGAGGTGAGATTTGTCTTAGAATCTGGAATCTAAAGCATAAAGCATAGTGGTTTACAGATCACAGAAGTAGAACTCCTCATGTACGGCAGTCAGTTTCATATGGAGAGAATATTTTACAGCCACACCTGAAGTTCTAGCTCCACCAGCCATCTTGTAAGCCATTCAGGAAGACTGAATAAAAGACATCACGTGGGGATGGTTTCACCAAAATATTCCACTGTCATGCATTTTGGGCCATTAATGGTCAAGAAAACCAAGACTGTCATGAACTAAGAAATACTTAAAAACTGAAAACTGATTTCTACCTCCAACCATGACAGAATAATAAAAACCAGACTTAGCCTCTTATATCTAAAAATCTAGACAAAATATATGAAACAACTGCATTCAGACCTCAGACAACAGGCATCATAGGCTCTGATCCTTGAGAGAAGGGAAACAAATAAGGTGAGCCCTCTGATTGTCAAGGTATTGTGCCTAAAGGCAATTTTCAGACAATGAGAAAAAACATGAAAACTGAACAGAGCCTGGCAGCTTTTGTGAGTTGAGAAAGTGATCAGAATTCAGGGAGGCTGAGAAAGCTAGAAATTGTAGAGCAGGTTTCTGGAATAAAGTGAGCTATGCCGAAATAGAGATCCAGAAATCTACAAAGGGATCTTTGTGAGTCTTTGCTGAGAATAGGCTGCATATGCATCAAGGAACACTCCACAAACCTTGGCAAAGAGTGATGGCAGAGCTGTTAGCTGAACAATTTCTAGAACTTACAGAGGGTGGAGATACATTATGAACACAGACTAACTAGATTGGAGGGTCATTGACAATCACCTGGAGCATTCAAGGGAGACACTAGAGAGGCCACACGTTAGAGGTAGGGCTGAACTATACCTGGAGTGAAGGTAATGAAGACTCACTCTAGCAAAGCTTGAAAACAGGTCTCAAAGATATCAAGCTAATCCACAAGTAACTTAACTACCTGACATCAAGACACTCCAATATGTAACATCACAATGTCCAGCATCCAGTCAAAAATGACCAGACATAATAAGGAGCTCAAAAATGTAACCCCTAAAGAAAAATCAGTCAATGGAAGGAGGCCTAGAAATGGCAGAGATGATGGAACTAGTAAACTACATACAAGTATTTGATACAAGGACATTGAGAAGACAGAAATGGAAGACTGGAGAAGAACCAAATAAACTTCAGGAATAAAACATACAATATATACTTGCACAACTTCACTACATGAGATTAACAGCACATTAGAAATTAGTGAGCTCAGACTTTTTTTTTAACTAAAAAAGAAAATTAAAAGCACCTTGGTAACCTATGGTGCAATAGCAAAGGTTCTAATATTAAGGTTTTGCAGTGCCATAAAAAAAAGTAGAGAGACAAAAATATTTGAGGAAATAATGGCTGAATATTTCCCAAATTTGCTGAAAACTATAAATACCTAGGTCAAGAAGCTCCACAAACTCCAAGAATACACACACACACACACACACACATACGTGCACACACACAACCCCCTGCTGCCACCACCACTCCAAGGCTCATAATCAAAATGCTGAAAACCAGGGATAGAGAGAAAATTTGAAAATCAGACAGGAAGGACATATTTGGAAAAAAAGAACGAAGATAAGAATTAGTGCTGAATTATTGTCAGAAACTACCCAAACCAGAAGACAAACAACATTTTAAAAGGGCTGGAAGAAAGTGTAAGCCTCAAATTCTATATCTAGTGAAAATATCCTTCAAAAAATGAAGGTGAAATAAAATCTTTTCATAAAAACGAAATCCAAAAGAATTCATCAGCAGCAGACCTGCAATAAGAGAATTGTTAAAGGAAATTCTTCAGGCAAAAGGAAATTATACCAGATGGAAACTTGGATCCACACAAAGAAATAAAAATGTCAGAAATGGTAAGCATGTGTGCTAATAAGAAAAAAAAAAATCTTTCTAACTTTCAAATTTCTTTAAAAGATCATTATTTAAACTAAAAATAAAAAATTGTGGCATTAATAAAATAGAAGTAAATTATATGGTAGCCATAGCACAAATGATAGGAGGGCTTAGATGGCCATATTAGATTATAAGGGTCTTATAACTGAAGTGAAATAATGTCATTTAAACATATACTGTGATAAGTTAAAAATATGTATTGCAAACTTTAGAATAGCCAGTTCTCAAAATGTAAACTAAGGACCCATGGGTATGCCTAAGACCTCTTTGGAGGTGAAATGGTCAAAATTGTTTTCATAGTAAATACTCAGATGCTATTTGCCTTTCTCACAAATTTACAATGGAGCTTTTCAGAGGTGACATGATACATACTATCACAACAGGCTGAATGAGGATGAGAGCCCAGCTACTAAGCTAAAAATTACTTTGCCAAAAATATAAAACAATACTAAATACTTCTTACTAAATTATTTTTTGTTTCAGAAAAAAAATAATAAAAATAAATGTTTTAATAAAAACATTATGTTAATGTATAATGGATTATTATGGTTATTTTAAAATAATTTATAGTTTTTAATTTCTAGTATAATAAATACAATAGATATAATCCACATAAGTAAAAGCTCTTTGAGGTCCTCAATATTTTTAAGAATGTAAAGGTGTCCTGAGATAAAAATGTTTTTGAACCACTGAGCTGGAGCAATATCTAAGACTAAAAAACAAGAGTTTTGACCAATAATGAAGGAAAAAAATGGAAGACAAAAAAGACTCATAATTATTCCAAGAGAAAAGAGAACCAAAAATAAGACAAAGAAAAAACAGGAAAATGATACAAATCCAACTATGCTGATAATTAAACAATCCAATTAAAAGGCACAGATTATTAGAAATCGTTTTTAAATAGCAATATTGAACTATAAGCTGTCCAGGAAAAATCTCACTTTAAATATAAAACACAAATAAGTTAAAAATAAAAATATGGGCTGGGCACGGTGGCTCACGCCTGTAATCCCAGCACTTTGGGAGGCTGAGGCTGGTGGATCACGAGGTCAGAAGTTCAAGACCAGCCTGGCCAAGATGGTGAAACCCCAACTCCACTAAAAATACAAAAATTAGCCGGGCATGGTGGAAGTTGCCTGTAATCCCAGCTACTCAGGAGGCTGAGGCAGAGAATTGCTTGAACCTGGGAGGCGGAGGTTGCAGTGAGCCGAGATCATGCCACTGCACTCCAGCCTGGGCGACAGAGTGAGACTCCATCTCAAGAGAAAAGAAAAAAGAAATAAATAAAAGTATGAGAAAAGATAGACTGTTTAAACACTAATCAAAAGAATACAGAAGTGGCTATATTAATATCAAATCAAGTAGACTTCTAAACAAGAAATATTATCGGAGATAAAGAGAAAAATAAGGATAAAGGGATCAGTCAAGGAGATATAGCAATATTAAATGTTTATGTAATCATTTACCTAACTTTCAACACCTAAAGCAAAAATTGACAGAACTAAAATGAGAAATAGACAAATCCACATTATATTTCAATATTTCAACGTTTGTCTGTTAGTAAATCATAGAGCAAGTAAACAAAATATTGGTTAATACAATATTTAGCAATATTACTAACAACTTTATGGCAAGAAATTTGACAACATAGATGAAATGGACAAAATTTTTGAAAGATACAAATAACCAAAACTGATTAAAGAAGAGTTAGAAAACCTGAGTAGCCTTGTAGTATTTTTTAAAAATTGAATCTACAGTTTAAAAACTTTCCTCAAAGAAAACTTCAAGCTCCAATGGGTTCACTGGTGAATTCTACCAAACTTTTAAGGAAGAAATACCTCAGTTTTTAAAAGCCTATGGCTTACTTTGGTGGTGCGCATCTTTCACAATGATTAACTTACTCTCTAAATTCTAACTCAGTCAATTCTTTTTTTTTTTTTTGAGATGGAGTCTCGCTCTGTCCCCCAGGCTGGAGTGCAGTGGCGCCAAGATGGCGCCACTGCAAGCTCCGCCTCCTGGGTTCACGCCATTCTCCTGCCTCAGCCTCCAGCGTAGCTGGGACTACAGCCGCCTGCCACCACACCTGGCTAATTTTTTTTTTTTTTTTTTTTTTTTTTTAGTAGAGACGGGTTTCACCGTGTTAGCTAGGATGGTCTCGATCTCCTGAACTCGTGATCTGCCAGCCTCGGCCTCCCAAAGTGTTGGGATTACAGGCGTGAGCCACCGCGCCCAGCCAGTCAATTCTTAAGAGAGCATGTGCAGCACATACTAAGATCATTAACCGATGCTATAAATATCTCATACTTGCAAAGAAACAGCAAATTCTTTGGAAAAATGACTGAAAATAGCTATGGAAAAATCCCCTAAATTAGGCAACTGCTTATTATACATTTAATCATGATGTTTTGGTTTGAATGTTTCCCTCTAAAACTCAAGTTGAAATTTAATTACCATTGTGCAGTATTAAGAGGTGAGACTTTTAAGAGGTGATTATGTTATAAGGGGTCTGACCTCATGAATGGAATAATGCCATTATTGTGGGAGTGGATTAGTTATCACAGAAGTGGGCTCCTGATAAAATAATAAATTCACCCCCGTTGTCTCTGTCTCTTTCATTCACTTGTCCTTCTGCCATATTATGATGTAGCAAGAAGACCCCCATCAGATGTAGCCCCTGGATCTTGGACTTCCTAGCCTCCAGAACTGTGAGCCCAATAAATCTCCGCCTTTATAAATCACCCAGTCTCTGGTATTCTGTTATAGCAGCAGAAAACTAAGACATGTGCCCAAACAGAATTTTAAGAAATGAGACATGGGCTACAAAGTCAAATACAATGTTTGACTAGGTGCACTTAATTTACAGTCAACTGTTATTTACATACTGAAAAAAATGCTACAATAGTCTTCCATAAATATTAACATACTAAATATAGAATCAATCACACAGAGATTTTAAGAACCGGAAAGCTCCATTTGCTATCCAAAAGTTGGCTTCATACTGGGTAAACATTTTAT